>NC_000001.11:46826562-47129592 GCF_000001405.40 Homo sapiens | reverse complement strand
CCGTTTAGTAGCTAAAGGAAGGAAAATAAATTATTGTGTTAAAACATTATAGAGGGTGTACTGAAGGAATAAATTGTGGGCTTGGGCCATTCAGAGACAGAGAAGATAAATAAGTAAAGAGGTCTTTAAGGACGAAGAGGAGTTTACCAGTTGGTAAATACTAGAAAAAGGAAAAAGCACTGGCAGATTCATGGAGATCATACATGAAAGAGCAGAAATGGGACCAGCTCCTCTTCAAATTACCACTCCTCTCACTTTTTTCATAATTATCTCCACAAGGTCATACCAAAGGTCATCAATTCAGAACATAAATCAATAGATTTCCAAAAGAATTCCATGGAAGTCAGCTCTCCCAGGGGCCCCATTTCCTCCTGCTCCCTAATCCATCTAAACTCTTATGCCCAACACCTTCCTCCTTTGCCCCACTCATGGCAGGTGACACATTCGAGAACCCAGAGAGTCAGAGTTCTTTTCTTTCTGCCTCAAATCCTGGGCTCCTATCCAAACCAAAGAGTAGGGACATGTAACTATTTACACTTCATTCCACCCAACCTCCCCCAGTTCTGTGGCTACTTTCCACCAGCCATCACTGCCTCCCTAACCCCGACTGGGGACTCTTGGACCCTGACTCTTTCCCTACTTGGATCAGCACCTGTTTTTCTCCCATAGCATGGGCAACAGTAGCTCTGAAGTCAGAGATTTTGGCTTTGAATTCTCACTGTGCTTTTTTTTTCCCCTCCCTAGATTCTCAATTTCTTTAGAGTTGGGCTCAAAATGTGGTAATGGCCAACATTTAGTGAGCACTTGTTATGTTCTGGCCATGAAGCCAAAACTTTACATGCTTTCTCCAGAAAAACTCTACAAAAGAGATTTTTAAAAAAATCTTCATATTATAGGTGGGAAAGCTAAGGCGCAAACAGGGTAGTTCCCTGTCCAGAATCCCCCAGTTGGTAAGAGGTACAGCCAGGATTGTAGTCCAGGCAGTCAGGCTCCAGAGACTTTGCTGTTAACCATTCATTTAAACAAGGTCATGATTAAGTTGAGCCTCCAGTCTAGATGGCAGCCCCTAAACCTTCCAGAGGTCATTTCATGTTTGCTATGTTTGATTCATTATTTTCAAATTGCAGGAAGATGTGTCAGATTATGAACTCCCCATATTGGCATAAATGCAAGTCTCACTATCCAGGGCAGCTCCTGTGAGAAACTGAATGGCAATCATGGGGCTAGGTGTAGCATAGTCATTGAAAGCGATGTTTATGGAGAATGTTTAATGATATGAGTAAAGCATGTGGGAAAGTGATAAAAGTAGAACATAGAGCCATATGTAGAGTATGAATGTAACTCTTAGAAAAGTGTGCTTGTGATTTTGAAGACTTATTAAAAAGTATACATCTATCCCACTTATTTATTTATTCATTTATTTATTGAGACAGAGCCTTGCTCTCTCGACCTGGCTGGAGTGCAGTGACATAATCTCAGCTCACTGAAACCTCAGCCTCCTAGGTTAGAGTGATTCTCCTGCCTCAGCCTCCTGAGTAGCTGGGATTACAGGCACCCACCACCATGCCTGGCTAATTCTTGTATTTTTAGTAGTGACAGGGTTTCACCATTTTGGCCAGGCTGTTCTCAAAGTCCTGTCCTCCGGCAATCCACCCACCTTGGCCTCCCAAAGTGCTGGGATTACGGGTGCGAGATACTGAGCTTGGCCTATCCCATTTATTTACTACTCAGATACCTCCATAAAAACTCCTGAAAGGTGGTAACTCAGCTGCTATGTCCTTTGCTTCCATCGCATGATGCAGATGACTGTGTCTGTTGATGATGCCCAAGAAATACCTACTGATTGAATCCATGAGTGACAGCTGGATAAAGCAAAACTTTGAACTGGTTATATCACCATCCTGAAGAGACTCAGTTCAGTTTTGAATGCCACATTGTAAAAATGAAACTGCTATATTGGTTGCTGGATATTTCCTGATTCGGTGTTTAGGCAAGCCAAGGCAGAGGAAGGAACACCAAGATGCCCCTTGGTGGCATCTTGAAGCAGTTACTCCTGTGGGTAGATCAGCTCAGGGATTTGATTTGTGGGTTTTTTTAAATTATACTTTAAGTTTTAGGGTACATGGTCACAACGTGCAGGTTAGTTACATATGTTTACATGTGCCATGTTGGTGTGCTGCCCCCATTAACTCGTCTTTTAACATTAGGTACATCTCCTAATGCTATCCCTCCCTGCTCCCGCCACCCCACAACAGGCGCTGGTGTGTGATGTTCCCCTTCCTGTGTCCATGTGTTCTCATTGTTCAATTCCCACCTATGAGTGATAACATGCTGTGTTTGGTTTTTTGTCCTTGTGATAGTTTGCTGAGAATGATGGTTTTCAGCTTCATCTATGTACCCACAAAGGACATGAACTCATCCTTTTTTATGGCTGCATAGTATTCCATGGTGTATATGTGCCACATTTTCTTAATCCAGTCTATCATTGTTGGACATTTGGGTTGGTTCTAAGTCTTTGCTATTGTGAATAGTGCCACAATAAACATATGTGTATATGTGTCTTTATAGCAGCATGTTTTATAATCCTTTGTGTATATACCCAGTAATGGGATGGCTGGGTCAAATGGTATTTCTAGTTCTAGATTCCTGAGGAATCACCACACTGACTTCCACAATGGTTGAACTAGTTTACAGTCCCACCAACAGTGTAAAAGTGTTCCTATTTCTCCACATCCTCTCCAGCACCTGTTGTTTCCTGACTTTTTAATGATTGCCATTCTGACTGGTGTGAGATGGTATCTCATTGTGGTTTTGATTTGCATTTCTCTAATGGCCAGTGATGATGAGCATTTTTTCATGTGTCTTTTGGCTGCATAAATGTCTTCTTGTGAGAAGTGTCTGTTCATATCCTTGCCCACTTTTTGATGGGGTTGTTTGTTTTTTCTTGTAAATTTGTTTGAGTTCTTTGTAGATTCTGGATATTAGCACTTTGTCAGATGAGTAGATTGCAAAAATTTTCTCCCATTTTGTAGGTTGCCTGTTCAGTCTGATGGTAATTTCTTTTGCTGTACAGAAGCTCTTTAGTTTAATAAGATCCCATTTGTCAATTTTGGCTTTTGTTGCCATTGCTTTTGGTGTTTTAGACATGAAGTCCTTGCCCATGCCTATGTCCTGAATGGTATTGCCTAGGTTTTCTTCTAGGGTTTTTATGGTTTTAGGTCTATCATTTAAGTCTTTATTCCATCTTGAATTAATTTTTGTATAAGGTGTAAGGAAGGGATCCAGATTCAGCTTTCTACATGTGGTTAGCCAGTTTTCCCAGCACCATTTATTAAATAGGGAATCCTTTCCCCATTTGTTGTTTTTGTCAGGTTTGTCAAACATCACATAGTTGTAGATATGCAGCATTATTTCTGAGGGCTGTGTTCTCTTCCATTGGTCTATATCTCTGTTTTGTTACCAGTACAATGCTGTTTTGGTTACTGTAGCCTTGTAGTATAGTTTGAAGTCAGGTAGCGTGATGCATCCAGGTTTGTTCTTTTGGCTTAGGATTGACTTGGCAATGTGGGCTGTTTTTTGGTTCCATATGAACTTTAAAGTAGTTTTTTCCAATTCTGTGAAGAAAGTCATGGGTAGATTGATGGGGATGTCATTGAACGTATAAATTACCTTGGGCAGTATGGCCATTTTCACGATATTGATTCTTCCTACCCATGAGCATGGAATGTTCTTCCATTTGTTTGTATCCTCTTTTATTTCATTGAGCAGTGGTTTGTAGTTCTCCTTAAAGAGGTCCTTCACATCCCTTGTAAGATGGATTCCTAGGTATTTTATTCTCTTTGAAGCAATTGTGAATAGGAGTTCACTCATGATTTGGCTCTCTGTTTGTCTGTTATTGGTGTATAAGAATGCTTGTGATTTTTGCACATTGATTTTGTATCCTGAGACTTTGCTGAAGTTGCCTATCAGCTTAAGGAGATTTTGGGCTGAGATGATGGGGTTTTCTTGGTATACAATCATGTCATCTGCAAACAGGGACAATTCGACTTCCTCTTTTCCTAATTGAATACCCTTTATTTCTTTCTCCTGCCTGATTGCCCTGGCCAGAACTTCCAACAGTATGTTGAATAGGAGTGGTGAGAGAGGCAGCACACCAACATGGCACGGGTATACATATGTAACAAACCTGCACGTTGTGCACATGTACCCTAAAACTTCCAGTAGAATTAAAAAAGAAAAAAAAAAGCAAATGTGTACCAGGGTGTTCAATACATAAAAACGTAAGTTTAAAACCATTTCCGCTGGAATTTATTTGCTTATTTATCTACATACAAATAGGTGGGAAATGAAACTTATTTTTCCTCAAGTGATTAGTTAGCCAATTATCTCAATATCAATTAATAAATATCAATTATTTATCCAAAAATATATAAAATTTTCACATATTTTAAGCTCTTCCAGATATCTTGTTTTTACTGCTTTTTAATTTGTTTCTGGGCTTCTCAGGTAACAGTTAAAAATTTCAACCCTTTGAAATCTGTTTTTTTTAAAGATCAGCATATTTTGATCAATGTTCCATGTGCATTTGAAAAGAATGTGTAGGAGTGGTGAGAGAGGGAAGTTCTGGCCAGGGCAATTAGGCAGGAGAAGGAAATAAAGGGTATTCAATTAGGAAAAGAGGAAGTCAAATTGTGTCTGTTTGCAGATGACATGATTGTATATCTAGAAAAACCCATCCTCTCAGCCCAAAATCTCCTTAAGCTGATAAGCAACTTCAGCAAAGTCTCAGGATACAAAATCAATGTGCAAAAATCACAAGCATTCTTATACACCAATAACAGACAAACAGAGAGCCAAATCATGAGTGAACTCCCATTCACAATTGCTTCAAAGAGAATAAAATACCTAGGAATCCAACTTACAAGGGATGTGAAGGACCTCTTCAAGGAGAAATACAAACCACTGCTCAATGAAATAAAAGAGGATACAAACAAATGGAAGAACATTCCATGCTCATGGGTAGGAAAAATCAATATCGTGAAAATGGCCATACTGCCCAAGGTAATTTATAGATTCAATGCCATCCTCATCAAGCTACCAATGACTTTCTTCACAGAATTGGAAAAAACTACTTTAAAGTTCTTATGGCACCAAAAAAGAGTGCACATCGCCAAGTCAATCCTAAGCCAGAAGAACAAAGCTGGAGGCATCATGGTACCTGACTTCAAACTATACTACAAGACTACAGTAACCAAAACAGCATGGTACTGGTACCAAAACAGAGATACAGATCAATGGAACAGAATGGAGCCCTCAGAAATAACGCTGCATATCTATAACTATCTGATCTTTGACAAACCTGAGAAAAACAAGCAATGGGGAAAGGATTCCCTATTTAATAAATGGTGCTGGGAAAACTGGGTAGTCATATGTAGAAAGCGAAACTGGATCCCTTCCTTACACTTTATACAAAAATTAATTCAAGATGGATTAAAGATTTAAACATTAGACCTAAAACCATAAAAACCCTAGAAGAAAACCTAGGCATTACCATTCAGGACATAGGCATGGGCAAAGACTTTATGTCTAAAACACCAAAAGCAATGGCAACAAAAGCCAAAATTGACCAATGGGGTCTAATTAAACTAAAGAGCTTCTGCACAGCAAAAGAAACTACCATCAGAGTGAACAGGCAACCTACAAAATGGGAGAAAATTTTTGCAACCTACTCATCTGACAAAGGGCTAACCTCCAGAATCTACAATGAACTCAAACAAATTTGCAAGAAAAAAACAAACAACTCCATCAAAAAGTGGGCGCAGGACATGAACAGACACTTCTCAAAAGAAGACATTTATGCAGCCAAAAAACACATGAAAAAATGCTTACCAGCACTGGCTATCAGAGAAATGTAAATCAAAACCACAATGAGATACCATCTCACACCAGTTAGAATGGTGATCATTAAAAAGTCAGGAAACAAAGGTGCTGGAAAGGATGTGGAGAAACAGGAACACTTTTACACTGTTGGTGGGTCTGTAAACTAGTTCAACCATTGTGGAAGTCAGTGTGGCGATTCCTCAGGGATCTAGAACTAGAAATACCATTTGACCCAGCCATCCCATTACTGGGTATATACCCAAAGGACTATAAATCATGCTGCTATAAAGACACATGCACACGTATATTTATTGCGGCACTATTCACAATAGCAAAGACTTGGAACCAACCCAAATGTCCAACAATGATAGACTGGATTAAGAAAATGTGGCTCATATACACCATGGAATACTATGCAGCCATAAAAAAATGATGAGTTCATGTCCTTTGTAGGGACATGGATGAAATTGGAAATCATCATTCTCAGTAAACTATTGCAAGAACAAAAAACCAAACCCTGCATGTTCTCACTCATAAGTGGGAATTAAACAATGAGAACACATGGACACAGGAAGGGGAACATCACACACCAGGGCCTGTTGTGGGGTGGGTGGAGGGGGGAGGGATAGCTTTAGGAGATATACCTAATGCTAAATGACAAGTTAATGGGTGCAGCACACCCACATAGCACTTGTATACATATGTAACTAACCTGCACATTGTGCACATTTACCCTAAAACTTAAAGCATAATAATAAAATAAAATAAAAAAATAAAAAAATAAAAGAATTTGTATTCTACAGTTGTGTTTAATGTTCTATAAACGTCAATTAGACTAAGGTGATTGGTAGTGTTATTCAGATATTCAGTATTCTTACTATATTTTTGTTAGTTGTATATCGATTTCTAAAGACTTGCTAAATTCTCCATCTGTGAGTTTGAATTTGTGTATTTATTTCCTTATTTCTGAAAGTTTTGCTGCATGTAATTTGAAGCTCTGTTATGAAGCACATAATCTACCTGATGCATTGATCCTCTGTTATCATGAAGTGTTCCTCCTTGTCTCTGATAATATTCTTTATCGGTAGTTAATTTTGTCTGATAATAGTATAGCTACTCCATATTTCTTTTGCGCACTGTTTGCATAACATAGCTTTCTCTATTGTTTTTATTTTAAAGCTATTTTTGTCTTTCTATTTGAAGTTCATCTCTTCAGTATAACACACAGGCTGTCAGTCCCTGCTTTTTAAAAAATCCAGTTCATCAGTCTCTTTCTTTGATTGGAGTGGTTAGTCTAGTAATCTTTAATGTAATTATTGATGTGGTTGAATTCAAGTCTGCCATTTTGCTATTTTTTTCTGTTCGTCTCATCTGGTTATTATATATTTCCCTATTTATCCTTTCATGCCATTATTTGTATTAATCAAGTATTATTCAATATTTCATTTTAATGTGTCAGCTGATTTATTAGTTCTCTCTCTTTGGATTACTTTTTAGTGGTTGCTTTAGGGATTACAATATGCAGTTTAACTGGTTTTAAACCTTCTTTAAGTTTATGTTAAATTATTTCAGGTAAAATATAGCAACCTTGCAAAAGTATATTTCCATTTCCCCTTTTTCATATCCTTACTATTATTGGTGATATTTTATATATAATATAATATATTATATTATATATAAATATACTATTATATTATATATAAAATATCACAATATAATATATCATATTATATATAAATATACATAATATATTATATAAATATACATAATATATTATATATAAATATACATAATATATTTATATAATATATAAGTATTACATATTATATTATATATAAACATATATAATAAGCCCAACAATACAGTTTGATTTTTTCTTTAAAGTCATATATTGTTTAATGAAATTAAGAAAATAAGATTTAAAAGATATTCTATGTATATGTATATATACATACACACGTTTATATGCGTGTATGTATGCATCTGATGGTCTTTATTTCTTCCTGTGGGTCCACTTTTATTTGGTGTCAAATTAAAGAGGGTTGTAGGTGTATGCATTTATTTCTGGGCTCTCTATTTTGTTCCATTGGTCTACGTGTCTACTTTTGTACCAGTACCATGCTGTTTTGGCTACTGTAGCCTTGTAGTGTAGTACATGTTTGTTACTTGGGCATATTGTGTGATGCTCAGGTTTGTGGTATGATAGAACCTGTCACCCACGTAGTGAACATAGTAGCCAATAGGTAGTTTTTCAGCCCTTGTGTCACTCTCTCTCTATCCCTTCTAATAGTCCCCAGTGTCTATTTCTCATTTTTATGTCCATGTGTCCATATGTCTAATATTTAGCTCCCACTTATAAGTAAGAACATGTCATATTTGGTTTTCTGTTTATGTGTTACTTAGCTTAGAATAATGGCCTCCAGCTAGATCCATGTTGCTGCAAAGGACATGATTTTGTTCTTTTTTATGGCTGCATAGTATTCCATTGGGTATATGTGCCACATTTTCTTTGTCCAATCCACCATTGATGGGCATCTGCATTGATGCCATGCTTTTGCTATTGTGAATAGCATGATGATGAACATTGGGTGCATGTGTCCTTTTGGTAGAACGATTTATTTTCCTTTGGGTATATACCCAGTAATGGGATAGCTGGGTCCAATGGTAGTTCAGCTCTTAGTTCTTTGAGAAATCTCCAAACTGCTCTCCACAGTGGCTGAACTAATTTACATTCCTACCAACAGTGTAGAAGTGTCCCTTTTTCTCCACAGCCTCACCAACATCTGTTATTTTTTGACTTTTTAACAAAAGCCATTCTGACTGGTGTGAGATGGTATCTTACTGTGGTTTTGATTTGCATTTCTCTGATGATCAGTGTATTGAGCTTTTTTTTTATATGCTTGTTGGCCACATGTGTGTCTTCTTTCTTCTTTAGAAAAAAAGACATGCATGTCCACTTTTTCATGGAGTTCTTTGCTTTTTGCTTCTTGATTTGTTTAAACTCCTTATAGATTCTGGATATTAGACCTCTGTCGGATGCATGGTTTGCAAATATTTTCTCTCATTCTGCAGGTTGTCTGTTTACTCTCTTGGTAGTTTCTCTTGCTGTGCAGAAGCTCTTTCTTTAGTTTGCTTAGGTCCTACTTATCAATTTTTGTTTTTGTCACAATTGCTTTTGGGGACTTAGCCATAAATTCTTTGCCAGGGCTGAAATGGAGAAGGTTATTTCCTAGGTTTTCTTCTAGAATTGTTATAGTTTGAGGTCTTACATTTAAGTCTTTAATCCCTCTTGAGTTAATTTTTGTATAAAGGGACCAGTTTCATTCTTCAGCATATAGATGGGGTCCAGTTTCATTCTTCAGCATATAGATAGCCAGTTATCCCAGCACAATTTAATGGATACAGAGTCTTTTTCCCCATTGCTTATTTTGTCAAGCTTGTTGAAGATCAGAAGGTTGCAGGTGTATGGCTTTATTTCTGGGCTCTCTATTCTGTTCCATTGGTATATGTGTTTATTTTGTACCAGTACCATGCTATTTTGGCTACTGTAGCCTTGTAGTGTAGTTTGAAGTGGGTAATGTGATGCCTCTGGCTTTGTTCTTTTTGCTTAGGATTGCTTTGATTATTCAGGCTCTTTTTTTTCCTAGTTCTGTGAAAAAGGACATTGCTGGCTTGATAGGAATAGCATTGAATCTGTAGATTGCTTTGGGAAGTATGGTCATTTTAACAATTTTGATGCTACCAATTCATGAGCATGAAATATTTTCCCACTTGTTTGTGTTATCTCTGATTTCTTTCAGCAGCATTTTGTAGTTCGCCTTGTAGAGACCTTTCAGCTAATTGGTTAGATATATTCCTAGGTATTTTATTCTTTTTGTAGCTATGGTATAGGGACTGTGTTCTTGATTTCGATCTCAGCTTGGATGTATTGGTATATAGCAATGCTACTGATTTTTGGCCATTGATTTGGTATCCCAAAACTTTACTGAAGTCATTTATCAGTTCCAAGGGCCTTTTGGCAGAGTCTTTAGGGTTTTTAAGGTATAGAATCATATCATCCATGAAGAGAGATAGTTTGACCTCTTTTCCTGTTTTGATGCCTTTTATTTTTTTCTGTTGCCTGATTGTTCTGGCTAGGACTTCCAGTGCTATGTTGAATAAGAGTGGTGATAGTGGGCATCTTGTCTTGTTCCAGTTCTCAAGGGGAATGCTTCTCACTTTTGCCCATTCAGTATGATGTTGGCTGTGGGTTTGTCATAGATGGCTCTTATTAATTCGAGGTACATTTCTTCAATGTCTAGTTTGTTGAGGGTTTTTTTATCATGAAGAGATGTTAGATTTTATCAAAAGCGTTTTCTGCGTCTACTGAGATGATTATATGGTTTTTGTTTTTAATTCTGTTTATATAGTGAATCACACATAGTGACTATCACTGATAATGTTTTGTTTTTATTTCATCTATTTTATCTAATACTAATATAGTTACTCTGATTCCATTAGTATTTTTCTGGCATATATTTACCACCTTTTTACTTTCAGTAATTTCATAGTCTTACGTTTTAGTAATGTCTGGAATTTAAAAAGTCCAATCTGACAACCTCTGCGTCCTAACTTGTGAGTTCTTCTATCCATTGATTATCTTCTACTCATTAATTATTGATGTATTTGCATATGTTTCTACTATTTTACTTTGTGGTTCCTTTTCTATGCTTCTTTTCCCCCTTCTTTTTGGGAGTATGTTTTGGCCTTTTTTTTTTTTTTGGCTCTTTATATCCTATTTTTTCTTATTCTGTATTTTCCTCTACAGATTTCAAATTTATACATTTTACTTCTATTCTTTAGTTACTATGTTTGAGAATTTTATTTTTCATGCTTGATAAAGTCTAAAGTTATTTGGTATTTTAACCACTCCCCCACTGCCCACCCTACAACCTCAAAAGATGCATGGACTTTAGCACAGTTTAATTTCAGTCACTCACTCCTGGATTAATGATTCCTCTTGGCTCTCTTGTGATGCTTCTTGGCTCTCTTAATGATTCTGTGTTTTCCACTGCAGATATATGGGAATTTCTGTATCTCTATTATAGCACACACCAGCATGGGGGATTAGGTTGTTCTATCTGGACCCCGTCTCTGCTGAAACATTCCATAGTCATGTTACTCCATGTTGAGCAAGAGTTCCGTACTGCATGGTATCCTCTAAATATTCCAAATGGGAATTCATATATCAGACTTTTCTGTATTCGGAATTCCTCTAAATATTCCAAATGGGAATTCATATATCAGACTTTTCTGTATTTGGAATTCCTCTTAAGTGTCTAGGCTTTCTAATACATTGTCATCAATTTATCCATTCCCTACAGGGTATAATGAGAGACTATGGGACTCAGAAGGTGGCAGATATTTTTTATTATGGGGAAAGATAACTGAGAATAAAGCTATCATGCAGATATTTGCAGAGATAAAAGTAATGCAGATACTGAGTGGAGTTTTGATCAAACTATGCTTGAAAGCCACTCTACCACTAGTTACACAAACCAATAATTTCCCTTCGCAGTGGAAGTCAGCTTGAGTTTTTTCAGGTGTTTTTGTGGGTTTCACCAGATACAGCAAAGAAATTAAAATTACTGTTAATGGATGTCAAAACCAGTCAGAAGTATCCTAAGTTATATAATTTGTCAAACAACCATATACATATATTTTGTATTATATTTATCCTTTTGTTCTTCCTTTGGTAGGAAAATTGTCTCATTAATTCTTATACGAAAGGACTTAAAATTAGCAAACTTTTTTTGCAAACACATGGATTCCATTCTTGGACTTGAGGACAACTTGACGAACAGGCTGGGGAGGCCTTGAGTGGTCTGGAGCCAGCTTGAAGCGGAGCAGAGTTAATGCCACTGCCACTTTACACTCAATTATGGCAAAATGCTGCCCAATGCAGTTCCTGGGGATACCAAGAAAGAAAACATGGCATCTAATGAATTTATATATTATTAACAACATACGCCAATCTTTTTATATATGACGACTTTTGTAGGGAAACAAGATCCATTTTTTTTTCTGTCATCCTGCTGGATTACAGGTGCTCACCATGATGCCCAGCTAATATTTTTGTATTTTTGGTAGAGACAGGGTTTTACCATGTTGGCCAGGCTGGTCTCAAATTCCTGATCTCAAGTAATCCGCCTACCTTGGCCTCCGAAAGTGCTGGGATTACAGGTAAGAGCCACCGCACCCAGCCAAGATCCATGTTTTAAACAAATTCCAATGTGGCAGAATCCAGCAAATGTTTTATTTTAAGTTAAGTAAGCCCCGATCAGAAAGTCCATTAATGTCAAGACCTGCAAACTGTGGCTCTATTATTTTGGGGCCCATCTTACAAATAAGTGGTAGTGAGTTCTATCAACATTTGATTCTGCAAGGTCCACGTAACTTGAAAACCTTCCTTATATCATGATAAGGAAAAGCTACTTCTTACTATTATTTAGAGGCTGTGCAGTTGAAGCCTTAGGCATAAGAACAATAACCTGGCATACTCAGTGGATTGTGTTGTCATTTGGTAAATCGGGTGTCTCTCATACCAAACCAAAGGGAAACTTGGACTTTAGAACAACATTGCTCTCTGTAGGAACAAGAGCTGGGAGGTGCCAATGTTGCCTTGTTCCTATAACAAGATGGCATTCCCAATGCTTGTCCATTGCAAGTTTAAGTGTAGTCTTTGGGCCTGTCATGAGGATGGCCTTCATCAATTCACACCCATATGCCAAGGACCAGAGTTGTTCTTTGTAACATTAACCGGTCCCTTTGGGGGCTCAAAAGGGTACCAACTAAATGCACTGGTCACAAGAGAAGACAAGCCAGGTAAAATAATGGGGAGCAACAGCAGTGTCAGCTAACTGAGGGCCTGAAGGGAAGAAGCACTTGTCAGGTAAGCACTATTACACATTTCCATCAAGTTCACCAGCTTGAGTCTTTACCTTAATCCAGCTGAGAATGGTATGAAGGCATAGGGATGTATTTTTTCAGAATTTTCCCTGGAGAATCTCAAGGGGTTAAAGACCTGTAATGAGAGTGAAGATCCCAGTCCTAATCCCTCCAGCCCACCCCCACAAAAAACAAAAACAAAAACAAAAACGAAATCCATAGATATTGTTAACAGAATTCCAAAGCTAATTTTAGGAACTTACAATGTCTGGAGACTACAAGTCCTGCTTGATGTTCCCCAAAAGCCTACCACTGAAAATATATCCCAAGAAAGCAGAGGCTATATAACCTAGTGATAGATTAAACAGGCCCCGATAGTAAGAAGCAGCAGCAAATCATCCAGACAATCTGACTTGAGCAAATAGTGACTTCATTATTTTCCCTTCACAGTAAACCCGTGCCTCTGTCATATAAAAATGGGCAAAGCATCAAATTATTATCTTTTCTATTTGTCTTGGTTTCCAAATGGACTGAGCCAGTGACTTGGGCAAAGAAAAAAGGGGTGGCAATTCACAAGCTGAAGTCACAAGCTGAAGTTGTTCAGCTTCTGCCCGAAAGTCTCTGTGAGAGGCTGCCGATTAGTATCTCCTGGGCTGTGGGGTTGGTCTGAGCGCTGGTTTGCAGCCCAGGAGTGTGCTTGTTCTCTCCCAGGCCCCCTCTCCCTTTCACTCTCAGGTTAGCACTGAGTGTGAAGGAGAGTGATATTCCTAGAGACTAACTTCAAATATGCTCAAATCTTAAAAAAAGCAAAGAGTCCATAATCTTGCTACTTTAATTATGACCAGTAACAAGAGATTTGCAATACACTTCACAAGTCTGTGACTAGATTGACTACAGACATGAATGAAAGCAGAGAGCAAGGTGGTTAAACAGTGCAGTGTCAGTTGACTAATCACACCCCTCTACTTCCCAGGGGATGATATGCTTCTGTTGATAAGGCATCATCATGGAACTCTGGTGATGATTATAAATGCAAATGTAGTTTTCTCTTAAAAGCATAGGGTTTTTGTTCTGTTTTGTTCTTTTCTAAATGACAGATCGTTATCCTAACTGCTCTCTCAACTGTGAAGATGCTTCTCTTCCCTCTTGGTGCTATCTTAGATGCCACTGGGTGCAGTTGGGACAATCATACCTGAGGGTCTTCCCAGAAATAGGGGTTGTGGTGAAGAGCCCAAATATTGATAAACACAGTTATTCCTGAGTAAACAGAAGAAAAAGCAGGTAAGTGCATGAGCGAAGATTCTGTCTTTTTTTTTTTCTCTTTTACTTTTTTTTTAAAATTATACTTTAAGTTTTAGGGTACATATGCACAACATGAAGGTTTGTTACATATGTATACATGTGCCATGTTGGTGTGCTGCACCCATTAACTCGTCATTTAACATTAGGTATATCTCCTAATGCTATCCATCCCCCCTCCCTCCACCCCACAACAGGCTCTGGTGTGTGATGTTCCCCTTCCTGTGTCAATGTGTTCTCACTGCTCAATTCCCACCTATGAGTGAGAACATGCGGCGTTTGGTTTTTTGTCCTTGCGATAGTTTGCTGAGAATGATGGTTTCCAGCTTCATCCGTGTCCCTACAAAGGACATGAACTCATCATTTTTTATGGCTGCATAGTATTCCATAGTGTATATGAGCCACATTTTCTTAATCCAGTCTATCATTGTTGGACATTTGGGTTGGTTCCAAGTCTTTGCTATTGTGAATAGTGCCACAATAAACATACGTGTGCATGTGTCTTTATAGCGGCACGATTTATAATCCTTTGGGTATATACCTAGTAATGGGATGGCTGGGTCAAATGGTATTTCTAGTTCTAGATCCCTGAGAAATCGCCACACTGACTTCCACAATGGTTGAACTAGTTTACAGTCCCACCAACAGTGTAAAAGTGTCCCTATTTCTCCACATCCTCTCCAGCACCTGTTGTTTCCTGACTTTTTAATGATCGCCTTTCTAACTGGTGTGAGATGGTATCTCATTGTGGTTTTGATTTGCATTTCTCTGATGGCCAGTGATGATGAGCATTTTTTCATGTGTCTGTTGGCTGCATAAATGTCTTCTTTTGAGAAGTGTCTGTTCATATCCTTCACCTTCTTGTTGATGGGGTTGTTTGTTTTTTTCTTGTAAATTTGTTTGAGTTCATTGTAGATTCTGGATGTTAGCCCTTTGTCAGATGAGGAGATTGCAAAAATTTTCTCCCATTCTGTAGGTTGCCTGTTCACTCTGATGGTAATTTCTTTTGCTGTGCAGAAGCTCTTTAGTTTAATAAGATCCCATTTGTCAATTTTGGCTTTTGTTGCCATTGCTTTTGGTGTTTTAGACATGAAGTCCTTGCCCATGCCTATGTCCTGAATGGTATTGCCTAGGTTTTCTTCTAGGGTTTTTATGGTTTTAGGTCTAACATTTAAGTCTTTAATCCATCTTGAATTAATTTTTGTATAAGGTGTAAGGAAGGGATCCAGTTTCAGCTTTCTGCATATGGCTAGCCAGCTTTCCTAGCACCATTTATTAAAAAGGGAATCGTTTCCCCATTTCTTGTTTTTGTCAGGTTGTCAAAGATCAGATAGTTGTAGATATGCGGCATTATTTCTGAGGGCTCTGTTCTGTTCCATTGATCTATATCTCTGTTTTGGTACCAGTACCATGCTGTTTTGGTTACTGTAGCCTTGTAGTATAGTTTGAAGTCAGGTAGCATGATGCCTCCAGCTTTGTTCTTTTGGCTTAGGATTGACTTGGCGATGCGGACTCTTTTTTGGTGCCATATGAACTTTAAAGTAGTTTTTTCCAATTCTGTGAAGAAAGTCATTGGTAGCTTGATAGGGATGGCATTGAAACTATAAATTACCTTGGGCAGTATGGCCATTTTCACGATATTGATTCTTCCTACCCAGGAGCATGGAATGTTCTTCCATTTGTTTGTATCCTCTTTTATTTCATTGAGCAGCGGTTTGTAGTTCTCCTTGAAGAGGTCCTTCACATCCCTTGTAAGTTGGATTCCTAGATATTTTATTCTCCTTGAAGCAATTGTGAATGGGAGTTCGCTCATGATTTGGCTCTCTGTTTGCCTGTTATTGGTGTATAAGAATGCTTGTGATCCTCAATAAAATACGAGCAAAGATTCTTTCACATCTATTCATAGATTTCATAACCAAGGAAAGAATTCTACAATCATAATTTCGTTAACCATTTAAGAAGCGTCTGTTATGATGACACTTAAATGGGTGCTGTGAAGATCAGTGAGATCTACTCTAGCCTTCAAGGAGCTCACAGTCCATTGGAAGAGACAGGCAATTGCAACACATGGTAATAAGTCAGAAGGAAGCCTAGGATGCTTGGGGAATTGAGAGGGGAACCTCATGTATAGAGCCTTTGGATGTATGCAAGAGAAAAGGCCCAGGCGAGGCATGCTGAGCTGAGTATAATGAAATCGGTAGGGGAAAACCAGGTAAAGAGAAGAATGTTCAGAAAGGAATTTGAGGCAGATAAAAAAGCATGAAGCCAAGCTTTAATACTTGAGAAAGCATGAGAAATTTGGGTGACTGGGAGGTTGTATAACAGGATTCAGGGAGCAAAGTGTCCATAGATCAGCCTGTGGAGGTTGGCTGGGCTTGTACCTTAAAATGGGAAAGAGGTCATGCTAAGGATTTTAGGTTGAAACCATTATGGATCACTGAGAAGTTTAAGCAGAGAGTGAGAGTATTGTCTTTTTTTTTTTTCCTTTCCTAGTCAGCTACTTGGGAGATTGTATTATACTTTGGAGCCATAGAACCATATGGGATATAGTGCCAATATGGCACTGAAGTAATATTTTATCATGTTATGGAATATCCATTGATCAGGGTGGAGATGATATGGGTTTCTCCTGAAACCTATAAATGTAATAAATTATATTAATGGATTCCTAATATTGAACAATCTTTTCAGTTTTGGAATATGACCTACTTACTTGGCCATGATGCACTGTTTTATTTTATTTTATCTTTTTGTAGAGATGGGGTCTTGTGTTGCCCAGACTCAAGCGATCCTCCCACCTTGACCTCACAAAGTGTTCGGATTACAGGCATGAGCCACCTGCCCAGCCAATACATTTATTTCAATGAGCTATTGGATTATGTGTACTAATATTTTATTTAAAATTTTTGTACTTATATACATAAGTGATTTTTATCTAAATATATTTTTGTTCAATTTTTAGTAGGTTTGTTATCAATGTGATACTTCCTTAAATAACTTTCTAAGTTTTTATTTTTCTATGCTCTGGACAACTTTAAGTATTACTGGGATTATATGGTCTTTACAGGTTTGAAAAAATTTGTGAAAAACTGCATAGGTCTGGTTCCTTTTCAGGGGCTCTACAATTTTTCTCTAGTCCTGTGAAAATTGGCATGCTTAGACTATTTATCTCTACCAGCATCAGTTTTAGTAAATTATGTATTATACAATTATCTAGTTTTTTTCCTGGTTTTTCAAGTCTCTGTGCATACACTTGTGTAATATTAGTTCGTGGTGTGTCTCTTTGTTGACCAGCCCCTCCCCCACTGGCTATTGTGTTTTTTGACTAGTTTTGCAACCGTTCTGCTTTCCATACCATTACCTTTTGCTTTCGCCTTTGTTAATTCACCTGTTTCCTTTTAGTTTACTCTTTTATTCTTTCCCCAACTGATTTATTTCCAGTTGTTTTCGACGTCAATGTTTAATTTAATTCTTTTATTAATAAAAATATTTCGCATTTACTATTATAGCTTCTCTTCTGAATGAATGCTGCTTTAGTGGCAAACCATTAATTCTCATATGTAGAGTTTTCAGGGTCATGATTTGATTTTGTAATTTTGCTTTAGCCCAAGAGTTTTTAATGGATTAAACAAAAAACTCCAGATGAATGAAACTTTTTGAAAAATTTTTGTTGCTAATTTCCATTTTTATTGTCTTCATTTAAAGAACACTATTTTGTAATGTTTCTCTTTTAGTAATTAAGTTTTTTTATTGTGGTCTAGTATACAGTCAACTTTAAGCAATGTTGCTGGTGTACTTAAAAGGAAAGTCTGTCCTCTATTAGTGGGGAAAAAGTTTAATATTGTACGCATAAAGTCTATCTTATTAATTACATTGTTTAGATCGTCTGTATACTTTATTTGTTTGGTTTGCGTAGGTCTTTGAAAGGCAGTTAAAATCTGTTAGTAGGGTGCCTTTGACTGTTTTCCTTTTCATTTCCTATAGTTTGCTTTAAAAAATTGCAGGGCTGGGCACAGTGGCTCACCCCTGTAGTCCCAGCACTTTGAAAGGCCCAGGCGGGTGGATCACAAGGTCAGGAGACTGAGACCATCGTGGCTAACACGGTGAAACCCCGTCTCCACTAAAAATACAAAAAATTAGCCAGGCGTGGTGACATGCGCCTGTAGTTCCAGCTACTTGGGAGGTGGAGGCAGGAGAATTGCTTGAATCTGGGAGGCAGAGTTTGCAGGGAGCAGAGATTGCACCATTGCACTCCAGCCTGGGCAACAGAGCAAGACTCCATCAAAAAAAAAAAATTGCAGATGTGTAACTTGATACATAGGTAGGTATCAATAGCTGTCTTATGTTCATGATGAATTGTGGCTTTTAACATTATGAAGACTAATTTTTGAACTTCACCAATCCTGACATGGCCAGCTAGCTTACTGACTGAGGTAAAGACCTAATTTGGGTTAGAATGGCAACTGGAACACCATAACAGTGCTGCATCCACACAGCAAAGATCACTTTCAAAAAACAAATGGCCAGGTCACCGTTAACGAATTCTTCCTAAGTGATTAATCCACATATTGCTAGCTAATCAAGGACATTCAAGAAATTTGCTTTCTTAACATGGGTCAGAGATTTTGAAGTTTAGAGCTTCAAAAACCCAATGTTATTTAACTCTCCCAAGCCTCAATCATAGGGTCTAACCTCTATGGTTGGATTAGGTTTATATCCTGGCAGTACACATTCTTTCATTTTTCAATTTTTGGTTCCAGAAGCCTTGTTCTCTTTTAAATGGTTTCTGGAAGTCTCACCAAGATCATCAGAACAGACTGCCCATTGAAGTTCAGTAGTAGCTAATACCTAAGAAGTATGATTCACAGGCTCATCAATTATTAGCTCCTTTGGGTGAGTCTCAAATCATGGTCAATGAAAAAATTTTTTTGAGACAAGGTCTCACTATGTTGCCCAGGCTGGAGGGAAGTGGTGTGATTATAGTTTGCTGCAGCCTCAAACTCCCAGGCTAAAGTGATCCTCCCACCTCAGCCTCCTGAGTAGCTGGGATTACAGGCACATGCCAGTGTCCTCAGATGAGATATTTTTGATTTCCTAAGTCTGTTATTGTCTTTCTTAGGAGTTTCTGCTTGCTCTAGCTTACAGCCAGTGTCTAGTTGATTGCCATGGATCTCTCCCATGAGTGGCACAAAACCCATTGTGTTTTGTTCTATTTAGTGATTGTGAATTATTTAGGGGATTTCATGGAACACCCATTTTTTTGGGCCATGTCCCTCTCCACTGAGGCTTACTGGACCATCAGATTCATGGCACATACTAGGCCATTGATAGGTCTGTTATTGGCTATTGAGGGAATCTGTTGTTTTTGTTTTTCTGGCATGGGTTTTATTAATCCAGAGAATCACACTGACACCTTATGAGCATATTCATTATAATAAAAAAGCATGCACATTATCTAACAAAATTACATATTTAAACCAAGAATACGTCAGAAAAAGACATAATTTGAAAATTTCCTACTTTATTGAGGTCTTAAATCTCCATGGAGCCTTAGGGCAAAAAGGAAATAGAATTCATAACTTTTGGTGGTTTGTCATCTTTTTTTTTTTTTTTGGCCATGTAGAAAATCTGAAAACACCTCAATGACTCTAACTCAATGTCAGTGAAGATTCCCTGGAAAAAAACTTATGAAAAGCAGATTAATGACTGCCTGCAACTGATCTGATTTTATCTTCATCCTCTCTCTAAATCTGTCTTCCTAACTCCAATTTCTTTGTTCCACAAATCTAGGTAATTCTGAGCAAGGCTCAAAATATCTCTTAATAAGATTAGTGAAAAGGGATCTGCATTGTCCAGAAAAAATGACTGCTCTCCCAGGAATCTGTGTATCATTTGAGTCACAATCTGTCAGCAGAGTGGACATCCCCTTTTCTCTGCCAGAATAAAGAGTCTTTAATTGTACCCTAGGCTCTAAATTAAAAGTTAACTTTTAAAAGATAAAATATAATTTTTAGGATTGACTATTTCTTTTAGGTGATTAATATACACTTTTCCTAAAGTAGCTCAGCCTTACTAAGCTTATTAAGACCACAATTTCTAAACCTTTTCTATGGGATTAAAAAGTAGAGCCACCCTCTACTCTCTGCAAGTCTTTCTGCAGCCACCCTCTCATTGCCTTTTAAAACTGGGAATTTCTCTTCTTGTTTAATTTGGCAGCCCAATCCTACCTTCTTTTTTAATTTCATAAATTCATTAAAATCTCTCTCTCTCTTTTTGTTTGTTAAATACCTTCCTTCCATTCTTTTCACTTTTATGGGATTATTTCTTTTTGCATTTCAGTGTATGTGTATAAGTAGGATCTTAGGAGGGACAAGTGGCAACAGAATCACCCAAGTGGCTTTCTTGAGTTGGAACTTAGAATTTACCTAGACTTATGATTTATCTTTTATAAGTAGATTGGTTTGTAGATACCTAAGTATGGAAATATAAAACTTAGGGGACTCTGGCATTTGAAGATTGACAAAGGCAATAACTGAGACCATGGAAGCAAGGTTGTTGAGAAGGAAATAGCTGATATTCTAGGACTTGGATACTGTCTGGGTAAGGAAGATGGTGGAGGTGTGAGGATGACTTCTATCTTTCTCACTTAAAATTACTCACAGACAGTGGTGCCATTCATTAATGTAGCAATCCAGGAGGAGGAATAGGTTTAGGGGAAGGAGGTAGATGACATGCTTTCTTTTGGACATTTTGCACATCATAGTATGCTCAGAACAAAGCAAAGTGCCTAGAGCAAATGTTTAATATGCACTTGTTGGGCCAGCAAATGAAGAGAAGGGCACACATAATGTAGTAGGTCTTTTGCCAAGAGTGAATGGGACCATGGCACAGGCACAGGTAGAGAGTGATGACAATGTGTAAGTGATACTGTGAGGTGTGGGAGAGAAAGCAGGCATCATAAACATGTTTCTTTTTAGAAATAAACAGGATTTCTGGGTAATACAGGGGAAGAGGTGGGTCTGGCGGATATGAGGCATCCATTTGCACATGCTTTGTTGTGCTATAGCTGCATTCAAGGGCCCATTAGCAGGGCAGAGAAAGCGTATAGAGGAATTTAATGCTGGTTGAATTACTGATGAGTGACAGTAGAGAAAGGGAAAATATTCAAGGAAGTTGACGGCATTGCCAAAGGGGAAGTTGGAGTGATGAATCCAGGCATCCAAGCCTGGGGTGAAGAAAGTGAAGTTGTGGAGTGCCTGTGTGTATGAGAGGGGCAGGAAGGAAAGCAGGGTAACAGGAAATGAGACAGATGAGCACGTGAGGTGCAGTGAAGGCCTGAAAGCTCTGGAGGGCAAGAAGGTGTGGCGGAAAGGAATGTAAAGTGAGGTGAAGGCAACTCTGCGTGTGCACTTCCTGTCCCTTCATTGTAGCTTGAGGGAGATTAAGGTGCAGCCCTTGAAGGCACTTGGAGGAAAGGGCAGAGACTGCAGGAGACCAGAGATGACGTATAAGTAGCCTAAAACTGAGTCAGCCGGGTGGAGCCAGCTCTTCCACCAACATCCATGCGGATCTCAACAGCATTGTCTGAAGCCCAGAAAGTTACCCGCAGCAGCTGCAAAAGCCACAAGATCAGGAAAGTGAAAGGAACATGAAACAGAAAGGACCTGAATGGGAAAAATTAGAAGGCATGCTGATTCTCACATTTTCAACATGTAGCTTTTGTATGGGTCGGGGGATTTTAAGATTCTGTGGATTACAGGGCTTAGGTGATCTAGAATGGAAGTAGAGAAAATAATTTTCTTGTGTTGGAAGGCAGCAATAAATCATCATTTTATTGATGTTGAAAAAAACCAGAGCTTATTGACAGGATTTAGGTATTATTGAAATGCAAGATTAAGGGAAAAGGTAGTAAAAGTTGACTCTGAGCTGTTTTGTTGGAGCAACTAGGTGGGCGGAATATTATGTGTATGGATGCAATATTATGTAGGTAATAAATATTACAATAAATACCATGTGAAAAATAACACTGAATTAAAAAGAGGAAACTTCTTTAGATACTAGATGATTGCAAAGATCCCCATGATAGCAAAGATCTTTCTCTGGAGAGATCCCAGAGAAAGCTTAAGTTGTTGCTTTAGTGTAGTAGTTACGAGCGCAGACTCTAGAGTCCCACTACTTGGGTTCAAGTCCTAGTTCCACCATTTACCAGAGATGAAGTTTTACCTTTTTGTTCCTGTTTGTCTAAAATGTGCATAACACTAGTATTTCCACAGCAGAACTGGGGGGCAGGAGGATGGGTGGATAAAATGAGTTAACACATGCAAAACATATGGAACAATGCTTAGTCCCTAGTAAGTACTAAATAGTTTTTGTTTTTGTTATTACAATAGTAAAGTTGATTTTGTAGGAAACAAATATTTAATTGCTATTGGGCAACTATGGTAGCACAGTAGCAATTAAATATTGCTACATTTAATTAGATTGCCCAATCAAATCCAATATTTGAAAGACGGTTAAATTGGAGGAAGTTGTAGAAACACATCTCGACATAGGTCAAAGATAAATTCTGGCTCATTCCTTTATGTCTCTAATGTTGCCTTTCAATCCATCTTGCATTCCACCAATGTATTAATCTTTCTAAAAAATAACTATAATCATGCCACCCAGCTTAGACGTCTTAAATCTGTCTGCTGCTTGATTGAGAAAGACTGAACACAAAGGTTGGCCTTCAGAAAACTCTATGATCTGGCTACATCATGGCTCCAGGTATAGTCCCACAATTTCCCTCTGTGAATCCTGGAGTCTGTGGATTACAGCAATTGCTCCAGTGACATGCCCTGCCGGTGTGCGTGAGGGAAGGGAGAAGGCAGGCTGCCTGCTGCTTTGTGTCTGCTCTTCTCTCTGCCCACAGTACTGCCTCTCTCATCTTTGCTGATATAAATCTAGTCCTTTAAGTTTCAGCATTAAAGCCGTGATGCTTCACGAAGGCCCCCTCACCCAACCCTCAGTCCATATGGCAGGATTCTGTACCTTTGCACCTTGATAATCCTGTGCCTGTTTGGATAGTCCTGAGAGCTCTATCCTCTTTCTCCCTCTCTGGGAAATAAGAATGGCCCTAGGTTCCACAGAGTCTAAGGATAAATAACTGTTAAAGACATGAGTATGTTAAGACATTTCAATCCAGCACAGCTGCATTGTTAAAAAAAAAAAAAAAAGTTTTAAGACCTGCAGGTAAGGAGCGTCCATCTGGAAAGGTGATGGGTTTGTCGAGTAACCGGGATATGTTTACTACCGGTGCGTAGAGGCGGAGGCATTCCTTGATGCACATCGTGGTGTAAGGCATCTGGCTCAGGTGTTCCCTGGGTAGAAGCACAGGAGGAAAGGAAAAGGAGGAGTAGTCACTTAGGCATTGCACTGAAAGCCCAGCTTTTCTCCATTTTTGTAACTGAGAATGATTTTGTTCTTTACCCAAAGGAGGACTTCAGATGTATCAAGTATGTCTTAGGAAAAGCTAAATGTTAACACTTACCACTTTTCACATGTAACTGTAAGTGATTCTCCCCCCCCCGCAGATATAGGGCTCTTATCCTGAGACATACTTATTCCAGGGCTCCTGTGACCAGTATCACACATCTGTGAAAATTTGGTAGAGACATGGACTGTATTTATATCCAGAGTGCCTCTTCTATGAATGAATAAGTATTTCTGCCTCTTTAGAATTGTAAAAAAATATAAAATAGGGATGTGGCTCTAAGATGGCTGACTAGCGGCATCTGGTACTCGCCTCTTCCACAGACAGGAACCAACATAGCAAGTAGATAATTACACTTCAAATAGATCATCTAAGGGAGAACGCTGGAATTCAACAGAGAAGTGATGGAAAGCACCAAAAGCAAGGAAGGAGAGGGAAGTGAGGCAGCCTGTTTGGCGGGGATCAACTGGGAGTCTGGAGAAGCTCTTTAATTTGGGAAAAGAATAAGTGAGAGCCCTCCAGTGATCCACGTTCCCACCACGGACTCCTACAATACTAGCTATGGAAGAGCCCACTAACCTTTGCAGGCCCTGAGACTAACATAAGGAGCCGGCTGGAGATTGCATGAAGACATTACTCCAGAGAGAGAGCTCACACTGGGTCCCACAAACCCCTGAGTCCTCAGCAGCTGCAGTGTGGCATCATCTGGAGAGCTCAGCCTCCATCAGACTGTGTCTTGCCTTGGGGTTCAACAGCCTCTACATCTCCACATCCCTGAAGCCCCAGTGACATTCCCCACCACAGCTGCTGTGGCTGCTGCTGCTGGTGCCAAGGTGGGAGCCACTGCCAGTGACCCTATCACCCCCAGCAGAGGGGTGGGCACACATTTTCATGCACCCTGAGGACAAATTCCACTGCCTGTAACTGTAGCTGCAAGGGCCAAGGTGCTAGCAAATCATGAGTCACCCTCATCCCACAAAAGCCTTTTGCTTATGGCTGCTCCAAATGAAAGCAGCGCCTCCCTTGTGGTGAGCCTAGATCGTGCCATTGCACTCCAGCCTGGGCAACAAGAGCAAAACTCCGCCTCAAAAAAAAAAGCAGCCCCAGCCCCTCCCTCTCCAGTAGCAGGGCCATAGCTCAGCTGCTGCCATTCTCATCTGAGCATTCTTGTAGCAGCCTGGGGATCACCCTGTCCCTGCCTACCATAGCCAGCACCTGCATACACTACTAGGGGGTCTGAGGGCAGATCTGCTCAGGCTGGCTCCACTCCTCCCAGTACCTGAGCATGCTGTCTAGGGCCCTAGAGACTGCCCTGCCCAGTCTATCATTGGCACCTGAGCACTTCTCCTGGGGTCTGAGGTTGGGCTCACTCAATCTGCTGCTACCACCACAGCTGGTATCCACCCACATGTGTCAACTGCGGGCTGGGGACTGGCCTGCTCAGCCCATCACCGCCACCACCAATACCAGCGTGGACTGCTTAGTATCAAGCAGGTTGTCCGACATGCCTGATGCCTAGGTGCGCAAGAGCTCACCCACCTACCTGACCCACCACTGCCATTTCCAGAACCCAGGCAAGCCACCTGGAAAGAGTTGGTCTGCCTGGAGTAGCTAACACTGGTGCTAGTATACATCACCTTGGTGCCCAAGAACGGGCATGCTCAGCCTACTGTAGCCACTGCTGGGACCCGAAGACTGGCCCATGTATCCCATTCCCCAACAAAACTTCACCACAGCTTCCACTAACAACCACATGCTAAGCCACTGAGTAAATCACAGACAAAAATGATGCTGTTTATAGTTGAAGAAATCATACAGCGATTACACTACTGCACATGCCCAGAATCAAAGCCAAAGCATCCTACCCAATGAACACTATGCATACATTTTCAGGAAAAGTCCTCCCCTATGAAAGCAAATTCAAAAAATTGGAAAAAGCAACTGTTACACAAGATGCACAAATACCAATGTAAGAACACAGGAAACATGAAAAGCAAGGAACTATGACACCTCCAAAACAACACAATAATTTTCCAGCAACATATCCCAATCAAAAAGAAATTTACAAAATCCTGGGAAAAGAATTCAAAATATTGACACTAAAGAAGCAAAATATTGAGGCTGGGTGTGGTGCCTCATGTCTGTAATCCCAGCACTTTGGGAGGCAGAGGCAGGAGGATAACCTGAGGTCAAGAGTTTGAGGCCAGCCTGGCCAACATGGTGAAACCCTATCTCTACTAAAAATAAAAAAACTTAGCTGGTTGTGGTGGCATGTGCCTGTAATCCCAGCTACTCAAATGTCTGAGGCAGGAGAATTGCTTGAACCCGGGAGGTGGAGAATGCAGTGAGCCAAGATCGTGCCATTGCACTCCAGCATGGGCAACAAGAGCAAAACTCTGTCTAAAAAAAAAAAAAAAAAGAAAAAAAAGAAAAAAAAAAGAAGAAGGTGAGATACAAGAGAATGCAGAAAAACACTAAAAAGAAGTCAGACAAGAAATTCAGGATATGAGTGAGAAATCCACCAAAGAGATAGATATCATAGAAAAAGATGGCTCACACCTGTAACCTCAGCACTTTGAGAGGCTGAGGCAGTAAGATGGCTTGAGGCCAGGAGTTCAAGACCAGCTTGGACAACATTGTGAGATCCTATCTCTATTAAAAAAAAAAATTAGCCAGGCATGGTGGCACATGCCTGTAATCCCAGCTACTTGGAAGGCTGAAACAGGAAGACTGCTTGAGCCCAGGAGTTTGAGGCTGCAGTGAGCTATGATCATGCCACTACACTCCAGCCTGGGTAACAGAGTGAGACTCTCTCTCTTAAAAAAAAAAGGAACTGAACAGAGATTCTGGAGCTGAAAAATTTATTGAATGAAATACAAAATACATTTGAAAGCTTCAACAATTAGAGTAGATCAAGCAGAAGAAAGAATCTCAGACCTTGATGACAGGTCTTTTGAAATAACCCAGTTATACAATTTTTTTAAAAAAAGAATAAAAAAGAATGAGCAGAGCCTATGTGACATATAAGACACCATCAAATGATCAAATATTCAAATTTTTGGTGTCCCAGAAGGTGAAGAGGAAACAAAAGGGTTAGAAAACCCATTTAATAAAATAATAGACAACAACTTCATAAGTCTAATAAGAGATTTACACGTCCACATACTGGAGGCTTAAAAATCCCCAAATAGATACAATTCAAAAGGTCTTCTCTACAGCGTATTACAGTCAAACTGTCAAAAGTCAAAGATGAAGAGAAAATGCTAAAAACAACAAGAGAACAGTGTCTAGTCACTAGTCACTTATAAAGAAACCTCCATTAGGCTAACAGTAGATTTCTCAGCAGAAGCCTTTCAGGCCAGGAGAGAATGGGATGATACATTTGAAGTGCTGAAAGAAAACAATGGTTAGTCAAGGATACTATTCCCAGCAAAGTTATCTTTCATAAATGAAGGAGAAACAAGCAGAAGCTGAGGGAATTCATCACCACTGGCCTTAACCTATGAGAAATGCTCAAGGGAGTCCTATACCCAGAAGTAACAGAATGATAACTGCCATAATGAAAATACTTGAAGATATAAAAACCACTGGTAGAACTAACACACAAACAAGACAGAGAAAAAGCTCAAATGGTACCACTACAGAATACAACCTAACCACAATGCTAAATGATGGGAGAAAGAAAAGAACAAAGTATATACAAAACAACCAGAAATCAATTAATAAAATGACAGGAATATGCCATCACATATCAGTAATAACCTTGAATGTAATGGAATTAAAATTTCCACTTAAAAGGTATACATTGGCTGAATGGATTGAAAAACATGACCCAACTATATGCTGTATACAAGAAGCTCATCTCACCTGTAAAGACACATATAGACTGAAAGTAAAGCAATGGAAAAAGATAGTCCATGCAAACAGAAACCAAAAATGAGTAGGAGGAGCTATGTTTATATCAGAGAAAAAGTAAAAAGTAGTAAAAAAGACATAGAAAGTTATTATATAATGATAAAGGGATCAGTTTAGCAAGAGGCTATAACAGTCTAAACATGTATGCATCCAACATTGGAGGACCCAGATATATAAAGCAAATATTGTTAGATCTAAAGAGATACACTTTCATACCATAATCGTTGGAGACGTCAGCCCCCTACTCTCAGCTTTATTCGAGTCATCTAGACAAATTTCTTTATAAATTTATTAATTTATAAAGAAACATTGGATTTAAATTGCACGTTGGACTAAATGTACCTCCCAGACATTTACAGAATATTTTGTCCAATAGGTGAAGAATACATATTTTTCTTATCAGCACATGGAATATTTTCCAGTATAGACTGTATGTTAGGACACAAAAGTCTCAACACATTTTTAAAAAATTAAAATCATATGAATTGTCTTCTTAGACCACAAAGGACTAAAATTAGAAATCAATAATAAGAGGAACTCTAGAAACTGTACAAATACATGGAAATTCAACAACATTCTCCTGAACAACAATTGGGTCAAGAAAGAAATTAAAGAGGAAATAAAAAAATTTCTTGAAACAAATGAAAGTTGAAACACAACATACCAAAACCTATGACATACAGTAAAAGCAGTGCTAAGATGGAAATTATAGTAATAAGTGCCTACAGCAAAAACCTAGAAAGATTTCAAATAAGCAATCTAATGAGGCACCTCTAGGAAGTAGAAAAACAGGAACAAGCCAAACCCCAAATTAGTAGAAGGAAAGAAATAACAAAGATCAGAGCAGAACTAAATGAAACAGAGGTTAAAAGAACAATGCAAGGATCAATAAAATGAAAGTTGGTTTTTGAAAGATAAGTAAAATCAATAAACCACTGTTAGACTAATGAAGAGAAAAAGAGAGAAGATCCAAATAAAACCAGAAATGAAAAAGAAGACATTCAACTGATACCACAGAAGTACAAAAGGTCACTAGAGACTATTATGAACAACTGCACACTAACAAACTAGAAAACCTAGAAGAAATGGATAAATTCCTGGAAACGTTCAACCTACCCAGACTGAACTGGGAAGAAATAGAAAACCTGAACAGACCAGTATGAGTAGTGAGATTGAATCGCTAACAAAAAGTCTTCCAAAAAAGAAAATTCCAGGACTGGATGGTTGTTCTTAAAAGCATTATTTATACAGTAGTCCCCACTTATCTGTGAGGGATACGTTCCAAAACCCCCAGTGGATGCCTGAAACCATGGATAGTACTGAACTTTGTATATACTGTTTTTTCATATACATAAATTCTTATGATAAAGTTTAATGTATAAATTAGGCACAGTAAGAGATTAATAACAATAACTAATAATAAAATAGAACAGTTTATAACACTACACCAGCATAGATGCTTTTTGTGCTTTGAGGCCGTTATTAAGTAAAATAAGAGTTACTTGAACACAAGCACTGTGATACCATGACAACTGATTTGATAACCAACACCAACCGTGACCAACTGGCAGGTAGCATATACAGTGTGGATATGCTGGACAAAGAAATGCTTCACATCCTGGATGGGACAGAGGGAGATGGCAGGAGATTTCATCATGCTACTCAGAATGGCATCAATTTAAAACTTATAAATTGTTGTTTATGGCATTTTTCATTTAATATTTTTGGACTGCTGTTGACTGTGGATAGTGAAATCATGGAAAGTGAAATCACAGACAAGAGGGCGCTATTGTAATAGCAAAACCAAAACAAAACCTGAGAATAGCCTAAATGTTCATCAACACTAGAATGGATATAGGATTCATGATTTATACATAACGGAATTCCATAGAGGAATGAAAATGACCGAAAAGAAGCTCCTCTAAAAAATGAGTGAATCCTGTGCAAAAGAAGCCAAACAAAAGAATGTATGATTTTATTCATATGTACTTCAAACAGAAGATAAACTAGACTCTAGTATTTAAAGTTGCAAGCTTAGGCAACAAACTATAAACAAAAACAAAGAATGAATGTTATTAAAGTCAGGAAAACATTTACATCTTGGAGAAATAGAAGGGGTTTGTGATGGGAAGGCAGGCACGAGGTTTTTAGCAGTGCTGGTAATGAGCAATTTTTCTTTTAAACCAGGGTTGCAACTATATGGCTGTTTGTTAGACAACATTTTAAGCTATACATCTGTTCCCTGTACTTTTTGAATGTGTTCTATGTTTCACCATTTTAAAGTTTTTAAAACATGATCAGTTTGGTTTTATTAACACCATGAAATACCCAGCAGCTCAAGGTTAATCATCATTGTGGGGTGGCAGTGTTTAAGGTTCAGAGATGGTGATAAGGAAGAGGGGTGTGAATTCTCTTTCATGTCAAGTGATTGAACATCTTACTTGGGCAATCTAAGGTGGTAAAAGCTGGAGTCCTAAGAAGTCCATTTACATCTTGGAGAAAGAGGGGTTTGTTATATTCCTGCCTTCCGTGACATAAAAAAGGTAGGCAGACTATTCTTTCCGCAGTTGTACTATTGCCTGAAGTGAGGAAAGTAATAAAATAGGGTGTACTGAATACTGTCTGATTGACACAGTGTTTTTCTATATAAAAACTAGTGATAATCTTTAAATAACGTAGGACTCTAGCCTACACCCTTACCTTTCCAAATGCATACAGACTATCTCAATGCACAATAACTTACTGATACCGGAAGAGAGAAATAATCAAATGTATAAGGGGAAAATTCAGGATGAAATAGGAATACAGGTCTTACCAGGTAATAGAAGACCCATCCCCTAGGAGTTCCCTGATTTCATCTCGGCATCTCTGCTGATGCTCAGGGTACTTTGCCAAGCAGTAAAGGATCCAGGAGATAGCACTGGATGTGGTGTCATGTCCTGCAAACATGAACGTTTTCACTTCAGCCTGGAGATCTGCTTCAGAGAAATCTTTGGTGTTTTCGCTCTAAAAAATACAGTGATGATCTTTATCCAAAGCTGGCTATGGATTGTTATCTTTTTCAATTGTAGCAATGATAATACAAAAAGATTAATGTTGTAAAATTCAAAATTAATACAACTAATTTGGCATATATTTTTCTATTTTACTTTTTTCAAACCTTAACAGAACACCAGGCAATGTAGAAAGAAATGACTCAACAGAATTCAACTGGGCAGAATAAATTGAGAGTCCTATGGACGTTCATATTTTATGATTTATTAATTTTACTTAAGGGAATAAACTCTAAGAAAATGTTTATTATGTACAAGAATGTTTAATACCATAGTCAAAAGAAGGAAAGACCGCAAGTGGCCAAAAATAGGGAAAGGTAAAATAAATTATGGACCATCCATAAAATGGGACACTATGTAGTAACTAAAATTATGTCTTTGAATAACTTCTTAATGATAAAGGGAAAGCTCATGATTTATTATTAGGTGAAAAGAGCAGTATTAGAAATGTATTACATATGAATATGTGAGTTAATAGTAATTTTAAAATATACAAGTTGAATAGACAAAATATTGAAGGAAAATAGTAGTATTACCAAATGGGATTGCAGGCAGTTTTAGTTTTCTTTAGTGTCTATTTAATTTTGTTTAACAATTAATATGTACTATTTTTCCACCAACAACAGGTAATCCAAGAGCCAAATCATGAATGAACTACCATTCACAACTGCCACAAAAGAATAAAATATGTAGGAATACATCTAACAGGGGAAGTGAAGGACCTTTTCGAGAAGAACTACAAACCACTGCTCAGAGAAATCTGGGATGACACAAACAAGTGGGAAAGCATTCCATGCTCATGGATAGGAAGAATCAATATCATGAAAATGGCCATATTGCCCAAAGCGATTTATAGATTCAATGCTGTTCCCATTAAACTACTATTGAGATTCTTCATAGAATTAGAAAAAACTTTTAAAATTCATATGGGGCTGGGTGCAGCGGCTCACGCTTGTAATCCCAGCACTTTGGAAGGCCGAGTTGGGAGGATCACTTGAGTTCAGGGGTTCAAGACCAGCCTGGCCAACATGGTGAAACCCCCATCTCCACTGAAAATACAAAAATTAGCTGGGCATGATGGTTGGCATCTGTAATCCCAGCTACTCGGGAGACTGAGACATGAGAATCACTTGAACCTGGGAGGTGGAGGTTGCAGTGAGCCAGGAGCACACCACTGCACTCCAGCCTGGGTGACAGAGAGTCAGTCTCAAAAAAAAAAAAAAAAATCATATGGAACTGAAAAAGAGCCTGAATAGCCAAGACAATCCTAAGAAAACAAACAAACAAACAAACAAACAAACCAAAGCTGGAGGCCTCTCCAAATTATACCACAAGACTACAGTAACTAAAAAAGCATGGTACTGGTACAAGAACAGACACAGAGACCAATGGAACAGAATAGGGAACCCAGAAATAAAACTGCACACCTACAATCATCTGATCTTCAGCCAAGTCAACAATAACAAGCAATGGAAAAAGGATTCCCTATTTAATAAACCATGCTGGGAGAACTGGCTAGTCATATGGAAAAAATGGAAACTTCTTTACATTATGTGCAAAAATCACCTCAAGATGGATTAAAGACTTAAATGTAAAACCCAAAACTATAAAAACCCCAGACAAAAATCTAGGCAATACCATTCAGGACATAGGCATGGGCAAAGACTTCATGACAAAGATGTCAAAAGCAATAGCATTTGACCCAACGATGCCATTACTGGGTATATACCCAAAGGAATACAAATCATTCTATTATAAAGATACATGCACATGTATGTTCACTGCAGCACTATTCACAATAGCAAAGACATGGAATCAACTTAAATGCCCGTCAATAATAGATGGGATAAAGAAAATGTGGTACATATACACCATGGAATACTATGCAGACATAAAAAGGAATGAGATCATGTCGTTTGCAGGGACATGGATGGAGCTAGAAGCCATTATCCTCAGAAAACTAACACAGGAACAGAAAACCAAATACCACATGTTCTCACTTATAAGTGGGAGCTGAATGATGAGAACACATGGACACGTGGTGCGGGAACAATACACCTGGGGCCTGTTGGAGGGTGGGGGCTGGGAGGAGGGAGAGCATCAAGAATAGCTAATGAGGCCAGGCACAGTGGCTCACGCCTGTAATCCTAGCATTTTGGGAGGCTGAGGCGGGCAGATCATTTGAGGTCAGGAGTTTGAGACCAGCCTGGCCAATATGGTGAAACCCCGTCTCTATTAAAAATACAAAAATATTAGCCAGGCATGGTGGCAATGCCCGTAGTCCCTGCAACTTGGGAGGCTGAGGCAGGAGAATCGTTTGAACCTGGGAGGTGGAGTTTGCAGTGAGCCAAGATCGCGCCACTGCACTCCAGCCTGGGCGACAGAGTGAGGCTCCATTAAAAAAAAAAAAAAAAAAAGAAGAGCAAATGAATGCTGGGCATAATATCTAGATGATGGGATGATCTGTGCAGCAAACCACTATGGCACATGTTTACCTATGTAACAAACCTGCACATCCTCCACATGTACCCCTGAACTTAAGAGTTGGAAATCAAAAAGAAAAAAGGTATTAACTCAAAATAAAAACAGTGTGTACTATTTTTCTAATCAGCAAATGTTATTTTATTTTTTACTATTATTTTTAGAGTCGATATCTTGCTCTGTCACACAGTCTGGAGTGCAGTGGCATGATTAGCTTTGAATTCCTGTTCAAGTGATCCTCCCACCTCAGTCTCCAGAGTAGCTAGGGCTACAGGCAGTGCTGCCACACCTGGATAATTTTTAAATTTTTTATAGAGTTGGGGTCTTGCTATGTTGCCCAGGCTTGTCTCAGACTCCTGGCCTTAAGTGATCCTCCTGCCTCTGTCTTCTGAGTCGCTGGATTACAGGTATGAGCCACCATGCTCAGCAGAAAATTAAATTTTTTTTTAACAAGTCATTAGTTCCTGGGAATTCTATTTCACTTCCAAATCCACCTCATTTTGCAGTGCCCTGTTCTTAGTAGTCCTGGTTTAGGAAGAGTCGTGTTTCACATGATCAAGGTAGCCAACACAATGAAAGTTGAGTTCACAGAGTATTTATTTATTTTGGTCCCTCACAGAGTATCTATTTATTTTTGGTCCCTCACAGAGTATTTGTTTATTTTTGTTCCCTCAAATAATTCAGCACAATTAAATTCAGCAAATATTTATTGAACACTTGGAGATGATGATGGAAAATTATGTTCACATGGTGCCATTTGGTACAACGGAAATGGCATGAGATTTGGACCAAACCAGAATTGTCTTAAATCCTGGCTTTGTTAGTTTTAGGTATGTCATCTTGAGCAGTTCACTTCACTTTTTGAGCCACAATTTCTCTTCCTTACATAAAGATATTTATAAATACCCCACAGGTTGTTATAATAAAGGTTGAAGATGCTTGGCACATAAGCAAAAATTATGAATAAATATGTATTAAAATATAAAATAACTACAAAATAAAATAAAAATATTGTTTTTCTCACCACATGTCAGTATCTTTACACATATAATCTAATTTTATCCTTACAGGATTGCTAGCCTGGTGTGCAACAATAGTTGTCATATATTGAGTGACTGTTGATTGCCAAGTCCTTCACTTTTCTCATGAACATCACGTGGACACCTCATGAGACAGTCACCAAGCACTGTGCTAATCACTAGGGAAACAGGAATAAAATATGATCCTAGTCTTCTAGGATGGGGTTTTTCAAACTTTAATTGCAAATGAAACACCGAGGGATATGTTGAAATGAAGATTCTAACCCACTAGGTCTGAGGTAGGGCCTAAGATTCTGCATTTCTAACAAGCTCCCAGGTTTTACCAATGCTGCTGGTCTATAGACCACATGTCGAGGAAGAAGGTTTCAGCAGCTTGTGGGCTTGGAAAAAGACAGACAAGTGCCCAGATAATTAAAATGTGACACTGGAGGCATGAGGGAAAGCCCTGGGAGGACAAGCAGGAAAATCTTCACAAGGGAAGTTCAATATGTATCAGTTATCATATAAGTAAGTTTTTCTAATTTATTTATTTGTTATTTTAATTTTACTTATTTATTTATTTTTTGAGACAGAGTCATGCTCTACCACCTCCTGGGTTCAAACGACTCTCCCACCTCAGCCTCCCAAGTAGCTGGGACTACAAGCATGCACCACCATGCCCAGCTAATTTTTGTGTTTTTTGTAGAGACCAGGTTTCACTATGTTGGCCAGGCTTGTCTCAAACTCCTGACCTCAAGTGATCTGCCCGCCTTGGCCTCCCAAAATGCTGGATTACAGGTGCTAGTCACTGTGCCCGGCCTATTTCTTTATTATTTAATTATTGAGTCGAATGTGTTCAGAAGTTTAGAAGACTTACTTTGGCACTCAAAAGTATGTCCAGAAAATCCCAGCGCCTTTTCTGAGTAGTATCTTGTTTTAGCTTATCCTTAAGAGACTCCTTCCGGTCCTGGATTACTTTCTCTAGATGGAAAAATTATGATCTTTGTTATTATCAAGGTTACTGGAAAGTCAATCAAAGCCAAATGTAGTTCTGAGAAGCTGGTGCTTTATCGGTAGCCCCTGGCTGCCCCCCACCCAATGTTCCTGAGTTGGTAAGGGACAGTACCACTAGCTGTCTTTTTAAAAAAATCGTCCCATCCCACCTTTTAGCCACAATTTCTCTTCCTTCAAATAAGGATGTTTAAATGTATCACACAGGGTTGTTGTAAAGGTTGGAGGTGTTTGACATATATGCTTAGAGGTGCTTGGTACATAAATTTAATTCAAAGGTTGTAAAATTTGTTTGTGATGTAGGGTACTGTTACCAATCGCTGAGCTTAATTTGTACAACCTAGGCTTTGGTTTTAAAGAAAAAGATGAGATGTCATATCTCATGGTAGAGACTGGTGCTCAAATTGAGTGGCAGAGGAATACTGAAAATATTCCCCTTGAGAACTGGAACAAGACAAGGAAGCCTACTCTCACCACTCCTATTTAACATAGTACTGGGAATGCTAGCCACAGCAATCAGGCAAGAGAAAGAAATAAAAAGCATCCAAATAGGAAAATAAGAAATCAAACTTTCTCTCTTTGTAGATGACAAAGTTCTATGCCTGGAAAACCCTGAAGACTCTGCCAAAAGGCTCCTGGAACTGATAAATGACTAGTGGAAACAGAAATTCTCTCCATAACACACATTGTTGGTTCTCTGCAGTACGTTGTGGCTTTCCAACGTTTCCTTTTTGTGCCTTTTCTACTGGAAACTAGGCTCTAAGCTACTTCTGTGAACAGGAAAGTTCTGCCTTTAGCAGTTAGGAGTAAAATGTCTTCCATAGCCAAATTTTAGTCTCCATATTGTCCCATCAGCATGAAAATAGCCCCTCAGTTCCTATGTTCTTTTAAGACATCCAATCTGTTTCCTACTAAAATGGTACTTAGTAAGGGGATTCTAAGTTTGGAAGTTAACCGGAACCATTTTTCTAAGGTAAATGCTTTAGCATGGGCCATAATAGCAGGCAATTTGGCACATTGCCTCCATTAAAGGAGGCTTGCCCAAAAATGACACAGTCTCTCATATTTTGGGGAGCCGGGCAGATTACACAGGTTTAGGAAGTGAAAAGAGGAATGACACAAGGTGGATAAGCTAAGGTTGTGTGGGTAAAGCATCACTTAGTTCATCTGGTTCCATAGCTTGGAGGACCACGCCTTCGACCATAGGTGGCATATTTAACAGGGTGCTGGGACCCAAGAACCAGGGAGAGAAAACAGCCAGAAGGATGCTCCCCTGTCTTGTCCTTCACCCTGGGTCATATGGAAAGGAAGGAGACTAAAAGAACTCTCACATCTTTTTCTAGATGGGTAACAGATTATCTTCAGCTTGCACCCCTCTGGAGTGCACTCTGAAACACTGGAACTTCTTTAACCTCAGGACTTCAAAAAGAAAAGCAACTCATTTTCTTTTGCACAAGTGCATGGCATTTTTACTAAACCCTTGCAAACATCGTAAGATCAACCCAACTCTTTTAACAATCATATCAGGCAGGCCCAAAAAAGAATAGTTCCCCCAAATTAGAGAAGTAACCTCCAGGGAAACCATCTGAGGATTCCCCTTATTTGGGGCCCCTTCAAGTTCCCTTCTCATTATAGGACCTTAGGCAAATAAATGGAGACTTAGGCCAGTTTTCTAATGACCCTGATAGGTATTTAGAGGCTTTCCAAAATTTAACTCAGGTATTTCACCTGCCATGGAGGGATGTTATGCTGTTCCTAAACCAGACCCTCACAGCAGCTAAAAATCAGGCAGCTCTGCAAGCAACAGAAAATGTTGGAGATGAGCAATATATCTCCTATAATACACCAAAAGGGAAGAAAGCAGATAGGGAAAGTGAAGAAATAGCAAAAACACCATTCCCAATTGGGAGAGAGGCAATTCTGGTAAAGACCCCTAATTGCAACCCCAATAACTCAGAAGATAAATGGAAAAGGAAGCACTTTTTAATATGCATTTTAGAAGGCCTATGGAAAACCAGGACCAACCCTCTCAATTACTCTAAACTGTCTGTAAGAGACCAGAAGCCAGATAAGAATTCCGTAGCCTTTACAGAAAGGCTGAGAGAGGCTGTACTAGAACCCCAATATTAGAAGGAAAGTACAGAAGCAAGCTATAGGACCAGATAGCACCTTAGAGAACCTCCTGAATGTGGCCACTTTGGTCTTTTATAATAGGGACCAGGGGGAGGCCCAAAAGAAGAGAAAAAGCTCAGGAGAAGGAGAGAGACGGTAGCAACAACTTTGCAGGCTTGCAAAGTCCAGGATCCCCAAGTTGCATCCGCTAGTTTCTATCGGTGTGGCATTTTAAGAAGGAGTGCCCAGGCAGCAAGACAAAGCCAGCGTGACCCTGTCCAGCCTGTGGCACAGATCACTGGAGATGGAAGTGCCCCCAGAGGTGGAGGTCACTGGGTTCAGGACCACTCTCACAGATGGTCCAGCAGGACTGATGGGTCCTGAGACTCAAATGCCGACTCCAGTGGCTCAAACTGCTATTACAGCACGGGAGCCCTGGGTGATTCTGGAAATTAAAGGAAGGAAAGCGGACCTCCTTCTGAACATTAGAGCCAGTCTCCTTTCTCCCCTTTAACTCCAGGCCTCCCCTCTTCCCACAGCAGGACCGGAAGGGGCATATCAGGAAAAACTCTGATCCAATATTTTTCTCAACCTTAGTTGCAGTTAGAACTTATTGTTTACACGTGTTTCCAAACCATCGTCATAACAGCTCTACTAGCAAAAAAAAGCCTCCAGGTTAACCCTAGGAAATAATTTAACTGTTTACACTCCACATGATGTGGCATTATCACTGTCCTGTAGGGGGAGCTCTTAGTTAACAAACAGCCAGTAAAGCAAGAAGTACATAAGGCAGGATAAGCAGTAGTCACTCTAAATAATGTCTCTCCCCAGGCACAAGCACTTAATTGACGGAGCTAATAGCTCTTACAAGAGCACTTGAATTAAGCAAGGAAAGGTAGCTAACATTTATACCTACTCCAAGTATGCTCTCTTAGCTCTCCATGCTCATGCTGCCATTTAAAAGGAAAACCGCCAATGGACCTCCTATAAAATATCACCACAAAATTAGCAGGTTATTATCCTCAGTTTTTCTTCCATGAGCAATAGGAGGGATGCATTGTAGGGGACATCAAAAGGGAACAAATAAGATAGCCGAAGAAAATAGGTTAGCTGATCAGGCAGCTAAATCAAAGGCAAGGAAGCCTCAGGGCATCAACATGCTTCAAGCCCCTTCTAATTTAGGAAGGCGTCATAAGAGAAATTAAATCCCAGTATTCCCCTGCAGAAATAAAATAGGCCACTTCTCAAGGGCATACTTTTCAGTTCTCAGGATGGTTACAGTCAGGATGGCAAACTCTATTTGCCAGCCTCCAGCCAATGGAAAGTCCTTAAAATCCTTTGCCAAGCTTTTCACTTGGAAAAGGACAAAAACTTATCAATGTGCTCAGAGATTGTTTCAGGCAGGAAACCTCTAAATTGGTTAAGCATGTAAACTCTCTAGCTCACTTCCAATAGACGATAACACAACTAACAAGAACCCAATCCCAAGAAATAGAAACACCTTTATTTAACCCAGGAAATTTGGTATTGGTGAAAACTCTCAGCTCTTTCTCCTTCCCTAAGTCAAGCTGGAAAAGGCCCTACACTGTTCTTCTTTCAACCCCCTCAGCAGTAAAAGTTACAGGAATCAACTCCTGGATACATCACACTCAAGTCAAAGCCTGAAGAGCTGAGGGAGCAACCCCTGACAGCTCAGAGGAATGTCTCCATATCAATGTGAAGAAACAGAGGATCTTAAGCTGAAAATCATGAAAGATAAGTAACTGAGTGACGGCTACTTATCTTACTCAGTCCCTCTCCTACCTCACCAGATACTTTTCACTATTTCTAACCTTTCCTCTCAAAGATCATCACCAGATACTAAAACCTCTTTTTAACGCATATTTGCAGGGAGATTTTAATTATTCGTAGAATCGCATTTGTAACTTTGTAAATCCCCAAAGGGAAATGTTATGTAAACTTTTCAAAGGAAATTATTTACTATGCCACTCTTGTGGGAATTGTTATAGTCATGCTACTATTTGCAAAAGAAGTATACACTGTAGCACCCACAATGTGGAACTCTGGTTATAAAATTCTAATTGCTGTAATATCTTGCCTAATTATTATCCTTATAACAGGATTAATAATTGCAGGAAAGATTTAGTCAAGGTTGTTTTGCTTATGGCAGGAGTAATAGTTATGGATAAGAAACAAGTATGAAAATTTTACTATCATTAAGTTTAATAGGACTTTTTACTGAAGGTTCATAATATAATCCACTTTAAGCTATGAAGAGAAGGTTATAAAGAAGAAGATTTTATAAAAGAAAGGATTTTGTATGGTAAATACTTGTCCTAAAAAAGATGACTGGTTGTTTAAAGGAAGAATGTTTAGGACATGTCAGAAATTTTAAGTATGTTGTAAGAGGGTCTATGAAAGTCAGAAAAAATTAATAATTAAAGGAAAGGAATTGTGAGATTAACACTAAAGTTGTTTTAGCATCCAATATCATATTTCTCCCAATCATATTGCAAGTTATAAAAATGGCCTAAGCCTGAACTTATTCTCTAAGCAAACCTAACTGCTGTGAAGGGGCATTGGACGACAATTCTTTCTTGCTACTGCCTGCTGAAAAGGGGCGTTGTGTGGGAGAAAGGCAGTTGGGCCTCCTCCTGAGGTTGATCTAAGGGTTCTCAAAAAAATAGCTTGTTCATGTGTGGTTCTGCCTGCAGCACTGTTTGGAGTTTGATTGCTTCTAGGTGAAAAGAGATAAATTTTACAAGAAGGTTTAAAATATAGGGTTAGAATATGAGTATTAAGAGTATCACTGTTAATGGGGATAACTATAGGCCATAACAGAGTTTGATACCTGTTACACCAATGGATTGCAATATTGGTTTGCGTCCATTAGGTGTCGCTGTGCATTACCAGAAACATTAACATAAAAGTAACATTTTTCTTAAGAAAAGCATACATTTCCCCCTTGACTTGTCATTAGAGAATAACTTCCACAATGTGGAATTCTGGTTGTAAAATTCTAATTGCTGTAATATTTTGCCTAATTATTATCCGTATCCTGCACATCCTGCACATATACCTCGGAACTTAAAAAAAAATTATTAAAAAAACCCATCACAACAATATTTAAAAATATGAGAAGTAGTAAATAGAGGTTCAAATGGTGTAAGATCCTTGCATTTTCAGGGAAGTATTTAATGTAATTACATATGTTAGATTCTAATAAATAAAGACTACATGTTGTAATTTCTAGCATACCCATGAAAACTAAACTTATGATCTAAAACAGAAAAAATAATAATATAAAATGATCCAGCAATTAATAAAAGAAGGGATAAAAATCGGTTAAATAGAAAACAAATAGTTACACGGCATGTTGAAATCCAAATATTCTAGTGATTACATTAAATATAAGTGGTTTAAATGCTCTAACCAAAGCACAAATATTTTCAGACTACATAAGCAAAATCTAAATAAATGCTGCATATGAGAAATAAACCTTGGCTGAGCACAGTGGCTCACGCCTGTAATCCTAGCACTTTGGGAGGCTGACGCAGGCAAATTGCTTGAGCTCAGGAGTTCGAAACCAGCCTGCACAAAATGGTGAAACCCTGCCTCTAGTAAAAAAAAAATACAATATTTAGCCGGGTGTGGTGGCACACACCTGTAGTCCCAGCTGCTTGGGGGGCTGAGGCAGGAGGATCACTTGAACCCAGGAGGTTGAATCTGCAGTGAGCTGAGATAGTGCCACCACACTGCAGCCTGGGTGATAAGGTGAGACCCTGTCTCAAAACAAAACAAAAACAAAAAACAAAAAAAAATTGGAGAATCAAATAGACACATTTGAAGAATCAAATAGACGAAAAAAAAATGATAAAGGGATGTCACCACCAATCCCACAGAAATACAAACTACTATCAGAGAATACTATAAACGCCTCTAAGCAAATAAACTAGTAAATCTAGAAGAAATGGATAAATTACTGGACGCATACACCCTCCCAAGACTAAACCAGGAAGAAGTTGAATCTCTGAATAGACCAATAACAGGCTCTGAAATTGAGGCAATAATTAATAGCCTACCAACCAAAAAAAGTACAGGACCAGATGGATTCACAGCCAAATTCTACCAGAGGGACAAGGAGGAGCTGGTACCATTCCTTCTGAAACTATTCCAATCGATAGAAAAAGAGGGAATCCTCCCTAACTCATTTTATGAGGCCAGCATCATCCTGATACCAAAGCCTGGCAGAGACACAACAAAAAAAGAGAATTTTAGACCAATATCCCTGATGAACATTGATGCAAAAATCCTTAATAAAATACTGGCAAACGGAATCCAGCAGCACATCAAAAAGCTTATCCACCATGATCAAGTGGGCTTCATCCCTGGGATGCAAGGCTGGTTCAACATACGCAAATCAATCAACGTAATCCAGCATATAAAGAGAACCAAAGACAAAAACCACATGATTTTCCCAATAGATGCAGAAAAGGCCTTTGACAAAATTCAACAGCCCTTCATGCTAAAATCTCTCAATAAATTAGGTATTGATGGGATGTATCTCAAAATAATAAGAGCTATTTATGACAAACCCACAGCTAATATCATACTGAATGGGCAAAACCTGGAAGCATTACATTTGAAAACTGGCACAAGACAGGGATGCCCTCTCTCACCACTCCTATTCAATGTAGTGTTGGAAGTTCTGGCCAGGGCAATCAGGCAAGAGAAAGAAATAAAGGGCATTCAATTAGGGAAAGAGGATGTCACATTGTCCCTGTTTGCAGATGACGTTATTGTATATTTAGAAAACCCCATTGTGTCAGCCCAAAATCTCCTTAAGCTGATAAGCAACTTCAGCAAAGTCTCAGGATACAAAATCAATGTGCAAAAATCACAAGCATTCTTATACACCAATAACAGACAAACAGAGAGCAAATCATGAGTGAACTCCCATTTACAATTGCTTCAAAGAGAATAAAATACCTAGGAATCCAACTTACAAGGGATGTGAAGGACCTCTTCAAGGAGAACTATAAACTACTGCTCAATGAAATAAAAGAGGATACAAACAAATGGAAGAACATTCCATGCTCATGGGTAGGAAGAATCAATATCGTGAAAATGGCCATACTGCCCAAGGTAATTTATACATTCAATGCCATCCCCATCAAGCTACCAATGACTTTCTTCACAGAATTGGAAAAAAACTACTTTAAAGTTCATATGGAACCAAAAAAGAGCCCTCATTGCCAAGTCAATTGTAAGCCAAAAGAACAAACCTGGAAGCATCACACTACCTGACTTCAAACTATACTACAAGGCTACAGTAACCAAAACAGCATGATACTGGTACCAAAACAGAGATATAGACCAATGGAACAGAACAGAGCCCTCAGAAATAATACCACACATGTACACCCATCTGATATTTGACAAACCTGACAAAAACATGAAATGAGGAAAGGATTCCCTATTTAATAAATGGTGCTGGGAAAACTGGCTAGCCATATGTAGAAAGCTGAAACTGGATCCCTTCCTTACACCTTATACAAAAATTAATTCAAGATGGATTAAAGATTTAAATGTTAGACATAAAACCATAAAAACCCTAGAAGAAAACCTAGGCAATACCATTCAGGACATAGGCATGGGCAAGGACTTCATGTCTAAAACACCAAAAGCAATGGCAACAGAAACCAAAATTGACAAATGGGATCTTATTAAACTAAAGAGCTTCTGCACAGCAAAAGAAACTACCATCAGAGTGAACAGACAGCCTACAGATGGGAGAAAATTTTTGCAATCTCCTCATCTGACAAAGGGCTAATATCCAGAATCTACAAAGAACTCAAACAAATTTACAAGAAAAAAACAAACAACCCCATCAAAAAGTGGGCAAAGGATATGAACAGACACTTCTCAAAAGAAGACATTTGTGCAGCCAACAGACACATGAAAAAATGCTCATCATCACTGGCCATCAGAGAAATGCAAATCAAAACCACAATGAGATACCATCTCACACCAGTTAGAAAGGCGATCATTAAAAAGTCAGGAAACAACAGGTGCTGGAGAGGATGTGGAGAAATAGGAACACTTTTACACTGTTGGTGGGACTGTAAACTAGTTCATCCATTGTGGAAGACAGTGTGGCGATTCCTCAAGGATCTAGAAGTAGAAATACCATTTGACCCAGCCATCCCATTACTGGGTATATACCCAAAGGATTATAAATCATGCTGCTATAAAGACACATGCACACGTGTGTTTACTGTGGCACTTTTCACAATAGCAAAGACTTGGAACCAAGCCAAATGTCCAACAATGATAGACTGGATTAAGAAAATGTGGCACATATACACCATGGAATACTATGCAGCCATAAAAAAGGATGAGTTCATGTCCTTTGTAGGGACATGGATGAAGCTGGAAGCCATCATTCTCAGCAAACTATCACAAGGACAAAAAACCAGACACCGCATGTTCTCACTCATAGGTGGGAATTGAACAATGAGAACACTTGGACACAGGAAGGGGAACATCACACACTGGGGCCTGTTGTGGGGTGGGGGGAGGGGGGTGGGATAGCATTAGGAGATATACCTAAGGTAAATGACAAGTTAATGGGTGCAACACATCAATATGGCACATGTATACATATGTAACAAACCTGCACGTTGTGCACATGTATCCTAGAACTTAAAGTATAATAATAAAAAAAAGGAAAAGAAAAAGAAAAAAAGACATAAACCGCAAATATAAGGGCACAGAAATGGAAAAAAAAGAGTATGGAATAATATACTATCAAAATACTAACCAAAGGAAAGCAGAGGTTATCATACTAGTAGCAGATAGAGTAGATCTTAAGACTAGAAGCATTATTAGAGAAAAAGAGGCCAATTTTATCAAGATAAAATGATAAATCAGAAATATATTCCAATTGTAAATGGCTATTGTCATAGGTAGATTTATGGTCCCTCAAAGTTATCTATGTCCTAAGTCCCCAAAAACCCATGCAAAAGGAATACTCAGTGGTGTGCTGTGTTGTTTGATGAACTGTGCATAGTAGGCAGTACCCACTCATGTTCAGTACTTGCTCAGATGTCCTGCTCTGTCTTCCTACAGAAATGTACTTCCTTTCACTTTTACTTTTCTTCACATCTGAAGCTGCTCCATAAGAAATGAAGCAAAATAGACAGATGTTTTGCTTATTGTATTAGTTCTAACACCAAACATTAAAATACAGCTATATATAGTCAATAATATAATACCCTCTACATAGCATTTATGTAGCACATTCATTTAAGAGGTACAAATTAGCATTTCTGAATGATGACCATGCCATATGTCCATAGTAGAAGCAGCCATAACCAGAGTCAATGTCTCAGACAATGAGATGTCTCATAGTGGACTCTGGCCATGTAAATCCCAGGACTAACCTGTGAACTGATGAAGTTCTTGGTTAAATTTAGAAAAGATTTGGCCTTGAGAGCTGAATTTGAAAACCAGGTCGTTGTGATGTAGAAAATTGTTCATGCGCTGGTTGGAGATTTTGCTAAGGTTGAACACTGCTTTCAGGTATGAGTCCAGGGTACTGGAATAGGGAAGATGGAACAACATGTTAGTGGGTGACACAGTTATTGGCAAACAATTACCTTCCTTTTGTCACTGACCTGTCCAACTGGATGCTGCCCTGGTGGCTGAAGGCACACTTCATGATGCTGTCCAGGGTCATCAGGGAGACATGTTGAAAGAGCTCCAGACGTGAGTTTTGGGCAATGTGTTCCTCCCATTTGTTCTGGGGCAGGGGATGAATATCATGATCATACACATGCCCATCTTTCCCAATTTCTAAGTTATTTTATGTCCCTTTTAGAGCTTGCTGGGTTTGAAAATATAAAGCGTACAAAATGAATTTGCCTTATTATGACAACCATATAAAATGAAACACCTTGTCAGTACTGAAAATGATACTGTGCCTTAGATGCTATTTGTGACTTTGTAAGGGTGGGGAAATAGCTATTTTTCCCTCTTTTTCAAGTTTCATTAGTACAATTTATATGACTTTTATCATGGAAAAACTAAGCTGACAAAACATGGAATAAAAAATAAATAAGAATTCAAAAACATCTGTAGAGAGCATAAATAAACAGAGGTTTTTGATTCTAGGAAAAGATCCCTAAAAATATTTAGTACTTGACAAGTTTTTTCCCAGATCCATTGAGAATTTAGAGAGGAATTAGAGATAGTTCTTATTCTCAAAGAGTTTGCAGTTAAGAGTCAAGACAGAAAACCCTCAACTATATATTAGAATTCAGATGTTATTTACCCCCTTGGACATACCTGCCAATATCCCAGAAAATTTCACTTTGTCAAAAGCCAAATGTTTATTGAGACGAAGTTCTCCATTTCAATATAAATATTTATACACTGTTAAGCTGTTATTAACTCTGTAATGTGAATTAATTAATTAATTCAATTTGAAAGCTTTTTTCCAAACACGTTACTAAAATCAGATGTTCTGAAAGATTGCAACTGTCATGGAGCCAAGAAGAGTAGAGAAAGAGCAATAGGTAGGTGATAATGGGGGTGGTGTCTGTTTGGATGTGGGTAAGGGCATTGCAAGGAGAGGCAGTGGTTGGAGCAGGCTGAAGGGGGCATCATCAGGAAGGAGCCTTAGACTCGAAGAGAGGTGCATCAGTTCAGGGTGTGCTCTTCCAACTCAAGGAAGCTTGAGTTTGAACTCAACTCTTCCTCTAATCTGCCTTATGATCATGTATTTTTAGTAGAGATGGGGTTTGGCCATGTTGGCCAGGCTGGTCTTGAACTCCTGGGCTCAAGCCATCCACCCACCTTGGCCTCCCAAAGTGCTGGGATTACAGGCATGAGCCACTGCACCTGGCCTGCCTTGTGACCTTGAACAAACTGCTTAATCTCTGCATCTCAATATCCTTACTAGCAAAATGGAGATAATACAGCAAAATTGTAAGACTGTAGTAGTATAAAAGGATATAATAAGCCTGATGCATAGTAAGTGCTTAAAAAGTATTTGCAGTCACTATATTTATATGTTTTGCTTTGATTTTTATTTTGGAGTGGGACGTGGGCATGGTGACGAGGGTCATAAAGGATAACAACATGGCACACTGGAAAATATGGGGCCAGTATGAATCCAAGCTGACGTGTTTAGGGGAACCCATGTCTCTGAGCCCCTGTATCATTAAGAAGTCTTTGTGACTAGGATTGAGATCCTGTGTATAGAATTGCTTTACTCCATGCCTGGGATCTTAGAAACTTAGTCTTTGAGTTGTCGCAATCACCTCATTCAGGACCCCTGAAACGGACCTTAGGTGTGCTCAAAACCACCTCGCATGTCTTTGCCATCCAAACTCCAAGAGGACAGGTGTGGAGACACACAATTGTGTCTTCTCTATGGGTTTTAGATTGTCTTGTGACATCTCTGCACCCTCTTCTGCCTCAGCCAAAGCTAAAGCTCCCTTTTCTCCTTGACCACAAGGCCATCTTTTCTCTGAGTCCCCATCTCTAGAAATCCTCCCCATTCTCCAAGACTCAGCTCGTGTCACCTTTCTTAGGAAGTGTTTCCTGACTCGACCTCCTGAACATGATACATTTCTCTATGTTGGCATGGCTACTCCTATGGGTGTCTTTGCTCTTCTGCCTTGTGTTCTCCAAATGTAGTGAGTCTACTGGACTCACTCACTCATTCATTCAGCTACTTCTCATTGAGCACCTACCCTGAGTCCATCCCTGTGAGAAGTGTTGGGTATACAAGACAGGGTCCTTGCCCTGATGATGATGGTCATGGTCTAAACATCAAATAACCCCATATAAACTGCTGTGAACATGGTTCTGAGGGAACTCAGAGTCTCCCACACCATATGGCTGGCAGCACCTCACTTCAGAGGCCAGGTACGAATGCTCTCTTCTCCTCTTACCAGCATCATCCGAACACTCTCAGACATCATGGTGATGAATATTTTCAGAATGCTGATGTTGAAGCCAGGTTTCACAATCTGGCGGTGCTTTTTCCATTTAGAACCATCCAGGGTCACAAGTCCTCGACCTTATGAAATGAGAGGGGCAACTGTTTCTATCAGAGGCCAGGTAAGTGAAGAAAGACTAGGCACGCAGTGAGCAATTCCCTATCTATGACACTGGAGAAAAGTTAGAGTGGACAGAGCTTTGAAAGAGTGAATGAGCAGGAGTAGACCTAATCCTTTGGGAATTAAGTCCAAATCAGAAAATTTGTTTATACAATGAACTCAAAAAAAGGTCCATCCTATCCTATTTGATGGTCAGATTCATCAGCCTCTTGATAAGAGTTCAAATTTAGGGTGGGTGAGAATTGCCCGAGGTGCTTGCTAGAGGCAGATTCCTTGGCTTAATCCTTCAGAGCCAATAATTCCTAGGTGTTGAAGTAGAATCAAGGACTTTTGAGTTATGACAAGGGTCCCAGCTAGTTCAGGTCCACACTTTGAGAAATACTGCCTTAGACTGGCACAAAGTTCCAGACTGAAGCAGAGGTGCTGCTTTCTTTCCATCACTTTTGTGCTTCTCTTCAGGCTGAGGATCAATGATGGAGGACTAAAGGGGCTTTTCTTTATCATTCCTGCTGGTAAGTGGGTTTGAGGTCTCCACTGAGTTCATAAAAGACTTAGTTTATGAGAGTGGATTCTTTCAAAGGGATCCTCAAGAGCAAGATTTTCCAGGGGCAATTAGATTGTGGAAAACTGATAATGAAATTTGTGGTGAATAATATTTTAAATTCTCTGTATGGTGGGAAATCTAAGGAGAGGGAGAGAAGGTGCCCATGCACGTTTGATCCAGGGATCTGGGGCTACTACCCAGATCCTGAATCTTCTGGTGTGAACTTGCTTAGCTGCACAGGCAGGTTGCCCAGAAAAGGGAGGGGAAGTGTGGAGGGAAAAGGAGAGAGAATGATCTTAAGCAACTTTCACAATGGCAACCTCTTCCAGGGCACCATTCTCAGTAAGGTCCATGTTAGCAGGCTGAGGGACTCTCCTTCTCTTTCCATGATCCTCAAGTGGGGACTACCTGGGATAGTGACATCAGTTGGTGTGAGGAGGAGAGCATACAACCCCCCGGGCCCCTTCTTATTCCTCCACCCCTACCCCTAGTTACACCAGAAATAAAGGACCAGTCCCAAACAGGTAGAATAAGAGGAGAAGCTATGAAAGACAAGGCAAGATTGAGCTCAGGTTTCTGAAGCAAAAGCGAGTGTAGGTTGTGGTAAGGTGAGGGAGACAGGAGCATTTCGTGTCTATCAGGAAAGTAATTTCTCCCCCGACCTCCACCTCCACCAGGCTCAGATGAGAAAGGATCAGACACACATACTGATATGGTTTGGCTCTGTGCCTCCACCTGAATCTTATGTCAAATTGTAATCCTCAGTGTTGGAGGAGAGGCCTGGTGGAAGGTGACTGAGTCATGGGGGTGGATTTTCCCCTTACTGTTCTTGTGATAGAATTCTCCCTAGATCTGCTTGTTTAAAAATGTGTAACACTCCACCCCTACTCCTGGTGGCCACGTGAAGGTGTGCCTGCTTTTCCTTTTCCTTCCACCACAACTGTAAGTTTCCTGCAGCCTCCCAAGAAGCAGAACCCTGTACAGCCAATAGAACCATGAGTTGGTTAAACCTCTTTTCATTATAAGTTACCCAGTCTCAGGTATGTCTTTATAGCAGAATGAGAATGGACTAATACACATACCAACCCAGGATTCAAGGATTTTGTGGCTAACAGCACTTTTGGGATCTGTAAAACAGAACAAAGGAGGCAAAAGATGGCATTAAGTGAAAATCACGAGTTAAAATGAGAGGAAATTTTTGTATGTTTCCATATTCCTTGTGGGTAACACAAATAGCTAGTGTGCAAGGTGGTTGGAGGCTAGTTCTTCAGTACCGAGAGTCCCAGGGAAGCCACAGAATTAGAATGAGAACTTGTTTATTCTTTCTCCACAGCACTTGGTGCTACGAGGTCAATAGCAGTGGAAAACAGAGCATAATTTCCTTTGTATAATTTTCAGAGTATAATTTTCTTTCAACATAAGTTGAAAAAATACATTTGTTTTTGTTGGGGAACTCTGACAACATTTTAAAGCTCCAGTTCCTTTTCACATAGACATGTACAGCTAGACACAGGAACATGACTTTGAGATAAATTGTAGATTTTACCCTTGTTGGATTTGTTTGAGAAAGATGTATATAAATGAATCAGAAGAAAAGATAAGGGACATAACCTTGGTTTTACAGTTTTGGGAAAACAAGAATTAATGTCCTTTATTCATTCCATCAACATCTTTATGTGGGATAAAGACAGGGAAATAAAAATGGGGGAGAAAACATATGAACATCTAGGAAAAGAGAGGATTGTTAACATGAGATTCACTTTCTGCAAAAGTCCAGGTGAAATGAACCTATAAAATACCTTGAGTTCTAAGGGTAAGAAGATATCTTATGGCATTCACTCTCTCAGTCCCTAGTGTATTCTCTCTCTCTCTCTCTCTCTCCCTCTGTCCATAGACTTCAATATAAAACCACTGCCCTCTAGACATTTCCCTTTGTGTACCACACAGACACCTCAGGACCCCAGCAAATCCAAACCTGATCTATCCCTTCACTACCAGATAGCCTCCTCTTCCTCTATCCACTTAAAGGCACAAGTGTATTCCCTATTTTCCCTACCAAAAGTTGGGACCCCTTCTTAACTAATTCCACTTTCTCATCCTCCTAATCTACTTGTTGGAAGATAATTCTGGCATTTCTTCAGAAATGGGTAAAAGAGATTGATAGAATTGTTAAGGATGTTTCCAAAACTATTTTGGAAAGAATGTATGTATGTCTACATTTAAGGCTAATAAGTGTGAGCCTTTCTACTCTAGACATTCCAGGGTCCTAAAAAATAATGTCTAAGAGTGACATCAGGAAAAATGGTGGATTAGGAACTGTCCAGGGCCATCCCTTCCCAAAGCAAAAACAAAAATTATCTGGCAAAAACTGTTATAGTCAACTTTAGCAGATTTCTGGAAGACAGTTAATTGTTTACAGCAACCAGGTGCACACTTAATCAGAAAAAAGACCACTGAAAAAGGATAGAAAAGATTGGTGGCATTGCAATTTAGCCTTGCCCCACATCCCTCTCCAGTACCATGGCAATCTTGAAGATGGCAGCCTGCATTCTCAGTGGGTTCTGTTTCCTGGATCCTAGAGAAAGCAGAATGGTCCTTGTTCTCAAGGAATTTTGTTTGTTTTGACTTCTGTGTGGGTTTTCTGAAGGACAAGGGCTTTCCTATGTTTTACCTAACTCAGAATTCTCTCAGGGCAGGGAAGTGTTCCTCAAAAACATTGAGAGGCAAAAGAACTAGCACTGATTCCTGGGACAAAAAAGAACAATTGAGGCAATAATAAACACACCAAAAACTAGAAGGAAAAGCTGGGAATGAGAATTTTGTTTTGGAATCAATGCTTTAAAAAGTTCTCACATATAACAGGGAACCTACACATACCCAGGGTAGGATGCATGGTTGGAAAAGACCTGATAAGACCACAGGCTTTCAACTTTGACTAGTCCTTACACAAAGTGCAAGAAGAAAGAGAAAGCTAAGGCAAACTTGTAAATGCCCCAATTAAATATTAGAGGTGTGCCCCAACCCAGAACCAACCAGGAAAGACCTGGAGAGTATTTTTATTTTCTTTCCTACCTTTTTTTCTTTTATTCCTTTTTTTCTTACATAACATTTAAAATGTTCAGTTTTAAACAAAAAAATTACAAATCATGTAAAAGAAACAAGGAAGTATGGCCTATGCACAGGAAAAAGAAATGAAAAGAAAATGTTATTGAGGAAGCATAGACGTTGGACTTACTAGACAACTTTAAATCAACTGTCTTCAATATGCTCAAAGACCTACAATAAACCATGGCCAAAGATGAAACAAAACCAAAATACTCATGTATGAACAAATAGAGAATATTAACAAAGACATATAAGTTGTAAACAGAAACAAATAAAGTTCTAGAACTGGAGTATACAGTAACTGAAATAAAAAGTTCATAAGGTTTCAACAGTTGATTTGAGCAGGCAGAGAAAAAATTATCAAAGTTGGAGATAGGTCAATTGAGATTGTTGAATCTGAGGGGCAGAAATAGAAAACAGAATGAAAAAGTAAATGGTCCTAAGAGACCTGTGAGACACCATCAAGCATACTAACATATGCATAATTGGAGTCCCAGAAGAGCAAAGAGGGAAAACTAAGTTGAAGAAATAATGGTTGAAAATTTCCAATAGCTTTAAGATATTAATTTTAATCTCACGTTAATCACTATGAAAATAACTGAAAATATACAGAAAAGGAAATGAGAAGAGTAACATAAAAATGTTACCATACCAAAAACCAAAAATCAATTAAACACCAAAGTAGGCAGTAATGGAGGAAGTGAGGAACATAAAATATATATGACAGGCTGAGCACAGTGGGTCACACCTGTAGTCTCAGCATTTTGGGAGACTGAGGGGGAAGCACTGTTTGAAGCCAGCAGTTTGAGACCAGCCTGGACAACATAGTGAGACCCTTGTCTATACAAAAGAAAAAATTAGCCAGGCATAGTGGTGCAGGCCTGTAGTTCCAACTGCTCAGGAGGCTGAAGTGGGAGGATTACTTGGGCCCAGGAGCTAGAGGATGCAGTGAGCTATGATGACACCACTGCACCCTACCCTAGGTGACAGAGCAAGACCCTGTCTCTAAAAAAAAAAAATAAGACATATAAAAAACAAACAGTGAAATGTTAGAAATAAGTCCTTCCTTATCAGTAATTATTTTAAATGTAAATGGATTAAACTTCAATTAAAAGGCAGAGACTGGCAGAATGGAGTAAAAAAATGGGACCCATTAATATGCTGCTTACAAGAGACTCACTTTAGATCTGAAGAAACAAAGAGGTTAAAAGTAAAAGGGTAGAAAAGGTATTCTATGCAAACAGTAAGGAAAAGAGAGCTGGGTGATTATCAGTTAACTATACCTTAAAATATTGTGACACAAAGAAAGACATTATATATTGTTAAGGGGTCAATCCATCAAGAAGATATAACAGTTATAATATATAAATATATACCTAACAATAGAACCCCACAGTATATGAGGCAAAAGCTGACAGCATTGAAGGGAGAAATAGACAGTTCTAAAATTATAATTGGAGAATTCACTACATCCCTTTCAATAATGGACAGAACAATGATACAAAAAATTAATAAGGAAATAGAGAACTTGAACAACACTATAATTATGCCAAACAGACATGTTCTAAAAGCTCCACCTAACAACAGCAGATTACATGTTCTTCTCAAGTACACATGGGTCATTCTTTAGCATAGATCATATGGTAAGTCACAAAAAAAGTCTCAATAAATTTAAAAAGATTGAAATCATACAAAAATACCTCTCCATAGAATAAAACTAGAAATCAATATCAGAAGTAAAACGGGAAAATTCACAAAACATGAATATTAAACAAGACATTCTTTTTTTTTTTTTTTTTTGAGACAGCGTCTGGCTCTGTCGCCCAGGCTGGAGTGCAGGGGCGCGATCTCGGCTCACTGCAAGGTCCGCCTCCTGGGTTCACGCCATTCTCCTGCCTCAGCCTCTCAAGTAGCTGGGACTACAGGAGCCCGCCACCGCTCCCGGCTAATTTTTTGTATTTTTAGTAGAGACGGGGTTTCACTGTGTTAGCCAGGATGGTCTCGATCTCCTGACCTCATGATCCACCCGCCTCGGCCTCCCAAAGTGCTGGGATTACAGGCGTGAGCCACCATGCCCGGCCAACAAGACATTCTTAAACAACCAAAGGGACAAGGAATAAATCATAAAAGACATTAGAAAATATTTTGAGGCAAATGAAAATGAAAACAACTTACCCAATGTTATGGGATTCAGCAAAAGCAGTGCTTAATGAGATTTTTATAGCTTAAATGTCTTCATTAAAAAATAAATTCCTTAAATCAATAACCTAACTGTACACTTTAATGAACTGGAAAAAGAAGGGCAAATGAAACCCAAAGCTACTGAAGGAAGGAAATGATAAAGATTAGAGCTGAGGTAAATAAAATAAAAGCAGGAAAAACAATAGAAAAAAATTAACAAACAAAAAGTTATTTCTTTGAGAAGATTAACAAAATTGACAAAACTTTAATTAGATGAACTATGAAGAAAAGTGAGAAGAATCAAGTTACTACAATCAGAAGTGAAAGTGGGAACGTTACTATCAACTTATTATTACAGATAATAAAAGGATTATAAGAGGACACTATGGACTACTCCCTTGGACTCCATGGTGGTCTGTTAGTGGGAGATCCTTGTTGCTGTCCCTTCACCTCCTTCAGCCTTGCAGAACCTTACAGGTCCCTGTCATAGGTGAGTGCATCTCCATGTTGGCTAGGCTGATGTCCAGATTGGCAGTTCCTGCTAGGATCTCTACTGCCTGGAACATGGCCTCTAGCCTGATGGCAAGGCCAAGAGACAAGACTAGTGTGGGAGGAAATAACTCCTTCAATACCTTCTTCAGTGAGACAGGTGCTGCCAACCATGTGACTAGGTCAGTGTTTGTAGATGTTGAACCCAGGGTCATTGACAAAGTTCACACTGGCACCTACTTCCAGCTCTTCCACCCTGGGCAGCTCATCACAAGCAAGGAAGATGCTGCCTATAACTATACTTGAGGGCACTTTTGCATAGGAAAGGGGATTATATTGACCTCATCTTGGACTGAATTTGCAAGCTGGTTGACTAGTGCACAGGTCTTCAGAACTTCTTGGTTTTTTACTGCTTTGGTGAGGGGACTTGTTCTGGGTTCACTTCTCTGCTGGTGGAATGTTCTTTCTGTTGATTATGGCAAGAAGTCCAAGTTGGAGTTCTCCGCATACCCAACCCCCCATATTTCCACAGCTATAGTTGTATAGCTCTATCTTCATCTCCCATACCACCCTGTAGCACTCTGATTGTGCCTTCATGGTAGACAATGAGGCCATCTATGACATCTGTGGAGAAACCTCAATATTGAATGCCCAACCTATACTAGCCTTAACTGCCTTATTAGCCAGATTGTGTCCTCCATCATTGCTTCCCTCAGATTTGATGGAGCCCTGAAAGTTAATCTGACAGAAGTCTAGACCAAAATGGTGCCCTGTCTCTGCATCCACTTCCCTCTGGCCACATATTCCCCCACCATCTCTGCTGAGAAAGCCTATCACGAACAGCTTGTTGTAGCAGAGATCACCAGTGCTTGCTTTTAGCCAGCCAACCAGATAGTGAAATGTGACTCTTGCCATGGTAAATACATGGCTTGCTGCCTGTTGTACCATGGGGACATGGTCCCCAAAGATGTCAATGCTGCCATCACCACCATCAAGATCAAGCCTACCATCCAGTTTGTGGATTGGCATCCCATTGGCTTTAAGGTTGGTATTAATTACCAGCCCCCCAGTGAGGTACCTGGTGGAGACCTGGTCAAGGTATAGAGACCTGTGTGCATGCTGAGCAACACCACAGCAGTTGCTGAGGCCTGGGCTTGCCTGGACCACAAGTTTGACCTGATGTATGATAAGCCTGCCAAAGCTGGAGAACTCATACACCTTGATTTCAAACTTACTGCAAAGCTATAGTCACCAAAACAATGTGGTACTGCCATTAAGTGTAGATATCAGAGTCCAAAAATAAACCCATACATCTGTTGTCAATTCATTTTCAACAAGGATGCAAATACCATTCAATGGGGAGAATGGTCTCTTCAAGAAATGGTGCTGGGAAAACTAAATACCTGTGGGCACAATAATTAAGTGTACCTTTATCTCACTCTATATACAAAAATTAACTAAAAATGTACCAAAGGGGGAAAAAAACAATGAAATCACATCATTGCAGCAACATGGATGCAGGTGCAGGACATTATCCTAAGTGAATTAATGTAGGAACAGAAAACCAGATACTTCATGATCTCACTTTTAAGTAGGAGTTAAACATTCAGTACTCATGGACATAAAGATGGCAACAATAGACACTCTGGACTACTGGGGTGGGGGAGGAAGGAAAGGGGGCAAGGATTGAAAAACTAATTGTTGGGTACTGTGCTCAGCACCTGGGTGATGGCATCATTTATACCCCAAACTTCACAGTATCATGCAGTATACCCAGGTAAGAAGCCTGCACATGTACCTCTTAATCTAAAATAAAAGATAAATAAATAAATAAACAAATGCCCCTACTTTAGGCTTCTTTCACCCAAAAAAAGGACTAAAGACCTATGTATAAGAGTCAAAACTATAAAACTCTTAGAAGAAAAAATAGGGGAGGGTCTTCATGAATTTGGACTGGGCAATGGTTTCTTAAAAATGATAGTAAAAGCACAGGCCACAAAAGGAAAAATAAATAAGTTAGATTTCATAAAAATGAAAAGCTTTTGTGTATCAAGGGCCACTAAAAGGGTTAAAAGACAAACCACAAAATAATAGAAAATGTTTGCAAATCATATATCTGATAAAAAAACTTGTGTACTATATATATTTAAAAACTATTACAACTGAACAATAAAAAGACAGCCCAATTAATCACGGGCAAAGGACTTGAATAGACATCTCCAAAGATAAACAATGGGCCAGCAAACAAATAAGATGATATTCAGCATCAATGGGCAAACAATAAGATGATATTCAGTCATTAGGGAAATGCAAATTAAAATAAAATTGGTCTTGGCCTGGTGCGTTGGCTCATGCCTGTAATCTCAGCACTTTGGGAGGCTGAGGCGGGTGGATTACTTGTCAGTAGTTTGAGACCAGCCTGGCCAACATGGTGAAACCCCATCTCTACTAAAAATACAAAATTAGTCAGGTTTGGTAGTGCACGCCTGTAGTCCCAGCTACCTGGGAGACTGAGGCAGGAGAATCACTTGAACCCAGGAGGCACAGGTTGCTTTTAGTGGCCCTTGACACACAAAAGCTTTTCATTTTTATGAAATCAGCATTATGCATAATGGCCAAAAGTTGAAACAATTCAAAGGTCTATTAACAGATGAATGCATAAACAAAATGTGGTATATTCATACAGTAGAATATAATTCATGAAAAGAAACAATGCTACAAAATGTATGAATCTTGAAAACATTATGCTAAGTGAAAAAAGCAAAATGCAAAGGGTCACATATTGTGTGATTCCATTTATATGAAAAATCCAGAATAAGTAAATTCATAGAGACAAAAATGCAGATTAGTAGTTGCCAGTGACTGGGGCAAGGGAGGAATGGGGAATAACTGCTTAAAATTGGTATGAGGTTTCTGTCTGGACTGATGAAAAATTCTGGAACTAGACAGAGATGATAGGTGGATAGCACTGTGAATATACTTAGTGTCCCTGAATTGGATCTTTAAAACGGTTAAATGGCAAACCTTATGTGTATTTTGCCACACACACATAAAAGACAATGCCTATTTCTAGGGGTGAGGAAGAGCATTTTTGGCAATAGCCCCTATATATGGTCAGGATCTTGTAGTGTCTGAATTCCTCAAATGTAACACAGACCCTGGTGTGCACAGTACTAACCTGAGTTCCTCTCCATTGCCCCTATAGGACTTAGGGAGATAGTGGGGCCGATGTTAATGTGAAGCTCATGATACCTATTATGCCATGAGTAATAAACAGTCTAAATCCATTCAGGCCCACTGGCTTTTTGCTGACTGAATTTATGAATGTGCAGTGAACCAGCTAAGTAGCTTAGGGACTGCTTGACAGCTTGATACCCCCATGTCAAAAATATTGGTACATTCATTAGTATCTCTTGAATTCATACAATTATTTCCACCTCCACCCCTCTACCTTTGTCCAGGCCTCCATCATCTGTCCTTTGGACAGTGCAGCAGGATAAGGTGGATTCCTGGTCTCCAGCCTTGATTCCCTCCAGCCATTCATCATACAGCTGTCTGAGTGATGTTTCAAAACACACAGATATTCACAGTACTTCTCTCCTTTGATGCTCACCATTACTCAGCCTACAAAGTTCTGAATGACTGGGCCCATGTCTACCAGCCTCTTCTCTTGCTTTGTCTCCTTCTCCATATCTGGGACAATTTGGCCATCAAAAAAGATGATGATAATGAAATTCAATACACTGATTTCTTAACAATCCATGAATCCTTACTGGTATGCAGAAAGAGAAACAGAGGGACAGAAAGTGAGACAGTGAGAGAAAGGCAGATGGGGGTGGGGAGAGGAGGAAAGTTCCTCATTATAGATAGGGAAAGCTGAAAAATGGAGAAGAAATAGAAAATCCCTATTTTTTTAACCTCTATTAACTCAGATAAAACTTATGCATAAAAAGTTGTTTGGCTCTGGCTATCTATCTATCTATCTATCTATCATCCATCCATCTATGAGCAAATGCAGACTTTATACCATATAAAAAATTAACACTAAATGAATCAAAGAACTGAATGTGAGAGCTACAACTTAAAACTCTTAGAAGAAAACATAAGGAAAACTTCATGACATAGGAGTTGGCAATAATTTTTTGGATATGATGCCAAAAGCACAGGCAGTGAAAGAAAAAATAGATAAACTGGACTTGATAAAATAAAAAACTTTTGCTCACCAAAGAACACTATCAACAGAGTAAAAAAGACACCAACAGAATGGGAGAAGATATTTACAAATCATATATCTGATAAGGATTAATATCCAGAAGATATAAAGAACTACTGCAACTCAACAACAAAAGAAACCAAAGAACCAATTGAAAAAGGTGCAGCAAACTTGAATAGACATTTCCCCGAAGTTGATATATAAGTGGCCAGTAAGCATATGAAAAGATGTTCAACATAATTAATCATTAGAGAAATGCAAATAAAAACCACCATAAGATACCATTTCACATCCATTAGGATAGCTATTATTAGTATTAGTTTAAATAATACAACATATTTTTTATTATTTTTTTTTCTTGAGACGAAGTCTTGCTCTGTCACCCAGGCTGGAGTGCAGTGGTACTATCTCAGCTCATTGCAACCTCTGCCTCTCAGGTTCAAGCAATTCTCCTCCCTCAGCCTCCCAAGTAGTTGGGACTACAGGCATGTGTCACCACGCCTGGCTAATTTTTGTATTTTTTTTAGTAGAGACGGGGTTTCACCATGTTGGCCAGGCTGGTCTTGAATTCCTGACCTCAAGTAATCTGCCTGACTTGGCCTCCCAAAGTACTAGGATTATAGGCTTGAGCCACTGCATCTGGTCTATTTTTTTTTAAATAGAGATGGGATTTTTTCATGTTGCTCAGGTCTTAAACTCCAGGGCTCAAGTGATCTGCCTGCCTTGGCCTCCCAAAGTGCTGGGATTACAGGTGTGAGCCATTGTAGCTATTATTATTATTTTTTAAATCCCCAGAAAATAACAAATGTTGGTGAGAACGTGAAGAAATTGGAACCCTTGTGCATTGCTGGTGGGTATGTGAAATGGTGCAGCCACTGTGGAAAATGCTATCACAGTTCTTCAAAAAATTATATATAGAATTATCATGTGACTCAGTAATTCCACTTTTTGGTATCAACTTGAAATAATTGAAAGGACCCAAACAGATATTTGTACATGCATGTTCATGACAGCATTATTCACAAAAGCCAACTGATAGAAGTTATCCAAGTGTCCATTGTCAGAGGAATGGATAAACAAAATGTGGTACATACATACAATGGAAATTCAGCCTTAAAAAGAAAGGACGTTTTGATATATACTACAACATGGATGAACCTTGAGGACATTATGCTACATGAAATAAGCCAGTTACAAAAGGACAATATTGTATGGTTCTACTTATGGAGGTACCTAGAATAGGGAAATTTAAAAAGACAGAAAGTAGAATGGTTGTTGCCTGAGGCTGGGGGGAGGGGAAAATGGGGAGTTAGAGTTTAATGTGTACAGAGTTCCAGTTTGGGAAGATGAAAAAGTTCTGAAGATGGATGGCGGTGATAGTTGCACAACAATGTAAATGTATTTAATGCCATTAAATTGTATACTTAAAAGTGATTTAAAATGGTAAATTTTTAGTTTATGTATATTTTACCACAATAAAATGAATGTAATTAAAAGAAAAGCACATATGGGAATATGATATCAATTAATGACACTAGAGAAGGGTACAATGGGTGTTCAAAATTTCTCTTGTAGGGTTGAAAATTTTCAAAATAAAAAGCTGGGGATAAGATGATTTGGGTGGGTCTGGCCAGAAATAATAAGAGCAGGATTCTCAGCTCTCCTTTTTTGGCCACCGTGCTTCTGCAGTGGGACTCAAAAAGAAGTACTAATGTGTGGCAGATAAATAACTTAACATCCCATACTCTGTATATTATTCTGCTCTTTTCTCATGTAACTGTACAGTTATCACACTTCAAGGCATAAAATTATCCTTTTCTCTGAGGAGGAGACAATTTTAGGCACCAGCAGGGAATACAAACCAAAGGAAAAGAAAACAAAACAGTAAGAGAAAAAAAGCAAGAGAGGGAGAGAAATTCTTGGCTTCTCTGGGAAGGAGCTAAGGTTGTGAGTTGAAGACAATGGGGACTGAAGAAAATATGAACAGGAAGGATGGCTTTCCCTGTATGGCCTGCCCAGATGCCCTTACAACCAACCACAAAAAAAGAAAAACAGCCAGAAACTAAGCCTCCCTTCTCAAGGGAGTGAACACACTGAAGAGAGAATTTGTAGATAAAGAAGAGAAAATAACTCCAAAGGAGAAACAATCACTTTCCTCTTTCATCCCTTTTGGGCAAAGGTCCAAAGGTGAGAGCAGAGCATAAAGGGGAGCAGAGTAAAGTTTGAAACTGGATAGCCAGACATTTCTTGCACCATTACCAGGAAGAAAGCTGAGATGGTGATTCTGGCAGAGTGCCCTGTGAAATGAGAGAGCCACAGGCTGCTTGAAATTTTGCAGAAGCACCAAGAGTGGTATGGAGGCATTTTATAACTGAATGACTCATGTAGGTAGCTGGGAGAGTGAGGCGAAGGCCAGCCTTATATGCCAACAGGCAGTTGAGGAAAGCCCAGTGGGGGAATCCTACACACATCTTGCCACGGCCAAGAAGCAGCTCTGCAATTCCACGGAATTCCCACACTAGGGACCAGATGGAGAACTGGTGTCCACTTGCCAGAGCCTCCAACCTGGCACTGGCCATTCCCAGAGGACAGGCAACATTAGTGGGCAAAGCATCTATGGGGAACACTCATCTCTGTGCAGCACTGGCGTTAAGCCAATTGTAAGCAAACCACCACTGCATGCCCAACCCACTGTATGTTCACAGTGATGGTAAGTGGTAGTCCTGGGGGTCTGAGGTAAGTAAATGTGATGGAAGCATCAGAAAAAATTTGCCATGTAGGGAGAGAAGATTGCTTGAAAATGGATCAGAGAATCCTCTACAACAGCCCTCAATAGAGTCCTGACTATGATGTTGAGGAGGACATGGAATCTTCCCTTCAACATATCAAATGATGGATTTCCCTTAAAAATGCTTCAACCTGTCCTTCCCTAGTGCCACAGACACCCTGAGACCCTCTTTGTTGCTGCTCTGTACTGTGAGCCCCTCTTGGTTTTTACCTTGTCTTTTCAGGAGAATCTTGGCATAGTCTGGGTCATGGACACTGAAGAACATCGTAAAGGGTCCAACCCACAAGGGAACAGCACATGGGTATTTTTCCATCAGCTTATGATACACCTCAAACTCCTTTACTGGGTAAAACTGTCATAAGATAAGTCATGACTGGTTAGTAAAGGTTGTCACCCCAGGAGGACCCCTTTCCCTCGGATGGACCATGTGCTAAGTTGAGGATCTGTGGACACCACCCCATCAGACAGGTTCACATCTGTTGAAGGCAAGTTTTCTTCTCCATGTGTCTCCAGCACCTCCACAGAATCTTCGTGGCCCTGGGCAAGTGCTCAGGACCTGTTGCTGAGCGATTGGTCTTCTCACTCCAGCGTCAACTTTGGAGATTTAAGTTCAAATCCCAATCTGACACTTATTCATTATCTAGGTCATCAGGGCCATGATTTCCTCACGTGTATAATAGGAAGACCAAATATATTTTACAAAGCTGCCATGAAAATTAAGTGAAATTATAAACATAAAATTCCTGGCACAAGGTAAACCGTTAGTAACCACTGATGCCCTACCTCATCTTTGCTCTGGATATACCCACTCATGCTTTATCTGCCTCCAAAGCAGCGAAGTCTCACATGCCTTTTACTCCTTTTGGTTGCTGCTCATCTTTCAACTTTCCTTTCTAATTTGCTAAATGTTTTCCTATTTCCAGCTTCATTAGAAGCTGTAGCATCTTGGTATAGTTCCTGTTAACAATTGGCTTGGTCTATTTCTCTCTAGAACACCCAGAGTCCTGAGAATAGTAAAGACCTTGGCCTTGAATCAGAAGACCAGGGTTCAAGTTTCATTTCTGTCATTTATGAGGTGGGTAGCACAGGAAAGTTGCATTTCTATTTTAGGCTTCAGTTTTCTTATCTGTAAAACAGGAATAACAATATCTTTCCTCCCCATATCATAGAATTTTTGTAAAAATCACAATGAGATTGGTGTGAAAGCATTTTGCATATTACATAATGCCCCACCAGTCTGTGCTGTTTTTTTTTAATACCTCATCTTTCTGTCCCTTAACCTCCCCAACTAATTTTCTCCTCTTACCTCCTTGTGGCCATAGAACCAGTGGGCAGGGGGTGCAGGAAACAGGTGCAGGGCTCTGATCATCCATCTCCTCCTCTGGTACAACCTGATTACCTGAAACAGCAGCAGAGACATGCAGAGGAGGATCAGCAGCAAGAAGGGGTGAGCCATGAGTTCCTGAAGCCAGGAGGGCTCCATTCTTCTCAGAGGTCCTGAGCTCTGGAGAGCCTGAGAGAACTGAGCCAGGGAGAATGCAGGTCTCTCATAAACACAAAGGAGATGCCCCCTGGGCAACACTGGGCTTTCAAAATGCCATATTCAGGGAGGGGACATAAGGAAGAGGAAGCCTAATTAAGTCTGCAGGGTGAAAACTGCTGAGATGTTGGCCAGCAGACCTGGATTCTAGAAGAACAAGATTTTCAGATAGGAGCCATGTGCATGACAGCTCACACCCATATGAAAGCTTTGCTGCACTGCTGTCCCCTTCCAGAATCTAAAAGTTCCCATCTAGTCATCCTTTGTCACACCTCTATACATTCTTGTAAAAAATCTCCCCCACTCTCATTCTCTGTTCTTTTTTGTTTATGTTTCTGATAGAATTTATCTTTCTAGAGAAGTTTCAAGTTCACAGAAAAATTAAGCAGAAAGTTCAGGGAGTTCCCATATATCACCCCTCCCTTCCAGCTTCCCTGATTATCAAAATCCTCCACCAGAGTATAACACTTGTTACATTTAATGAACCTACAATGACACATTATCGTCACCCAAAATCTTAGGTATATACCTAAGTTTTTTTTTTTTCTATTTTGAAAGGGGTTGAGTTCTTGATTTGATTCTCAGCTTGGTTGCTGCTGGTGTACAGCAGAGCTACTTATTTGTGTATATTAATTTTGCATCCTGTAGGAGCTTTTTGGATGAGTCTTTAGGCTTTTCTAGGTATACGATCATATCATCAGCAAACAGTGACAGTTTGACCTCCTTTTTACCAATTTGAATGCCCTTTATTTCTTCCTTTTGTCTGATTGCTCTGGCTAGGACTTCCAGTACTATGTTGAATAGAAGTGGTGAAAGTGGGCATCCTTCTCTTGTTCCAGTTCTCAAGGAGAATGCTTTCTACTTTTCCCCTTTCAGTATAATGTTGGCTGTGGGTTTATTGTTATGTGGCTTTTATTACCTTAAGGTGTGCCAGTTTTGTTGATGAGAGTTTTAATCATAAAGGGATGCTGGATTTTGTTAAATGCTTTTTCTGCAGCTATTGAGATGATCATGTGGTTTTGTTTTTAATTCTGTTTATGTGGTGTATCACATTTATTGACTTGGGTATGTTAAATCATCCCTGCATCCCACTTGATTATGGTGGATTATCTTTTTGATATGCTGTTGGATTCAGTTCACTAGTATTTGATTGAGGATTTTTGCATCTATGTTCATCAAAGATGTTGGTCTGTAGTTTTCTTTTTTTGTTATGTCATTCCCTGGTTTCGGTATTAGGATGATACTGGCTTCACAGAGTGATTTAGGGAGGATGCTCTCTTTCTCTATCTTGTGGAATAGTGTCTATAGAATTGGTACCACTTCTTCTTTGAATGTGTGATAGAATTCAACTGTAAATCCATCTGGTCCTGGACTTTTTTTTTGTTGGTATTAAAAAAAATTACAATTTCAATCTCACTGCTTGTTATTGGTCTGTTCGGCGATTCTATATCTTCCTGGTTTAACCTAGGAGGGTGGTATATTTTCAGGAATTTATCCATCTCCTCTAGGTTTTCTAGTTTATGCATATAAAGGCATTCATGGAAGTCTTGAATAATCTTTTGTATTTCTCTGGTATCAGTTTGTAATAGCTCCTGTTTCATTTCTAATTGAGTTTATTTGGATCTTCTCTCTTGTTTACTTCGTTAATCTCACTAATGGTTCATCAATTTTATTTATCTCTTCAAAGAACCAGGTTTTTCATTTCATTTATTTTTTGTATTTTTTTTGTTTCAATTTCATTTAGTTCTGCCCTGATCTTTGTTATTTCTTTTCTTCTGCTGGGTTTGAGTTTTGATTGTTCTTTCTCCAGTTCTGTGAGGTGTGACCTTAGATTGTCTATTTTTGCTCTTTCAGACTTTTTGATATAGGCATTTGATGCTATAAACTTTCCTCCTAGCACTGCTTTTGCTGTATCTTAGGGTTTTTGATAGGTTGTGTCACTATTATTGTTCAGTTTAAAGAATTTTTAAATTTCCATCTTGATTTCATTGTTGACCCCAAAATTATTCAGGAGTAGGTTATTTATTTTCCATGTATTTTCATGATTTTGAGGGTTCCTTTTGGAGTTGACTTCCAATTTTTTTTCCATTGTGGTTTGAGAGAGTACTTGATATAATTTTGATTTTCTTAAATTTACTGAGACTTGTTTTGTGGCCTATCATATGGTTTATCTTGGAGAATGTTCTATGTACAGATGAATAGAATGTATATTCTGCAATTGTTGGGTAGAATGTTCGTTAATATCTGTTAAGTCCATTTGTTGTAGGGTATAGTTTAGGTCCATTGTTTCTGTGTTGATTTTCTGTCTTGATGACCGGTCTAGTGCTGTCCATGGAGTATTAAAGTCCCCCACTATTATTGTGTTGTTGTTTATCGCATAGTAATTGTTTTATAAATTTGGGCGTTTCAGTGTTAGGTGCATATATATTTAGAATTGCAGTATTTTTCTGTTGGACTAATCCTTTTATCATTATATAATGTCCCTTTTTGTCTTTTTAAACTGCTGTTGCTTTAAAGTTGTTATGTCTGGTATAAGAACAGCTACTCCTGCTCACTTTTGGTGTCCATTTGCATAGAATATCTTTTTCCACTTACCTTAAGTTCATGTCAGTCCTTATGTGTTAGGTGAGTCTCCTGAAGACAGCAGAAATTTGGTTGGTAATTTCTTATCCATTCTGCTGTTCTGTTTCTTTTAAGTAGAGCATTTGGGCCATTTACACTCAATATTAGTATTGATATGTGAGGTACTAGTCTACTCATCATGCTATTTGTTGCCTGAATAACCTTGTTTTTTTTTAATTGAGTTTTTGTTATGTAGATCCTGTGAGATTTATGCTTTAAGGAGGTTCTATTTTTGTGTATTTTGAGAATTTGTTTCAAGATTTAGAGCTTTGAGCAGTTCTTTTAGTGCTGGCTTGGTAGTAGTGAATTCTCTCAGCATTTGTTTGTCTGGAAAAGACTATCTTTCCTTCATTGATGAAGGTTAGTTTCACTGGATACAAAATTCTTGGCTGACCATTGTTTTGTTTAAGGAGGCTAAAAATAGGACCCTAGGCTGGGCACTGTGGCTCCGTCTGTAATCCCAGCACTTTGGGAAGCTGAGGTGGGTGGATCACGAGGTCAGGAGATCGAGACCATCCTGGCCAACATGGTGAAACCCCATCTCTACTAAAAATAGAAAAATTAGCCAGGCGTGTGGTGGTGTGCCCTGTAGTCCCAGCTACTCAGGAGGCTGAGGCAGGAGAATCACTTGAACCCAGGAGGCAGAGGTTGCAGTGAGCTGGGATCGCGCCACTGCACTCCAGTGTGGGCAACAGAGTGAGACTCTATCTCAAAAAAAAAAAAAAAAAAAAGGACCCAAATCCCTTCTAACTTGTAGGGTTTCTGCTGAGAAATCTGCTGTTAATCTGATAGGTTTTTCTTGACAGGTTACCTGACACTTTTGCCTCACAGTTCTTAAGATTCTTTCCTTCATCTTGACTTCAGATAACCTGATGGCTATGTGCCTAGGTGATGAACTTTTTGTGATGAATTTCCCAGGTGTTCTTTGAGCTTCTTTTATTGGGATGTCTAGATCTCCAGCAAGGCCAGGGAAGTTTTTCTTGATTATTCCCTCAAATATGTTTTCCAAATTTTAGATTTCTCTTTTTCCTTGGGAACACCAATTATTCTTAGTTTTGGACATATAACGTAGTCCCAAATTTTTGGAGGCTTTGTTTATTTTTAAAAATTATTTTGCTTTGTCTTTGATGGGTAGGGTTAATTTGAAAGACTTGTCTTTGAGCTGTTAAGGCCTTGCTTCTGCTTGTTTGATTTTATTGCTGAGACTTTCCAGTGTATTTTGCATTTCTGTAAGTGTGTGTTCAGTTTCCAGAAGTTGTGATTGTTTTTTATTTGTGCAATCTATTTCACTGAAGAATTTTCCTTTCATATCCTGTATCATGTTTTTGATTTCTTTAAGTTGGACTTCACCTTTCTCTGGTGCCTCCTTGATTAGCTTAATAATCAACCTTCTGAATACTTTTTCTGGCAATTCAGAGATTTTGTCTTAGTTTGGATCCATTGCTGGTAAGCTGATATGATCTCTTGGGGGTGTGAAAAAACCTTGTTTTGTCATATTACCAGAATTGTTTTTTTCTGGTTCCTTCTTATTTTGATAGACTATGTCAGAGGGAAGATCTGGGATTCAAGGGCTGCTGTTCAGATTATTTTGTCCCAAGGGGTGCTCCCTTGATGTGATGTTCTCCCCCTTCCCCTAGGAGTGGGGCTTCCTGAGAGCCAAACTGTAGTGATTATTTTTGCTCTTCTGGGTCTAGCCACCCAGCAGAGCTACGAGGCTCTAGGCTGCTACTGGGGAGTGTCTGTAAAGAGTCCTATGATGTGATCCATCTTCAGGTCTCTTAGCCATGGATACCAGTGCCTGCTCCAGTGGAGGTAGCAGAGGGGTGAGGTGGACTCTGTGAGGGTCCTTGGTTTTGTTTTTGTTAGTGCACTGGTTTTGTGTTGGTTGGCCTCCAGCCAGGAAATGGAACTTTCAAGAGTGCATCAGCTGTGGTCCTATAGGAAAGATGCAAACTTGCTGTAGAGACACCTGGTTATGTATTCAGGTTTCTCAGGTGGTGGGCAGGGCCATAGTGCTCCCAAGTGATTATGACCTTCGTCTTTGGCTACCAGGGTGGGTAGAGAAAGACCACAAGGTGGGGTCAGGGTAGGCATGTTTAAACTCAGCCTTTCCTTGGGCGGGGCTTGCTGCAGCTGTTGTGGGGGATGGGGGTGTAGTTCCCAGTCCAATGGAGCTATATTCCCAGGGGTATTATGGCTGTCTCTGATAAGTCATACAGGTCACCAGGGAAGTGGGGGAAAGCCGGTAGTCAGAGGGCTCACCCTGCTCCCACACAGCCTGGAGACCTAAAGGCCAGTCTCACTCCTACTGTGCCCTCCCCAGCTGCAATGAGTCTATTTCCAGGCAGCCAGTGACCAGGGCTGAGAACTTGCTCCAGACCACGAGCCTCCTCATTGAGAAAGGAAGCAGAATCACAGTTTTTGGCTTCTCAGGGAGCCTGCAGCAGTAATCCAGTTACTTCAAAGGTCTGTAGATTCTCTTAGCTTTCCCGGTATGTTCCTGCAGTGGTTCTTGGAGTAAAAGTTCATGATGTGAGTCTTCACACACTGTTCTGTCCAAGTGGGAGCTGCAAGCTAGTTCTGCCTGCTATCTGTCATCTTCAAACTATGTCTTCCTCTTGCCTGATTGCTTTGGCCAGGACTTCCAATACTATGTTGAATAGGAGTGGTGACAGAGGGCATCCTTGTCTTGTGCTGGTTTTCAAGGGGAATGCTTCCATCTTTTCCCCATTCATTATGATGCTAATATGGGTTTGTCATAGATGGCTCTTATTATTTTGAGGAATGTTCCTCAATACATAGTTTATTTAGAGTTTTTAACATGAAGTGATGTCCAATTTTATCAAAATCCTTTTCTGCATCTATTGAGATAATCAAGTGACTTTTATACTTAGTTCTCCTTATGTGATGATCCGCATTTATTGATTTGTGTATGTTGAACAAACCTTGCACCCTAGGGATGAAGCCTACTTGAGCATCATGGATTAGATTTTTGATGTGCTGCTGAAATTGGTTTGCAAGTATTTTGTTGAAGATTTTTGCATCAATGTTCATCAAGAATATTGGTCTGAAGTTTTCTTTTTTTGTTGTGTCTCTGCCAGGTTTTGGTACCAGGATGATGCTGGTCTTATAGAATGAGCTAGAGCAGAGTCCCTCCTTCTCAATTATTTGGAATAGTTTCAGTAGGAATGCTACCAGTTCTTCTTTGTACATCTGGTAGAATATGGCTATGAATTAATCTGGTTCTGGGCTTCTTTGGGATGGTAGACTATTTATTACTCATTCAATTTTGAAGCTCATTATCGGTCGGTTTAGGGATTTGATTTCTTCCTGGTTCAGTCTAGGGAAGGTGTATGTGTCCAGAAATTTATTCTGCTCTTCTAGATTTTCTAGTTTGTGTGCATAGAGGTGTTCATAGTAGTTTCTGATGGTTATTTTTATTTCTGTGGGGTCAGTGGTAGCATCCTCTTTGTTATTTCTAATTGTGTCTATTTGGATCTTCTCTCTTTTCTTCTTTATTAGTGTGGCTAATGCCCTATATATCTTATTATGTTTTTCAGAAAGCAAACATTGAATAGTTTTCTGTGTTTTGATTTCTTTCAGCTCAGCTCTGATTTTGGTTATTTCTTGTCTTCTGCTAGCTTTGGAGTTGATTTGCTCTTCCTTCCGTAATTCTTTCAGTTGTGGTATTAGATTGGTAATTTGAGATCTTTTTACCTTTTTGATGTGGGCATTTAATGCTATGAACTTCCCTCTTAACACTGTTAGTTCTGTCCCAGAGATTCTGGTATGTTCTACCTTTGTTCTTATTAGTTTCAAAGAACTTGATTTCTTCCTTAACTTCATTGTTTACTCAGAAGTCATTCAGGAGCCTGTTGTTTAATTTCTATGTAATTATATGGTTTTGAATGATTGCTTTAATCTTGACTTCTATTTTTATTGCACTGTGCTCTGACAGTGTGTTTGGTATGATTTTGGTTCTTTTGCATTTGCTGAGAATTGTTTTATGTTCTATTATGTGGCTGATTTAAAAGTATGTGTCATGTGGCAATGAGAAGAATATATATTCTGCTGTTTTGGGATAGAGAGTCCTGTAGAGGTCTATCAGATCTATTTAGTCCTGTTGAGTTCAGGTTCTGAATATTTTTGTGAATTTTCTGCCTTGATAATCTGTCTAATACTGACAGTGGAGGGTTGAAGTCTGCCACTATTATTGTGTGTGAGTCTAAGTCTCTTTGTAGTCTCTAAGAACTTGCTTTATGAATCCAGGTGCTCCTGTATTAGATGAATATATATTTAGGATAGCTAGGTCTTAAATAGAACCCTTTACCTTGATGTAATGCCCTTCTTTATCTTTTTTGATCTTTGTTAGTTTAAAGTCTGTTTTGTCTGAAATTAGGATTGCAGTCCCTGCTTTTATTTTAATGTCCATTTGCTCGGTAGATTTTCCTCCATCCCTTTATCTTGAACCTATGAGTCTCATTATGTTTGAGATGGGTGTTTTGAAGACAGCATACCATTGGGTCTTGCTCTTTTATCCAGCTTGCCACTCTGCCTTTTAAGTGGGACATTTAGCCCATTTACATTCAATAATCTATTAATTTTTTAAAAAGTATATGAAAAGTATTTTACAAGAAGTTTTGAGCAAACATTGGAAAGGGATCATAGAAATGAAGTGAATTTGTCTAACAAATATTTAAAAATGTAAATGAATTTCTGCTTATCAGATAAATAAATCTATTAAATGAATCCAAGACAAAACTAGGATATTTCCCAATACATGATGCAAGCATAACTTGGCCATACTTAATATTGGTTCATGAAATAAATTTTCAAGGAGAAAAGAGTGATTTCATATTTATGTTTGCAGAGTGCCCTGGACTTCACATAATGAGCAAGTAAAAGTCTTGGGGAGAGGAGAAAAGGGTGGGAGCAGAATTTTCTAAAACTCACAGTCAGGCTGAAGGTGCATGATCAGATAAATGCTTGCTTAAAACAAAGTGCCCCATAGGGGACCATCAGCCTCCGTCCCAGGGGATGCTTAGGAAACAGCCCAGCCTTCTTTGCTACCTAAATTAGGGAAATTAAATGTTCTTTCATCAGGTTCTTCTCATACACAGTATGAGAAAGCCTTTTGGGTTTTCCTACATGCAAGCAGGTGATGTTTAGACATGAAAATTGAGAAGTACAGCAGGTATGCCAAAACCAGACATGATATTTACGTAGCCAAATTCCAGGAGATTACATGGGCAGAGTCAGGAAATTATTGGCCAGCCTGTTGCAAATTATTGTTTTCACATGGGTCCAACTGGAAATGAATGGCTGATCTCCCATTTAGATTTTATAAAACTATCTTCCAAATTTGGATAGGCTCTAAGTGACTTCAGGATACAAAGAAAGTAACTTTGTGTTTCATTTTACCTTGATTATATATTCAACCACAGAACACAAAATGAAGTTTGTTTTTCATTTAATTATCTGGCTATTTGTATGGTAACCTTCTATAGCTGCAACTTATTTTGCTTTATGTAAAATGTTAACCTCAGGGTTTAGGCAAAAATGTCTCAGAATTAATTATGAAGGCATTGGGACATATAAAAATATTATGTAAGTATAAAATTGTTAATAAAATTTATTGGCCAAAATATGCTAGTATCTTTGATTACTTTGTTCTTATGAATCTCAGGCAATGTTTCAAAAATGTATACTTGCAAATTGTTCTATTTAAAGTTTAGATTAATTTGTAAATATTTCTCATGATTTAATTTATATTGTATTATATTAGCCTTTATCCTTCACTGGCTTTTATAAGTTGGGCAAATACATACTATTAAGATGTATATCTGTATTCAAATAAATAACTACAAAAATTAGAACACCACAGTGAATCTACTTGTCATGAAAGATAAATAATGATATTGCTACCAAAAAATAGTTAAATAATATTCATAGGCCCCTGTCTCTGCCTGTCCCTGCCAGGGTTGTGGAGGTAAAGAGTGCTAGTCTATTACTATAGAAAGGACTCTACATAGGTCTGAGTAGAGTAGGGACAAGAAAGAGCACTACATACTGGAACCACTTATGTGGTTCTGGTGCAGGGCAAAAATATTGGTAGTAGTCAGGAATATACATGTGTTTACAGGTGTGGTGTATGAAAGAGAGAAAGATAAGGAGAGAGAAGAAATGCGAGTCCACATTGCAGTGCTCTGGAAACAGAATGAGGATTGTGTTAGGGTCAAGGATTGCCCGTAGGTCCTCTGGGATGGCACTGAATAAGCAGTAAAAGCAGGAAAGCATGCCATGCAGGGGATACTTAGCACCTCAAATTTATAAAATACAATTCTAAGAACTAATTGAAAAACACTCACAAAGTGAGGTGGTGATCGAGGATGTCCTAAGTGCAACACTCAGCTTAGCCAGAGTGTAGGGGAACCAGAAAATGTTTCTGAGCCTGGAATCATACCAGCAAACTACCTCAGCCTGAAGGTCTTTATTGGAGCAAGGACACCATTTTAAAAGTGAAAAATTATAATTATAATAAAAATAATTATCTGCAAATTCACAAAATTTTATTCAACTGTGAAAACAACTTTGTAGTAGAAGCCAAAATATTTAGAGGAAATGAAATGCTTTGACCTAATTTATTTCATAGAGAGAAAATATGATGCCCTGATTCAGGAGATGAAAAGCTTTTGATGGCACAGATATGTGATCTCACACAGTAAGTTAATTTGATTCAGAACCAAGTAAAGTTTTTTTTGATAAATAGTTTTTTTAAAAAAGAATTTGCACAAGCAAAATGTAAAACCAAAGTTGCAGAAGTTCATGGTGATCAACCAGTAGTTGAACTGCCTCCTAAGATAAGAATTAACACTCTTCAGAAAACTAGAATCCAAAGTCTTTATATTATTCACCATGTCCAGTATTCAATTAAAACCCACTAGCCATACAAAGAAACAGGAAAAAATGACCCATAGTCAAGAAAAATAAAGTTGTTAATATAAACCAATCTGGAGCTGGTCCAAGCATAAGGCTAAGCAGACAAAGATTTTCAGTGATTATAAATATTTACAAATGATTTTTAAAAAGACTTAAAGGAAAATATAATCTTAATGAGTGAATAGACAGGAAATCTCAGCAGTTAAATAGAAACTACAAGAAAAAATCAAATGAAAAGTCTAAAACTTAGAAGTATAGTAATGAAAAGTCCAATATCTGAAATTTAGAAACTCACTGGATGAGCAAAAGAAAAATTCAGTGACTTTAAAGGCATATAATTGGAAGATATGCAATCTAAAAAAAAAAAATGAAAAAAGCTAAAAAAAAAAAAAATTAACCAAGTCCTAGGATCCTGTGGGACAATATCAAATAATCTGACATACATGTAGTTGAAGTCTCCAAAAGAGAAGAGAGTAATATTGAAGCAGAATATACATATATATATATATATATATATATATATATATATATATATATTTTTTTTTCTTAAGAAGTAACAAAGGGAAGCCCATCAGACTAACAGCTGATCCCTCGGCAGAAACTCTACAAGCCAGAAGAGAGTGGGGGCCAATATTCAACATTCTTAAAGAAAAGGATTTTCAACCCAGAATTTCATATCCAGCCAAATTAAGCTTCATAAGAGAAGGAGAAATAAAATACTTTACAGACAAGCAAATGCTGAGAAATTTTGTCACCACCAGACCTGCCCTAAAAGAGCTCCTGAAGGAAGCACTAAACATGGAAAGGAACAACTGGCACCAGCTACTGCAAAAACATGCCAAATTGTAAAGACCATCGAAGCTAGGAAGAAACTGCATCAACTAATGAGCAAAATAATCAGCTAACATCATAATGACAGGATCAAATTCACACATAACAATATTAACCTTAAATGTAAATGGGCTAAATGCTCCAATTAAAAGACACAGACTGGCAAATTGGATAAAGAGTCAAGACATCAGTGTGCTGTATTCAGGAGTCCCATCTCATGTGCAGAGACACACATAGGCTCAAAATAAAGGGATGGAGGAAGATCTACCAAGCAAATGGAAAACAAAAAAAAGGCAGGAGTTGCAATCCTAGTCTCTGATAAAACAGACTTTAAACCAACAAAAATCAAAAGAGACAAAGAAGGCCATTACATAATGGTAAAGGGATCAATTCAACAAGAAGAGCTAACTATCTGAAATATACATGCACCCAATACAGGAGCACCCAGATTCATAAAGCAAGTCCTTAGTGACCTACGAAGAGACTTAGACTCCCACACAATAATAATGGGAGAATTTAACACCCCACTGTCAACATTAGACAGATCAATGAGACAGAAAGTTAACAAGGATATCCAGGAATTGAACTCAGCTCTGCACCAAGCGGACCTAATAGACATCTACAGAACTCTCCACCCCAAATCAACAGAATATACATTCTTTTCAGCACCACACCACACCTGTTCCAAAATTGACCACATAGTTGGAAGTAAAGCACTCCTCAGCAAATGTAAAAGAACAGAAATTATAACAAACTGTCTCTCAGACCACACTGCAATCAAACTAGAACTCAGGATCAAGAAACTCACTCAAAACCACTCAACTACATGGAAACTGAACAATCTGCTCCTGAATGACTACTGGGTACATAAAGAAATGAAGGCAGAAATAAAGATGTTTTTTGAAACCAACGAGAACAAAGACACAACATACCAGAATGTATGGGACACATTCAAAGCAGTGTGTAGAGGGAAATTTATAGCAATAAATGCCCACAAGAGAAAGCAGGAAAGATATAAAATTGACACCCTAACATCACAATTAAAAGAACTAGAGAAGCAAGAGCAAACACATTCAAAAGCTAGCAGAAGGCAAGAAACAACTAAGATCAGAGCAGAACTGAAGGAAATAGAGACATAAAAAACCCTTCAAAAAATCAATGAATCCAGGAGCTGGCTTTCTGAAAAGATCAACAAAATTGATAGACCGCTAGCAAGACTAATAAAGAAGAAAAGAGAGAAGAATCAAATAGACGCAATAAAAAATGATAAAGGGGATATCACCACCGATCCCACAGAAATAGAAACTACCATCAGAAAATACTATAAACACCTCTACACAAATAAACTAGAAAATCTAGAAGAAATGGATAAATTCCTCGACACATACACCCTCCCAAGACTAAACCAGGAAGAAGTTGAATCTCTGAATAGACCAGTAACAGGCTCTGAAATTGAGGCAATAATTAATAGCTTACCAACCAAAAAAAGTCCAGGACCAGATGGATTCACAGCCGAATTCTAGCAGAGGTATAAGGAGGAGCTGGTACCATTCCTTCTGAAATCATTCCAATCGACAGAAAAAGAGGGAATCCTCCCTAACTCATTTTATGAGGCCAGCATCATCCTGATATCAAAGCCTGGCAGAGACACAACAAAAAAAGAGAATTTTAAACCAATATCCTTAATGATCATCAATGCAAAAATTCTCAATAAAATACTGGCAAGCCGAATCCAGCAACATATCAAAAAGCTTATCCACCATGATCAAGTGGGCTTCATCACTGGGATGAAAGGCTGGTTCAACATATGAAAATCAATAAACATAATCCAGCATATAAACAGAACCAAAGACAAAAACCACATGATTATGTCAACAGATGCAGAAAAGGCCTTTGACAAAATTCAACAACCTTCATGCTAAAAACTCTAAATAAATTAGGTATTGATGGGATGTATCTCAAAATAGTAAGAGCTATCTATGACAAACCCACAGCCAATATCCTACAGAATGGACAAAAACTGGAAGCATTCCCTTTGAAAACTGGCACAAGACAGGGATGCCCTCTCTCACCACTCCTATTCAACATAGTGTTGGAAGTTCTGGCCAGGGCAATCCGGCAGGAGAAGGAAATAAAGGGCATTCAATTAGGAAAAGAGGAAGTCAAATTGTCCCTGTTTGCAGATGACATGACTGTATATTGAGAAAACCCCATCGTCTCAGCCCAAAATCTCCTTAAGCTGATAAACAACTTCAGCAAAGTCTCAGGATACAAAATCAATGTGCAAAAATCACAAGCATTCTTATACACCAATAACAGACAAACAGAGAGCCAAATCATGAGTGAATTCCCATTCACAATTGCTTCAAAGAGAATAAAATACCTAGGAATCCAACTTACAAGGGATGTGAAGGACCTCTTCAAGGAGAACTACAAACCGCTGCTCAATGAAATAAAAGAGGATACAAACAAATGGAAGAACATTCCATGCTCATGGGTAGGAAGAATCAATATCATGAAAATGGCCATACTGCCCAAGGTAATTTATAGATTCAATGCCATCCCCATCAAGCTACCAATGACTTTCTTCACAGAATTGGAAAAAACTACTTTAAAGTTCATATGGAACCAAAAAAGAGCCCTCATTGCCAAGTCAATCCTAAGCCAAAAGAACAAAGCTGGAGGCATCATGCTACCTGACTTCAGACTATACTACAAGGCTACAGTAACCAAAACAGCATGGTACTGGTACCAAAACAGAGATATAGATCAATGGAACAGAACAGAGCCCTCAGAAATAATGCTGCATATCTACAACTATCTGATCTTTGACAAACCTGACAAAAACAAGAAATGGGGAAACAATTCCCTATTTAATAAACGGTGCTGGGAAAACTGGCTAGCCATATGTAGAAAGCTGAAACTGGATCCCTTCCTTACACCTTATACAAAAATTAATTCAAGATGGATTAAAGACTTACATGTTAGACCTAAAACCATAAAAACCCTAGAAGAAAACCTAGGCAATGCCATTCAGGACATAAGCATGGGCAAGGACTTCATGTCTAAAAAACCAAAAGCAATGGCAACAAAAGCCAAAATTGACAAATGGGATCTAATTAAACGAAAGAGCTTCTGCACAGCAAAACAAACTACCATCACACTGAATGGGCAACCTACAGAATGGGAGAAAATTTTTGCAACCTACTCATCTGACAAAGGCCTAATATCCAGAATCTACAATGAACTCAAACAAATTTACAAGAAAAAAACAAACAACCCCATCAAAAAGTGGGCGAAGGATATGAGCAGAGACTTCTCAAAAGAGGACATTTATGCAGCCAAAAGACACATGAAAAAATGCTCATCATCACTGGCCATCAGAGAAATGCAAATCAAAACCACAATGAGATACTATCTCATACCAGTTAGAATGGCGATCATTAAAAAGTCAGGAAACAACAGGTGCTGGAGAGGATGTGGAGAAATAAGAACACTTTTACACTGTTGGTGGGAGGGTAAACTAGTTCAACCATTGTGGAAGTCAGTGTGGCGATTCCTCAGGGATCTAGAACTAGAAATACCATTTGACACAGCCATCCCATTACTGGGTATATACCCAAAGGATTATAAATCATGCTGCTATAAAGACACATGCACACGTATGTTTATTATGGCACTATTCACAATAGCAAAGACTTGGAACCAATCCAAATGTCCAACAATGATAGACTGGATTAAGAAAATGTGGCACATATACACCATGGAATACTATGCAGCCATAAAAAAGGATGAGTTCATGTCCTTTGTAGGGACATGGATGAAGCTGGAAACCATCATTCTCAGCAAACTATCACAAGGACAAAAAACCAAACACCGCATGTTCTCACTCATAGGTGGGAATTGAACAATGAGAACACGTGGACACAGGAAGGGGAACATCACACACTGGGGACTGTTGTGGGGTGGGGGATGGGGGAGGGATAGCATTAGGAGATATACCTAATGCTAAATGATGAGTTAATGGGTGCAGCACACCAACATGGCACATGTATACATATGTAACAAACCTGCACATTGTGCACATGTACCCTAAAACTTAAAGTGTAATAATAAAATAAAAAAAAGAAATAGAGAATTCCATAGAAAAACAAGCATAAACAGTGTACAGACAAATCACAGAAAACAAAACAAAGATAAACATAAATGGCCAACAGGCATTTTTTTATTTTATTTTTTATTTATTTATTTGTTTGTTTATTTATTTAGGAGAACATTTTTATTCAAGAACTGAGTTCCAAAGAAGATTTCTAGGGCAAACACAATTTGTTTTCCCCATAGAAAGTGGTCAATAAATGTCAGTGAGATAATCTGATTGAAAGAGGTATGTGAGATATCTTCAATATTTATGTAAACATAAAGGTACCCAATAAATATGCTATGTTTGTAAATGTTTTGCAGTCCATTTTTTTTAAGCTTGAAGAGTACCATGGTGAATGCCAATGACATTTTCTTGCACCTTTCAAAGGGAATATATGCTTCCCCTACTTCCTACCTATGAAAGTTTCTAATTTGAGAGTTAAGGGATAAAGGAATGCCTTTGTGAACTTGTTATCATTTATATGATATACAATTTTTGGCACAGTTGGTATAAAAATGTGTGACAGAAATATAAGGTATATTGAATATTTATCTCTTGATAATGCCCTGTTTCTGTCTTCTTATTTAACAAAATTGTCTGTGGCACATATTTCGAAAAAATGATTTCATATTTTTAAGGGTTTTCAATTCACAAAATGTCAGTGAAAAAACAATAATATAATAATTATTAGGAAATTTAACAGACCTCTTTTCTAAAAATATTTAAAGTAAAATTGGATATGAAAAAATACACAGAAGTTTAGAAGCACCTGGCAACCTGACAAATAAATTATTGGCAATGAAACTACCAGGGAACATAATTGTTAAAGAAGATAATGAAATTGAATATTAATAAGCTTAATAAACTTGTTTATTTTGACCCCAAATAGGTAAGACCCCAGAGACACAGAAAATTATACCTAGTATGTCCAGACCTGAATATTGTATTCAGTACAATTTATCATGCATGCTTTTAAAGAACTAACCTAACCCATTTTTCCAGCAAGAAGGAGATATATAGAGAAAGTGAGTTATTTTAGAATTTTACTTTTATTGATGTTTGTAATTTATTTGGGTTTGTACCAGAAAAAAACAAGGAAATATTGTTTAACTGGGTGGATATTGGTATACCAGCTGACAAAATAGTGACAAAATGGAAAGTCACACAGGACGACTGGTCCAGTGTTAAACAAATTTGGTTTTAGACGTGGGTGTTTGTCTCCAAGGATCTGGAATTCAAGGGAGGGATTTTTTTATATATAGATTTTAGGTAGATGAATTTGAGAATCATCATGTTATAAGTGATGATGGAAGAGTGAAAGCAAATTAGGTCATCCAAGGGGAGAAATCAGTTGTCTTTTGTCATTTGTGTTGCTGCAATTAATGAGATTATAATGGTATAAACAAAAAATACTGTAAGATCATATCAGCAAAAGATGACTCTGTCTGAGAGAGATTATGGAAGATACCACATAGATGACAACATTAAGATTGAGAAGTTTGGTGTCCTTTTTTTTTTTTTTGAGATGGAGTCTCGCTCTGTCGCCCAGGCTGGAGTGCAGTGGCGCCACCTCGGCTCACTGCAACCTCCCCCTCCCGGGTTCAAGTGATTCTCCTGCCACCAACAGTGTAAAAGTCTTCCTATTTCTCCACATCCTCTCCAGCACCTGTTGTTTCCTGACTTTTTAATGATTGCCATTCTAACTGGTGTGAGATGGTATCTCATTGTGGTTTTGATTTGCATTTCTCTGATGGCCAGTGACGATAGGCATTTTTTCATGTGTCTTTTGGCTGCGTAAATGTCTTCTTTTGAGAAGTGTCTGTTCATATCCTTCACCCACTTTTTGATGGGGTTGTTTTTTTCTTGTACATTTGTTTGAGTTCATTGTAGATTCTGGATATTAGGCCTTTGTCAGATGAGTAGGTTGCAAAAATTTTCTCCCATTCTGTAGGCTGCCCATTCAGTGTGATGGTAGTTTGTTTTGCTGTGCAGAAGCTCTTTAGTTTAATTAGATCCCATTTGTCAATTTTGGCTTTTGTTGCCATTGACAAGCATGTTTTTAAAACTAGAAATAACTTAAATGCCCAATAAGGAAAATAGTTAAATAAATTATAGTACATTCATATTACAGAATACCATAAAGCAATGATAAGGAATAAGGTGAATTTTTATTAAGTGAAAAAAATCAATAACAATATAGGAATGATCACATCTATACAAATACATTGCTACATTTCTACATATAAAATGTATAGGAAAAAGTCTGAAAGAATGCACACCAAATTATTCTGTTTTTAGGAAAAGCAGTAGGATTGGTCAGGGCATGGAATGTCGGCTAAGTGAAGTGAGATTTAAAATTTTTATTCTACATGATTTTCTAGTGTTGGGAATTTTTGACAGTGAGCATACATGCACTTATTACTTGCATAATTCTGAAAACTATTTTAAAAACAACAGAAAATATATGAAAGTCTATTGGTGTATACAGCATTAATAGTAGTGAAAGTTTAACAGAAAAGATCTGAAAATCTCCCAAAGTTATATAGAAACAGATCTAGCTGACACACTGTGTACCTAGAAATGATTTTGGATCTCTTCACAGAGACCCCTATCCCACCAACCTCCAATCCTCCCACCATACATTGATCCCTTTCTATCTGCTTGGATCATTAGCTGTAAATTTAACTTCGAAAAACAAAGTACGTTTAATCATTGTACCCTGAGATCTAACATTCAGAGAGTTTCTTCAGGTGCAAATACATCCCATTCTTGGGCTTGAGGATAAAATGGTTGGGGAAAGTAAGAGGCCTGGTGGGGTCTGGAGTCACTCTGAAGTGGAGCAGAATCAAGGCAATGGTTACCTTTAACTCAATCATGGCAAACTCCTGCCCAATGCAGTTCCTGAAGACAAGAGGGAAAGAAAGTGATACTTGAAAAAATGATGTTTCTTCTGACTATAGTAAAATACTAGTACAATAAGTCTGAAGTACACAGTAAAGTGATATTTTTCCACCAAATGCCATTGAAACTTTTGAACTTTAGACTTAAATTGTTCACTGTGAGAATTTGAGCTGGGAGGCTCCAACATGATGCCTTCCCTATAACAAGGCGGCAGTTGGAGTTACTCATGAAATTATTTCTCTTGCTTTGAAGGTGGACTGCATTGAGCCTATGAGCAGTAGCTTACATTGTGGGACTGCTTTTGAGGCATGGCCAAAAAGGATGTGACAGAGAATACGATTGTCCTTTGTAAAACTAACTGATCCTTTGGGGCTCAAATAGGCACCAAGATCTACGGTTCCCTGGAAGAATGTATAGAGCTGAGGAGCTGAAAGGAATAAACTACTCTCAAGTAAACATCTTTGGGTACTTTCAGCAACTTCAAATTGTTCTCACCTTGATCCAGCTGAGAATGGTAAGTAGGCATAGGGGTGTCTCTGATCAGAATTCTCCTGAGAGAACCTCAAGGGGTCAAAGACCTGAAATGAGAGGACAACCCCAACACCATCCCCCAAACAACATGAACACATTTCTTCACCTACCACCTAGCACCGATCAATAGAAATATAATGTGATCTACATGTGTAATTTAAAATGTTCTGGTGGTCACATTTTTAAAAGGTGAAGTTAATCTTAATAGAGTTTATTTAACCAAAAATTACCATTCCAACCTGTAATCAATATAAATAATTACTAAAAGGAAATGTTTCACATTTTTTTAGGGTACTATGTCTTCAAAATCCAGCACGTATTTTAAACTTACAGCACAACTCAATTCCAACTGGCCACATGTCATGTGCTCAGTAGCCGTATGTGGCCCGTGGCTACTACACTGGGCAGTGTACCTTCAGACCTGCAGACCTTGCAGCTTCACAGCTGATTTGTCTGATACCCAGGCAAACAAAAATACTATGGCAAGTGGTATTATTTTCACTATGGAGATACATCCACTTAGAAATGGATGTGCATCCACTTAGAAATCAAGTCAAAATGATGATGTGGCCAATTATTACAGAGACATATACTCCAGCTTCCTGTTACAAGTAATAGATCTTAAACCTTAGTGGCTTACATGAAAGAAATCACTGATACACGTCAAGAGTGTTTCAAGAACATAGAATAGTTTTACATTTCTTTTGGCTTTTATGTTTATTTTTGTTTAATTTGTGTCATTTCCCTTAATTATATAGCCACTTCTGTGCTTAGCTACCAAAAAGTGACTTGCACAGCATTAGTTCTTGGAAGTATTTATGTACAAGAGAGAATCATACCTTTGGGTTTTTCCAGACAGCAGGGTTGTGGTGAAGACCCCAAATACTAAGAACCACGGTGATCCCTAAGAAAGGAGGGAAATAAAAGAGACTGCAGGAGAAAGAGCAAGTTGTGGGCTACTGTGCTCTTAAACAAGACTTTTGTTCTTGAAGGGAAGAGCTAGCTCCTGGCAATGCTCTGCCTGCTGTAGCTGATGACACCAGTGAGGAGCACCTAAGAAGATGCGGCTTGGGTTGGCACCTTAGCTTTCCACACAACAATTTACTGAATTCATGATTCTATCTTAAGTAGCTGTTGGTGTCATATCAAAGTGATAAACCATGCTTATATTTTCTGCTATGTTTGGAAATTACTTAAATATTTGTTTTTTGTTTTTGTTTAGAGTCAGGGTCTGGCCTGTCAATCAGGCTGGAGAGCAGTGGCGTGAACATTGCTCACGGTAACCTTGAACTTCTGAGCTCAAGTGATCCTCCTGCCTCAGTCCCCCAAGTAGGCAGGAATACAAGCATGCAACACCATGCCTGGCTATCTCTCTCTTTTTTTTTTTTTGTAAAGACAGGGTCTCCCTATGTTGCCCAGGCTAGTCTCAGACTCCTAACTTCAAGCAGTCTTCCCACCTTGGTGTCACAAAATATTGGGATTATATGCGTCAGCCACTGTGCCTGGCCTAAATACCTATTAATGGACTATTAAGCACTCCTGGAGACAATTTAGGTATAAAAGCACAGAACTGGCTGGGTGCAGTGGCTCATGGCTGTAGTCCCAGCGCTTTGGGAGGCTGAGGAGGGCTGGTCTCGAGATCAGGAGCTTGAGACTAGCCTGGCCAACATGGTGAAACCCCATCTCTAATAAAAATACAAAAATTTGCCAGGCGTGGTGTGCACCTGTAATCCCAGCTACTCGGGAGGCTGAGGCAGGAGAACTGCTTAAACCTGGGAGGCAGAGGTTGCAGTGAGCCGAGATTACGCCACTGTACTCCAGCCTGGGCTACATAGCAAGACTCTGTCTTGAGAGGAAAACGCACACACACACACACAGAACTGTGATTCTGTCATGCAGATCCCATGACAAATTTCCATTGGTGCTATTCACATATGGAAAGTGGAGAATTTTGGCAAATATCCATGTGGTTTGGGGAGAAACAGAGTACAAAACAAAGGAGAGAGAATGTGAGGGTTATTTGGTTTCCAGAAATAATTCTAGCTTCCAGAAATTAATTCTGGGTCTGTCAGCAAAGTTACAGTAACAGGCTGTAGGTGTTTGCCAGAAGCAATCCTGTTGGCTTGCTTCCTAAGACATGAATTAATAGAACATTGAATCAGATAATATGTCTCACATGACCCCTCTGCTTCCTATAAGCCCTGCTCAGAAACCTGTGTTGTTCCGAAGAACTCTAGGCTCCAGACTCAGGGTCTCCGCACAAGTTCTAGCTCTGCTCACATCAGTTAATGTCATCTACACATTGGGGCTGCCTCTGGATTTTGGGCCACATTGAAAGTACTTAAAAGTGTTCAGTGAACTGTAAATCATTGTATAAGCGTCTGTTAACATTGGATTCCAAGGGGAAAAATGAGATAATGGGTCTGAAGGCTCTATATTAACTATTAAATGTTGTATATTTATAAGGGTGATATTATGATGATGAGGCCAAAGATCCCCCTTGGTCTTTCAGATAAAGATGCTGGTGCTATTTTCCATGAAGTTTCAGCTCGGTCTCAAACTCAGCCAAACAAAGATTATCTTAGAAATGATGTCCCACAATGGAAGAGACCCTGGGCTGGGATTCCAGAGACATGGATTCTGGGCTTAGCTTTGCTGCAACTGGCTATGTGCCTTTGGGAAAGTCATTGAAATTCATGTCTGACCAAAGCATTATCCTCTGAGCTCCTCATAGGTGATAAAACCTAAGTCACATGTTAGCATTATCTTTTGACTTCTCCAAGTGCTAAGAGACTCACTAATCTTTGTCACTGTGGTCTCCAGGATCCCATAGCCTCTAAGAACTGCTTAGGAAAAGAATGTAAAGACCTGCAGGCAATGTGCATCCATCTGGGAAGGTAAGTGGCTTGCTGAGATCTCTGGAAATGGACGGGACTGCAGGAATCAATCGGCACGTCTCCTTGATGCACATTGTGGTGTACGACATCTCACCCAGCTGGTCCCTGTGAGGATGAGGGAGGGAAGGGACTCAGATATCATAACCAGTTTACTTTTTTTCTGTTTTCTGTTTGTTCCTGGTAATTATTACCCTCAGGTTAAAGCCATTTTGCCACTGGTTTATGTAACAGAATGTTAAAATGGGACTCTCTGCCTCAGGATGAGCTGAGGTCCCAGAGGCAGAGGAACCAAAGAAATATATCATATATCCTTATTATAAAGTGAGCTGCTAAACTAGCAGTAAAACATTTGCTAAGGAGATTTCTAAAAACCAGTTTTGTAACTCTTAGCTCATCATATAAAGTAATAATACATAAAAATGGCGAAGGATTAAAGAGGAGAGGCTTAAGAATTTTGAGAGAAAAAATTATTTAAAGTGTTGTTGGAATGCCAGAGTGCCATGGAAAAGGAAGGGTGCTTCCCCCATCTTAAACAAGAGGCTTCAAGAGGATCACTTAGATGATCTGACTTGTGCTCCTTGGAGTTTGGGGAGTACAGGACTGATGTGAAAGGCTATAACTCAGAACAGACAGAAAGGCAGAGGACAGCAGCAGAGGCAAGGCAAGGATGTGCAACTGTGTCCTTAAACCAATTAACTGGCAAGAGGGAAAGCTCTGGGACCAGCTTGAAAAAGAGTCTGCCTAAGGACAATTATTCTCTTGTCCCCTGAATCACCTCTGGAAAGTTCTAGTGAGAGAGTCTCCAAGAAAGGGAGTTTCCTCTTGAGAGAAAGGGAAGCATGGAATATCCACCAAGCCCTTTGGCATGATCACAATAGTACCAGCCCTTTACTCCTTATCCCCTTTCCTCCTAAAACCATTCCTGGAGGGCCCAGAAACAGCAGCTACTGGGTATTGGGGAGCTAGTCAGTAAGAATAAGTCGATGATAAACCACTGCTGGCTTCTAGGACCAAAGAAGTACCAAGCTGGGATGGAAAGAAGAGCTCAAGTGGATAAGTATTTGAAAGTTTCAGTATTACACTGGGCCAGATAGTTTAATTACTGACCTAAGATTGTTCTTGTGATTTAAATGAATGAGAACTCTATGAGACTTACTCAGGATCTTTCCCCAGAGATAAAAAGAACTTGCTCCACAAAGCAGGTTTAAAGTTTATAAGTGGAAGAAGAATAAAGTTTTTTTTAAATTTGCATCCTACCTAGTCTGCATCCAATCTAGTCAGATTGGTTCCATAAAATGACTGCATATATTTAGTCTGTTTATCTTATTGTGTTTTTATATGTTTTTCTGATTACTTATTTTGAATGCAGGCTTTGGCCATTAGGTAATGTGAAATTTTAATTTTGAATTCTTTCTTCCTCAAGCTCAGGATAAATAAGAGTAATTCTGGCCAGGCGCAGTGGCTCACACCTGCAATCCCAGCACTTTGGGAGGCCTAGGTGGGCGGATCATCTGAGGTCGGGTGTTCAAGACCAGCCTGACCAACATGGAGAAACCCCGTCTCTACTAAAAATGCAAAATTAGCCGAGCATGGTGGTGCATGCCTGTAATCCCAGCTACTCAGGAAGGCTGAGGCAGAAGAATCGCTTGAACCTGGGAGGCAGAGGTTGCGGTAAGCTGAGAGATTGCGCCACTGCACTCCAGCCTGGGCAACAAGAGTGAAACTCGGTCTCAGAAAAAAAAAAAAAGAGTAATTCTGCTTACCCTGGCACTTTGCATAATTAAAAAAACAATTTTGTCCATTTCAATCATGGAACAAAAGTTATATTTCAAAATGAAGCAGAGGTAAAGACATCTCCAGATAAACAAAAGTTGAGGGTGTTCACCACTACTAGACCCATCTTACAAAAAATGCTAATGTGAATTCTCCAAGTTGAAATGAAAGAATACTAATTAACAACATGAAAATTGAAAACAAAAATCTCACTGATAAAGGTAAATACATAGTCAATTTAGAATACCCTAATAATGTAGTGGTGGTATGTTAATTAATTCTATCTCTAGTATAAAGTTAAAAGCCAAAACTATTAAAAATGACTGTTGCTACAATAATTTGTTAAGGGATACACAATAAGGGGACACATCTCCAAAACTAGGTAAATTATGACATCAAAGACATAAAATGGAGGGCAGTTGGTAGAGTAAAAGTGTATAGTTTTTTTAAGTGTTGAAAGTTAAGCTGTTATCAGTTTAAAATAGCCTTTTATAACTATGCTTTATGTAACCCTCATGGTAACCACAAAGCAAAAACCTATAGTAGAGCAACAAAAGATAAAAAGTAAAAATCAAAGTACACCACTAGAGAAAAGCACCTAATCACAAAGGAAAAGAGTAAGAGAGGATGAAAGGAACAAAAGATCTATAAAACATCAAGAAAACAATTAACAAAATGGCAGTAGTAAGTCCTTGTCTGTCAATAATTACCTTGAATACAAATGAATTAAATTCTCTAATCAAAAGGGTGGCTGAATGAATGAATAAAACAAGACCCAAGCATATGCCCCTACAGCATCTCATTTCATCTTTAAGAACACACATAGAGTGAATGCGAAGGGTTGGAAAAAAATATTCCATGCAAATAGAAACCAAAAGAGAGCAAAGGTAGCTGAACTTTTATCAGACAAATTAGGCTTTAAGACAAAAACTGTAAAAAGAGACAAGAAGACCATTATATAATGAGAAAGGGGTCAATCCATCAGGAGGATATGATAGTTGTAAATAAATATGTACCCAAAATAGGAACACCTAAATATATAAAGCTTTAAATATTAACCCTATTCAACAAATTGTACTGGGATAATTGGCAAGCCACATGTAGAAGCATGAAACTGGATCCTCATCTCTCACCTTATACAAAAATCAACTCAAGATGGATCAAGGACTTAAATCTAAGACCTGAACCATAAAAATTCTAGAACATCAGAAAAACCCTTCTAGATATTGGCTTAGGCAAAGACTTCATGACCAAGAACCCAAAAGCAGATGCAAAACCAAGCCAAAACAAAACAACCCCAAAAAACAACAACAACGAAAAGATAAATAGGTGGGACTTAATTAAACTAAAAAGTTTCTGCACAGCAAAAGAAATAATCAGCAGAGTAAACAGACAACCCAAAGAGTGGGAGAAAATCTTCACAACCTACACATCCAACAAAGGTCTAATATCCAGAATCTACAGGGAACTCAAATTAGCAAGAAAAAAACAAATAATCCCATCAAAAAATGGACAAAGGACATGAATAGACAATTCTCAAAAGAAGATGTACAAATGGCCAACAAATATATGAAAAAATGCTCAACATCACTAATGATCAGGGAAATGCAAATCAAAACCACAGTGCAATACCACCTTACTCCTGCAAGAATGGCCATAATCAAAAAATCAAATAATAATAGATGATGGTGTGGATACAGTGAACAGGGAACACTTCTACACTGTTGGTGGGAATGTAAACTAGTACAACCACTATGGAAAACAGTGTGGAGATTCCTTAAAGAACTAAAAGTAGAACTACCATTTGATCCAGCAATCCCACTACAGGGTATCTACCCAGAGGAAGAGAAGTCATTATATGAAAAAGACACTTGCACCTGCATGTTTGTAGCAGCACAATTCGCAATTGTAAAGACATGGAACCAGTCCAAATGCCCATCAATCAAGAATGGATAAAGAAATTGTGGGATGTATATACTATGGAATACTACTCAGCCATGAAAAGGAACAAAATAAAGGCATTCGCAGCAATCTGGATGGAATTGGAGACCAATATTCTAAATGAAGTAACTCAGAAATGGAGAACCAAACATTATATGTTCTCACTCATAAGTGGGAGCTAAGCTATGAGGATGCAAAGGCATAAGAATGATACAATGGACTTTGGGGACTTGGGGGAAATGGTGGGAGGGAGGTGAGGGATACAAGACTACAAATTGGGTACAGTGTATACTGCTTAGGTGATGGGTGCATCAAAATCTCACAAATCACCACTAAAGAACTTACTCATAACCAAACACCACCTGTTACCCAAACCCTATGGAAATAAAACAATTAAATTAAGAAAAAAACACTGGTGAAAGAAATTGAAGAAAACACAAATTGCAAAATACCCTGTGTTCATTAATTGGAAGCATTAATACTGTTAAAATATCCATACTACCCAAAGATTCAATGCAATCTCCATCAAAATTCCAATGGCATTATTCACAGTAATCGAAAAAAAAAAAAAGCCCTAAAATTCGTATGGAATAAAAAAACTCAAATAGCCAAAGCAATTTTGAGCAAAAAGAGCAAAGCTGGAGGCATCATACTACCTGATCTGAAATTGACTACAGAGCTCTAGTCACCAAAACAGCATAGAGCTTCTAAAAAAAGAGACATATAAACTAATAAAACAGGATAAAGAGTCCAGAAATACACCCACACATTTATTGTCAACTGATCTACAAAGGTTCCAGTAACATACAGTGGTGAAAGGGCAGTATCTTCAATAAATGGTGTTGAGAAAACTGGATATGCACTAGTAGAAGAATAAAAGTGGACCTTTATCTCACTCCATATACAAAAATCAACTAAAAATGGATTAAAGATTTAAACATATGACCTGAAACTATAAAACTACTAGAAAAAAACATAGAGAAAAGCTTCTTGATATTATTCTTGGCAATGATTTTTTGGATACAACTCTGGAAGTATAGTCAACAGAAGAAAAAATAGATAAATGGTTTTGCAGCAAACTAAAAAGCTTCTGCACAACAAAGGAAACAATCAACATAGTGAAGAGACAACTTAAAGGATGGGAGAACATGTCTGCAAATGATACATCTGATAAGGGGTTAATATTCAAAATATATGAGGAACTCACACAATTCAAAAGCAAGAAAACAAATAACTAGATTTAAAAATGAGAAAAACCTAAAATAACATTCCTACAAAGAAGACATGAATGGCCAGCAGGTATTTAAAACAATGCTCAACATCACTAATCATCAGGGAAACGTAAATTAAAACCATAATGAGACATCACCTCATGCTCATTAGAATGGTTATTACCAAAAAGACAAATGTTGGTGAGGATGTGGAGAAAACAGAACCCTTATACACTTTTGGTTGGAATGTAAATTAGTACAGCCATATGGAAAATTGTACGGAGTTTCCTCAAAAAATTAAAAATAGAACTACCATATGATGCAGCAATTCCACTTCTGGATATACAACCAAACGAAATGAAATCAGTGCATTGAAGAGACATCTACATTCCCATGTTCATTGCAGCATTATTCACAATAGCCCAGATATAGAAATCAACTTAAGTGTCCATCACTGGATAAATGGATAAAGAAAACATGGTATATATATAAACAATGGACTAACAATTAGCCATAGAAAAGACAAATATCTTGTCATTTATGACAACAGAGATGAATTTGGATGACATTATGCTAAGTGAAATAAGCCAGGCACAGAAAGACAAATTCCACATGATCTCACATGTGGAAATCTAAAACATTAAACTCAAAGAAGCAGAGAGTAGAACAGTGGTTACCAGGGGCTGTGGGAGAATGGGGGATTACAGGGATGTTAGTCAAAGGATACAAAATTTCAGTCAGACAGGAGGCATAAGTTTAGGAGATGCATTGTACAATATGTGATTGGAGTTACTAACAATTTGTATACTTGAAAATTGCTAAGAGGGTAGATTTTAAATGTCCTTACCACAAAAAAATGATAAGTATGAGTTAATGAACATGTCCATTGATAGATTTAGTCATTCCACAGTGTATACATATATCAAAATATCATGTTGTACATCATATATATATACACACATACATATATATATAACATGTATATGCACAATTTTTGTCAGTTAAAAAATAAATTAAAAATGATTACTCAACATTGTATTTTGTGCTATATAGATTAAATCTTTAGTTTATGGTAGGAAAGGGCTTCTATTTCCTTATAAAATGAGATCTCTGATATACTTTTATAATGTCAAATTTGGTTTTACAAATGTTTCAATTGAGTTGACTTTTGCATATGAAATATGGTGTTTTTTATCTGGTCATGCTGCTGAATTGTCCTTAGCATTTCTGTCTTTCTGTCCCTTTGACCAGATTATGTCAGGAACACATTTTATCTTTGCAAACAGCATAACCTGGGCTTTATTAACAGCAGTATATGCTTAAAGTCTAGCAAGATAGAGATGACAGTTTCCACCTGGCTAACTCCTACTTATCCTGCAGTCAGCGTAAATGTCAAGGAAGTCTCCTTGAGCTCCCATGCCAGGGTAGGTACCTGTCTTCTATGTCTTTGTGTTAGCCAGCACATATCTCTATCATTGCCCTCATTATGCTACACTGCAATTTGGAGGTCTGTCTCCTGTCTCCTGTATTAGACCATTAGCTCACCGAAGACAGGGCCCACAATAAATTGTAGTCATAAAAAAAGTCTCAGTATTTAAAATGTCCTCAGTCCATATTTGCTAAACTTAACTATAGTATATATCATCGAATATTATGTCTGAAGTCTAAAATCAATCCTGAGGAATAAAATTGGTGACAAGCGGCTGGGAGATGTCTAAAATGAGCCTTAAATAATGCAGCTAATCATTCAGCTCTCTCAGAAGAGGAGCTCCACTTGGACCCTATTGTTTAAGTTCTAAGTGCCAGCCCAGGGATCAAGTCCTCATTTCCAATGCATCAGAGCCAAGGTGAAATAAAGAAATAAGACATTTCACACACCATTGATTAGAAAACCAATGACAGACAATTTATGGATAAATAAACTTTTTTTTTTTTTCCTGAAAGACAAGAGAATAATTTGGAGCTCTCTTTAGAAAGAACAGAAAAGTAGCCTACTTCTTCTGTTTCACCTACACATATCCTGAGGCACTAGGGTCACTAAGGTACCAGCGCAAAAAATAAAGCAAAATCTCAGGGGGAAAACTAGCAGGAAAATTTAGGGGTGCAGATCTTACCAAGTGATAGAAGACCCATCCCCCAGGATGCCCCTGACCTCCTCCCGGCATCTCTCTTGATGCTCAGGGTTCAGAGCCAGGCAGTAAAGGATCCAGGAGATGCTTGCTGCCAAGGTGTCATGTCCTGCCAACAGGAATGTGCTCACTTCAGAGTGTACATCAATATCTGAGAAGCTGCTACCACTTTCATCCTAGAAAGTACAATACAAATATTTTAAATAAAATGCCAGTTTATAAATGTTTGGAGATACAACCACAATAATGATTTGAGGGGAAAAATCAGAGCTTTAAATAGGGGTTTAAATTTTAATTCAGTTCAACAAATATGTGGTATAAACCATATTCTGCCCAAAGCATAAAGGAGAACCAAGGTTAGATAAGAAAAGCAGGCCTTGCACAAAGGGCCCTCAATCAACAGGCCCTAGAAATTCTCTTCAAACTCCCAGATTTCCCAGGACCTTATCATCATAATTTTTACGTTTATCCATGTGACCATTTTTTCATGATGCCCTAAAATCCATGTATCCATATGACAATCCTCAAATCTTGTCAAATCGTTCGTTTAGTCTTTACTAACCCTCCTCTAGCGACACAGTTGCAGAATTCTCTCTTTGTCTCAAATTGCATGAAGCTGCTCATCAATTCAAAGTACAGTTAAATTTAGTCAATCGGTTTTATTCTTGTCTCCCCATCCCATTCCCACTTACCCACCTACTTACATAATTAACTGGTCACTTGAGCAGGCTTAGAAATTTAGAAGATTTACCTTGGCAGAAAGGACAATATCCAGAAAATCCTGGTACTTCCTCTTCGGAGTGTTATCCTGCTTTACCCCAGCCTGGAGGGATTTCTTTCTTTCCTGGATTATTGTATCTGGGTAGAAAAATAGTTTCCAATTACCAAAGTGATGGCAAAGTCAAATAAATTATAAAGCAAGCCATGGTTAGTGAATAGCTTCAAATCTTGCCTGATTTCCAGACGTTTAAATAGATCTAATTTTCACAGATGGTTTATTTTCTCATCAAAGGGACTTTTGATTAAAGCTCCAAAGATAAACAACACAAATAAAAAACATAGTTTCCATCAGTATGTGGGCAATAAAATTAAGATGATTTCAAGTTTAGATGCAAGTGACCAATTATTCTTTTCTTCCTCAGTCTAATATTTTATCTTCACGGAAAAGTTATTAAATAAAATGGAATGAAATAGAAGACAGGCAAAGAAATGCCAATATATTTATAATTGAAGGAGCTGAGAGAAAAAAAACAAAACAAAAATATGGAACAGAGGTAATATTTATTTACTATTTAAAAAATTTCAACTTTTATTTTAGATACAGGGGTACATGTACAGGTTTGTTACATGGGTAATATGAGAACTCTCTGTACTTTCTGCTGAATTTTTCTGCAAACCTAAAACTTTTCTAAAAATAAGGTCTATTAATGTTGAAAAAAGCCACAAAATCTCCTTAATTAAAACAGTGTGATTCTGGTACATTGGTAGATAGATCAATGGAATACACGAGAACATCCAAATATACTCTTATCCAAAACAGATACCAGTACATGTATCCGTTTAGAATGTGATGGTTATCTCAAATCACTTGAAAAGATAAACTTTTAAATAATGGTGATGGGACAACTGGATAAACATTTGGAAAAATTAGATCAATACCTCACACCATATATAGGAATAAATTCTAAATGGAGTTTAGATCTCTGATTTAAATATGAAAATAATGAAATTATACAAGTACTACAAGAAAACATAAATAATTTTCTCTACAACCTGGGTACAGGGCAGTGGTTCTCAACTGGGGGCCCTGGGAACATTCAATAATGTCTGGAGTTATTTATGGTTGCTATAACTATCAGAGCTCTACTACATCGAGTGGGTAGATGTCAGGGATGTAGCTAAACATCCTACAATGCACACATCTTGACAACAAGGACTTATCTAATCTAAGAAGCCATTAGTGCTGAGGGTTGAGAAACCCTGGAATAGAGAATGGCTTTTTGTGATTACTAAAAATCCAGATGCAATAAAATAAAATATTGATATATTTGACTAAATAAAAATAAACAATTTAAAAAAATTAGCCAGGTGTGGTGGCAGTGCCTGTAATCCCAGCTACTCAGAAGGCTGAGGTAGGAGAATTGCCTGAACCTGGGAGGTGGAGGTTGTAGTGAGCTGAGATCACACCACTGCGCTCCAGCCTGAGTGATAGAGACTCCATCTCAAAAAAAAAAAAAAAAAAAAATTGAAAAGGTTTTAAGTTTTGAATAAATTTAACATTTAATATTTTCCCTAACACTTTGCATTTTGCTTTTTCATCATAATTGTATAATATTTAAAAAGTAAAGATTTTTTTTTACAAAGTTCTGTATAGCTTCCCCCAAATCCATTCCTGTTTACTCCAATGAAGCACAAAAACATTAACATTTTCTGTGTGTGCAATGATGCAGAAAGACTTGGGAACTGCTGCTATTTATAATGCCCATTTATGCCTTAAATTGTTTATAACCTGCTTCTCTGAGTGTCCTCTTTATAATATCTATGTGCATGTATGCATATATGTATGTGTAAGTGTGCATATGTTGGTGTGTCTTGCAAAATTCCTGGAAGCAAAGACATTTGACATAACTATACTTTACATTTAACATCTATTCAGTGCCAGGCACTGTCCTAAATGCTTTATATATATTAACCCACTCATCGTAACAACAAATGTATGAGATAGGTTCTTTTTTAATCTCCATTTTATAGATGACACTGAAACAAAGCAGTAAGTAACTTACTAGTAACTGCTAGTAAGTGGTGAAGCTGATGAAGGATTAATTCACTGCTTGATAAGTATTCTCCATTATGGCATTCATGACAAGTAATGTTGAATTGCTTAAAAAGCTTAATCTATTTCAACTTTTGTGTTTATGCTTGCTAAAACTGTTTTTGAATCAATATTCTTTCGGGTGCATGTCCATGTTTACTCTGTTCCACTCTCCATTCCTATGTTGCATGAATGTTTTTAGCTTGTCATTATTATTACTGCAATCGCTGTGCAAAAAGCCATATTCCATGTATGTCTGGAACTCTTAAGTGCCTACTTATATTTGTATTAATAATAATTGTCCATAATAAAAATAGTGTATATATATATATATAAAAATTCTGATAATACTGCTATGGTTGAAGCAAAGTCTTATAAAGGACTCAAGTCAAATTTCTTTGGAGCAGTGTCTATATAAAAGCTCCATTAATAACAAAGATTCTTTCTCTTGTCATATTAAGGTTTATCCCTCTAGACAGACACAGTACAATCATGGCAGCGTATGGACGTGGGCAACCCAAACCCAACAAATACCTGTGTACTGATTCAACACTCGGCTTAACTTCTGGAAGCGGTAGCCCTGAGGGCTGAGTTTGAAAATTATGTCACTGTGATACAACAAACTGTACAAGCGGTGAAATATGATTTTGCTGAGTTCAAATATGGCTTTTGCATAAGGATCATGGGTGCTAGAAGAGAAAGTTGGGATAATGTGTTAATAAACAACTTAGAAAATGTGAAGAAATATCTTTTTTGCTCTCCCACCACTGACCTGTTTGTCTGGCAGTTGGTCTCCTTGCTGAAAGCGCATTTCATGATTATATCCAGAGACATCGAGTTGATGTGCTCATAGACCTCCACGCTTGTGTCCTGAGTGCTGCAAATCTTCTCCCACTTATCCTGGCACAGGAGGTCAAGACCAACATCATCACCACCACCATGACCAAATTGCCTTCATTTGAAGGCTCCTGCCTGGCCCTGTTTTTATGATCTAATGGAGACAACCCTGACCCAGCAGGAACCAAAGATCACATGAGTAAATAAGCCATGTGCTTACACAGGGCACGAGGAAGGGAAAAATACACCCAGCGGAGTGAGAAGGAGCATGGAGAAAACTGCATATATGGTAAATGGCTGAGTTAAAGATCTGCGGCTTTTCAATTATTACCATAACTCTGCTTTCAAACAGACCAGAGTTCCATTAAAGCAATCATTGACACAAGACCCATAATTACAAGGGGTTTACCCCAGGGCTTCCTCCAACTTCAATTCCAAACTTGCTAGGTACCCTGCCACTGCTCTCAACCACCATAGCCACATTTAAAATAAACTCAGAACATTTTCAAAAACGTTTGGATTCAAAAGTGAGAAACAGAGCAAGTGTGGAGAGGAGCTGCTGCAGGGAGCTGCCCCCAGCAAAGCCTGACCTGGCTTAACTTCCCCACAAAGAGACCTACTTATACTGCTTGAAATGCTTTGCCTGACATTTTTAAACTGTCACAAGGTCCCTGGTTGAAAATGTATTTGTATAATAAGCATACTTTGTGTAAAAATTAAAATAAATTGAAATTTTAAAAGTTCAGGTCGACCGATAGGTCTTAAGCACCTAGCCCCTAGCTTAAGACCTATCGGTCAACCTGAACTTTTAAAATTTCAGAGACTTGGCAACCACAAAGGCAAAGAGAATTTTAAAAACTTTTTCCTAAGTGCAAATTGTTTAGTCAAAGAGCCTTTTTCTCAATTACGTAAGTTTTACTAAGAACAAATGGTGAATGTAGAAGAAATGAGAACAGGAGGGAGGCTTCCAAGCTTGAAAAACTCTGGAATGATGCAGCAGAGGAAGGAAGTGTGAGAAAAATCCCGGAGAAATATGTGGCTGAGAAATGAGGAGGGGAGGAAGCGCTCCGAGAAATAGAGAGAAAACTCTAATGCAACTCCAGTGCAGTCACTGGAGGATCTGAAACTGTGCTGCACCTGAACAGCACTAGAGTCACAAAAGGATGCTCTTCTCTCTCACTAGCTTGCACTGCACAGTCTCTGGGTCTCTGCCTTGAGAACTCACACTGATGTTTTTACCACAGTCCTGGCTGACTTCGGGTTCAAACTGCTTCTGTGAGTTTGGCTGAGAACCCAATCATTGAGCTGGTAACAGAGGTTTGTATGGGAACAGGGATGGGTTTGCACATGAAGTGAGAGGAAAACTTTGTCTTTGTTTGTGGTGTTTGAGGTGTCTATGATGAAAGTGTATTAGTGAATTACTTGTCTTATTTCAAAATAAATATGATTTAAAAATTGAAGCCATTGTACAAATAGAGTTTTGGAATAGAACTCGTTTATAAATCAGAGACCACTCACAGGAATGTTCTTCAGCCCCTTTGAAAGGTGTAGGTCAGGGCCTAATGATCCTCCACTATCTACAAGAGGAAATTCACATCTGCAACTTTAATACACACATTCTCTTTTGCTTGGTCCTTTATAGCCACTGGGCAAGTCCATGCCAATCTCCAAACCTTTGTTCATGCTCCCTCACTCTGCCTCGAATACTCTCATCCATATTACCTACATATTCAAGTCCAGCTTATGTTTCATGGCAAATTTGAGTTTCCTCTGAATCTGAAGCTGTTATAGCTGCTCCTGCCATCCTTACCTGTCACCTTGTGAAGTTAACGCAACTCCATACTGGAAGCTAATCTGCCATCTTGACTTCCAATTAACTCTAGTTCCAGGAATGCTCTGAGATTTCCAGTTTATCTATTGTTCCTTGTGTAAGAGCATGTACTTACCATAAATCTTGCCCTTAGGGCAAGTTCTTACTATTAATAATTTCCTCTGAAGCATGTATGCCCCTCCCCATGGTCTATAATTCCTGGGTCTGGAGGGTAATGGCACAGGGATCCACCATCTTGTCTCACAACTGTGTGAAACAGCCATGGTTTTTGTTTGAAAGCCTCTATTGAATGTTTCTTTTTAAGAAACTGTCAGCCTTTTTCTTCAGCCTCTCAGTTTCCTCAGACTTTGGGGTAGGTTTGTACAGACCCGCCCTCCATGAAACACATCTACAGCACTTACTATCTAACTATCACCATTTGGTACTTGGTTTGCTGCCATAAAATCTCAAAATATATCTAAGACAGAGGACCAGATCTTTTTATTAATATTATCACTCAAAGAACATAACAAATTTTTTACAGACACCTATTGTTCAATAAGTACGTGTACATTGGTTAAATTTTTAGAAACTGATTTTTTATTTTCATGGCCCACAAAACACATACCTAATACTGTCCATTGCTGGGAGCATTTCGCAATGCACAGAGCACTTTCCCCCTTTACTTACCAGCATCATTTTCACAGAATGAGCCATCACCTCAATGTATGCTTTCAGGATGTTAAAATGGAATCCAGGAGTTAGTAGGCGACGATGCTGGAACCACTTGGGTCCGTCTAGAGCCGCTAGTCCTTTTCCTTGAGAAATAAAAGGCAGAAAACCTTATGCCATTTAATTAGATGAGATGAAGGATAGATGAGGAACACAGGCAGCGTGGAGTAACCATGACCCACAGGCAGTCATGCAACAGTGGAGTATCAAAGTAGTACTCGTATTAATGTGCAATGCAATTTAATAGATGAAGGTGAATTTAGAAGCTTACCTCTGGGATGGATGTATTTAATATTGTGAGAAACAGTTTCAAAGTCTAATAAATTTCAAAGCCTTATAAGATTAGCACGCTAATCCTGAAATCACCAGTTACTACCTATGTAGTAACTGAATAAGTGACTCAATCTTCCTGAGGTTTACTTTTCTCAATAATGAACTATGATACTAAATACCTTTTTCCCTGTGTTGCTGTGGAGGTTAACTGAAAGTGAATACATAAGGTAGCCAACCTACTCCCTAGCTCACACTAGTAACAGAGCAAGTGAATTCCTTTCCACTCCAAACCAATCCATAAACTATATGATGAACATAAATTCACAAGGAAAGAGACAAGAGTGTCCACTCTGTCCCCTGATATTTCCTCCTTGAGCCCAGGTCTATGAATGATACTATGTGGAAATACTTACCAAGGCTAATGCTTCACAATCTTCTATTGCCAGACTGGTCATTAGGATTTGGCTTTAAAAGGACTTTAAAGTTTATTAATACATAATTGATACCATTCATTGAATGCTTACAACATTCCAGGCTCATGATGCATGATCTGTCACTCATACAATGGTGGCCATTACATGTAGTGCTAAAAATATGTATTTCATTTAATCCTCATAACAGCCCAGCAATGTGAGTCTCATCCTTATTGTCAAAGATGAGGAAACTGAGATAGGGAGAGATTAAATGACTTCCCCAAGATCATATTTAACTAGTCAATGCAGGAGGGGGCAAGATTCAAATTTAAGTGGTTCCTAATACAAGCCTATATTCTTTTCTTTCATTCATGTCTTGTTTAACATAAATACCAATTATGTAATTAAAGAGCTTAGTTTATCTGCTGACAGAATATTGCCAAACTCTAGAGCAAAATTTTACTGACTCGCATGTGGAAATAAAGGAACTCCAAAAAGAAAGGAAAACATCCAAGAAAACGAGAGAAGGATAAAGAAAACAAGAATAGGGATGGTGAGACTGCAGTTTGGGTAGTTTTTTTTTTGTTGTTGGGGGCTGCGGACAGAGTTTTGCTCTGTCACCTAGTCTGGAGTGCAGTGGCACAATCTGAGCTCACGGCAACCTCCACCTCCTAGGTTCAAGCGATTCTCATGTCTCAGCCTCCCAAGTAGTGGGACTACAGGCCTACATGCTACCATGCCTGGCTAATTTTTGTATTTTTAGTAGAGATGGGATTTCACCATGTTGGCCCAGCTGGTCTTGAAATCTTGACCTCAAGTGATCCTCCCACCTTGGCCTCCCAAAGTGCTGGGATTACATGCATGAGTCACTGTGCCTGGCCAAGGCTGTAGTTTTAAAGAGAGAGGGGACAGATTCATGTATCTGCTGCCTTGAGAATAAGACTTTGTGGGAGAGAAACGGATGAAGAAGCTTTCTGGGAAGTGGTGGTGTGTTGACCTTAGAGCTCCCCTTCAATCTTTCCCCTAGATAACGTTCAGTATAGCTCTACCTTGCACTCTTTGTGCTTTTGAATTCAGATTTCAGTTTCTTTGGCATGCTCTACTATGGAAAGGGGACTTTGAATGAGAGTGGGTTATACCTCTCATTTGCACATACATACCAAGAAGTGGAGGTGAGAATTTCTGCAGGTACTGGGACTTGGGATCTGCAGAGTCAAGCAGAGGAAACAAAAGACATCATTAGAGGGAGCATTCATTATCAGTTCAAGTTGGTGACGGTTTTCTGCATTTCTGCACCAACCACAAAAAGTGAGAAAAAGAGAGCCCAGGGCTTACTTCCTGCTGCCTTTGGCAGCCTGGGGAAAGACTTGTGTTAGTCTTGGCTCAGTTTCAGAGAACAGCAAGCCCTATGAGGCAGACAAGTACAGAAACCCTGATTATTCCCTTGTTTACACTTCCTCCAACAAGAACAGAGTTTGCCTGAGGGTTGCAAAGTTTCCATAACCGTAGTTGGGACAACATATATCCTTTACAGAAGGAAAATTAACGATCAGAGCAGAGGTCAGTAGACACCATGTATTGAGGTGTCAATGCCTCTTGGTGTTTTTGTGAACCCCAAAGTGGAGGTGTTCTACTGTTCTTGTCCTTAACAGGTGAACATGACTAGCTGGCATTACCAGACTTGCCAGGCAAGGCTTCCCTTGGCCTCTGTGGGTTTTATGACTTCAGTGTCAGCAACACTTCCCACTCCTACCCCTGGTCTCGAGCATAAGTCTCATGACACAAATCAGAGCAGGGGGACTGGAAACATGGAGATAGTCAGGGCAAGGCTCTTTCTTTCATTAGGTTTTATTAGGAGTGGTGGATACAATGCACAGGGAAGACTGGAATATAAAAACCTTCCTTTTACAAAGTTGACAGGGCAAAAACTGGACATTTTAGTATTATGCTATGAAATAATCCACAATGAAAGCCTTAAAAAAGGATTGGGTGGGGAAGTAGATGACTCATACCTGAAAAGGGGACATAGTTGAGAAATATGTGGAGAGGAAAGCTAAAATTTGGATCACTATCAAGAGGTCTGATGGGTAAATTAATGATCTAGCATTCAGGCTTTCATACTGAACCAGCAGAGGTAGAGTTACTGCTGATTTCCCACCCTCTTGAGACTTATGCTCGAGACCAGGGGTAGGAGTGGGAAGTGTTGCTGACACTGAAGTCATAAAACCCACAGAGGCCAAGGGAAGCCTTGCCTGGCAAGTCTGGTAATGCCAGCTAGGCTTTAAGTTATACCGACTTCAACGTGCCCATGCATACCTGAACAAGACAAGGGACTGGGGAGGATATGGGAATCCCCTTCAGTATTGGTAGGAAACCTGTCACCTCCCCATACTTGCTGCTGTGTCTCTTAAAGGCCCCAAACCAATCTTTGCTTTGGAATCTTGCCTATGGGTTTTATGCATTTCACTTCTAGGAGGAATAGGTCCCAGAGCTTTCCCCCTCTTCTTACCTGTTCTGCTCAGAAGTGTCTTTGCATAGTCTGGGTCATAGATACAGAAAAATGCCTGAAAGGGCCCAATCCAGAAAGGGAAGGCACGAGGGTATTTTTCAATAATTTCCTCAAGCTTCTCCATGTTATCATCCTGAATAAACTGCAGTGAAAAAAGTAAAAGTAATTAGCCAGCCAAGCTGGACCTGTCCCCTCTTATAGACACAAGCTGAGTTCAGGACCTGATAAGGTCACACAAGCAGAGGAGCCTGAGACTTTTCTGGAAGTGACATAACATGCTTTCTTTGGGACTTCTAAGCTTGGGGGATAATTCTCTAAACAAAGTTAGTGTATTTATCTTCTCAATATTAATATATCCTGTACCCCCAGACCAAGTCACTGTTGAATGACATTTACTGTGAACTCTTGTCCCAATAGAGGGTGAGCCGAGTCACACTCTCTGCCTCACTTGCCAACATCACACACTCAGATTGGAGTGGGATCTGGAAGCTAAAAAGAAGTATTTCCTATGTGGGAAACTAACAGTTACTAAATGGGGCATGACCCTACATCCAGCTCACCATTTCTTCTTCCTGTTCCTCTCTCTAATTATGCACCAGTGATTATTTCTCATGACTTAGCAGTAAATGCTTCTCTCTAAAAAATTGCCAACTCTATCTATAAAGAAAATCCAAATTCTCCCCCCAACAACAGAAGGTCCATTTACACAGATGTGTGAATCTTAAAGCAAACTCAAATACAAAACTTTCAGCTTCCAACATTTACAAATGAGAGTGCAAATACTACCACCAGAGAAGGAGTTTTTGCTTTTAGAAGCAGATGAGTAATGGCTCACTTAAATTGTTTCTCTAAATCACTGAAAACAAGATTCATTTACATTTGCTTCTTGTGTAAAGTGGAGGGCACCTGCATGTGTGTGTTTTGGTGTGCCCATCTACACACTTGAGCATGATGGTGGGAGTCCCCCGCTGCAAAGTAATCTTAAGGCTGCCAGATTTTTCCTCGTGTGACCAATCACACGGTATCTGCTGCAGGATTGTTTGCTCTCATCCTCTGGAGAGGTGGACAACTCTGGCTCCCATTTTTCTCTGTTATCATTTAGCAATTTTAACCCATAAAGTGTTCTCTGGATAGTTCAAGGCCACTGAAAGGTTGAGAGTCTTGAAACCTAGTTTCTAAAATACTGCACTTTTTTGTTAATGTTGCCATAATCAAGCCAGTGATAAGCACCCACTGACTATCCAGAGTAGTGGTTTTCAACAATGTGAATATTTTTTCATTTATTCATTTACAAACAATAAACACACAAGTATTTATTGTCTATCACACGTACCAGGTGGTAGAGATACAGAGAAATATAAGGAAGACAAGGCCTTTGCCCTCATGAATATTGTAAACTAATATGACAATTGTTTGTTTAGGTAAAAAATTTTCATAAACACCCCAGCCATATGAAAGTATTTCATTATACTTTTTGTAACTCCTGACTAGACAAAAAGGACAGAAAACTGTTGTGAATACTGTACTATATTTAATTTATATTTCTTCATCCCCAGAGAAGCATCTAAATACACTTGAAAACGGGTACTACATATATTTAGTAAACATTGTTCAGAAATGTTCAGAAAATGCATAGTGCCCCCAAATAGCAACAGCGAACATTTATCAAGCACTGCTATGAACTAGGTGCTGCTAAATGCTTTCCATGTTCTATGTTATTTAATATTTACATCAAGAACCCTATGAAGTAGATATGATTACAATCCCTACTTTAGAGATGAGGAAATTGAGCCCTACAGACTAGGTTAAATGATCTGCCCAAGTGTGTACAGCTGGCAACCACTAATGAGGATTCAAACTCCAGTTTAACTCTGGAGCCCAAGTGCTTTATACTACTTAGCTACATAGATGTTCTCTGCAGTACATCCAAGTACACATGCAGATGCACACACACATACACACACACACTTGCATATGTACATCCTAGGTCCCATATGTTGGCTATTGAATAAATGTCAAACCACCTGGCCTATTCTATGCAGTAAATTGATCTTTGAATAAATAAATTTTCTCAGCACCTAATATATTTATGCATTCAACAAAGGATTTATTGAGCACCTATTATGCACCAGGAACTGTACCATGCACTAGGTTTATAGTGGCAAACAAAGATCCTACCTCTCACAGATTTTATATTGTAGTTAGTGGTGGATAATAAATGAACAAGCAAAAGAGTATACAGTATAGTGTCAGAGAGTGATAAGGGCCAAGATAATAATAATAGGGTTGGAGATAGAGAGTACTAGAGGTGCTATTTTAGTCTGAATGGTCAGGGCAAGCCTCTTTTAGGAATAATTTGCAGGGAGAGCAATATAACCACAGACGTGCATGTTCAAAGCTCCAAGGGAGGAATATCCTTGGCATGTTTGAAGACCTGTATTACTAAGAGTAAGGAATGAAATTCTTATCTTGTAGGGAATTTTCCCTATACACACTTTATCCTTCTGTAACCTTATGACTATACTTAAAATGTTACTGTCTTTAGATAGAAGGAATAAGTTCCAGTGTTCAATAGCACTGTTAACAATAATGTATTGAATATTTCTGAAGAGCTTGAAGAGACTTGAAATGTTCCAAACACAAATAAATAATAAATGTTAGAAGTGATGAATACCCTAAACACCCTGATTTGATCACTGCACATTGTATGCACGTATCAAAATATCACAGGTACTCCATAAATATGTAGTTATTATGTAGCAATAAAATGTTACTGCCTATGTAAAACAGTATCACCTTTTGAGCCTTAGATACTAGATTTCCCTGCATGGTGAATCACCAAAAGGATCCTGATCTGATAAATGGGGAGGGTTGGTAATATTAGACAGTTTGACATGTCCGTCATCTCTGATCTGCAAAATTCTGATAGAAACCTCTCAAAAACAGAAAAAAAAAAACTTAGTGACAGTCAAGAGGGAATGTGGACTCTAAAACACTATGAATGCAATAAATAGTCTGAAATGAAATTAAAAAGAACAAAACAAATAAATTTAACAAAAGAAATGCAAGATGTATACTTTGAAAAATACAAAAACATCGTTAAAAAAAATTAAAGAAAGCCGGGAGTGGTGGCTCACGCCTGTAATCCCAGCACTTTGGGAGGGTGAGGCGGGTGGATCACGAGGTCAGGAGTTCGAGACTAGCCTGGCCAATATGGTGAAACCCCGTCTCTACTGAAAATACAAAAATTAGTTGGTGTGGTGGCATGTGCCTGTAGTCCCAGCTGCTTGGGAGGCTGAGGCAGGAGAATCGCTTGAATCCGAGAGGCGGAGGTTGCAGTGAGCCGAGATTGCGTCACTGCACTCCAGCCTGGGCGACAGAGCAGGACTCTGTCTCAAAAAACAAAAAAAAACAACAAAAAAAATTAAAGATGACCTAACTAAACGGAAAGGCTTTCTGTGTTCATGGATCAGAAGACCTAATATTCTTAAGATGGCAATAATCCCCAAACTGATCTACAGATTCAGTGCAATCCCAAGCAGAACCCTAGCTGGTTTCCTTGTAGAAATTGATAGGCTGAGTCTAAAATTTGTATAGAAACTCAAGGATTCCAAACAGCCAAAATAATCTTGGAAAATACCAAAGTGCGGGGGACTCATACTTCCTGATTTCAAAGCTTACTACAAAGCAACAGTAAGGCAGTGTGGTACTAGCATAAGGATAGCTATATAATTTATTTATTTATAATTTTTAATATTTGTGGATACATAGTAGGTGTATATATTTATGGAGTAAATGAGATGTTTTTGATACAGGCATGCAATGTGAAATAGGCACATCATGAAGAATGGGGTACCCATCCCCTCAAGCATTTATCCATTGAGTTGCAAACAATCCTATTACACTCTTTATTTAAAAGTGTACAGTTATTATTGACTATAGCCACCCTGCTATGCTATCAAATAGTAGGTGTTATTCATTCTTTCTATTTTTTTTGTACCCATTAACCTTCCCTACCTCCTCCCCCAGCTCCCCTCTATCCTTCCCAGCCTTTGGTAACCATCCTTCTACTCTCTGTGTCCATGAGTTAGGATAGACATATAGATCAATGGATTAGAATTGAAGACTCAGAAATAGACCTTGACATTTATGGTCAATTGATTTTTGACAAGGATGCCAAAACAATTCAATTAAAACAACAGACGACATAGTATTCATGAGACAGTAGAGATACATAACACAGGATAGCATCAATGGGGAGTCCTAGAACAATATCTGCATACCAAGCTTAAAGAACAACCAGTCCAGACTGGAACAGGAGGAGAGGTCTGTGGCAAAAATATCTCCAAAAAAACGAACAGATTTGGCATGTTTGCATATTTGGAAATATTATTTAGATGTGTTTGACAGATCTATTAGAGGATTTGGAAAAAAATAGTGACAAATATTGAAAAATGAAGCAGATTAGAAAAGGAAGAAGTTAACAATACTGTGGGGGTGGGGAAAAGTTCTATGAGAAAAGAAATAAAATGAAAGAGGACCATTTAGATCAGCAGTAAATAACATTTGCATAATAAAAATAATACAAATAGAAGTTTTTCTATTTAAAAAATACAATACTATATAGTTACTGGGACAGTGGAATATGAAGTGTAAGTGATTGCCTGTCATAAAGAAGTTCATAGGTGGATGTTGTCTTAGTACATTTGTGTTGCTGTAAAGGAATACCTGAGGCTGGGTCATTCACAAAGAGGATTATTTGGGTTACAATTCTGCAGGCTGTACAAGAAGCATGGCATTGGCATCTGCATCTGCGGAGGATCTCAGACGGCTTCCACTCATAGTGGAAGTGAACAGGAGCAGTTGTGTGCAGAGACCACATGGTGAGAGACAGGAAGAGAGAGGGGAGGAGGTGGCAGGCTCTTTTCAACAATCAGTTCTGGGGGTTGAAGAGGGACTAAGAGAGTGAGAACTTATGAAGGAGACAGCTGCACCAAGACATTCATGAGGGATCCATCCCAATGACCCAAAGATCTCCCATCAGATCCCACCTCCAACATTGGGAATCAAATTTCAACATGAGGCTTGGTGGGGACGAACAAACCATATCTAAACCACAGCAGATGTCTAAACTTATTAAATTAATAGATGCAATATGGTAATACTATTTTACAAATAAGTATTTAAATACCAGAAGAAACCGATAAAAGAGTTGAAAGTGGTTGCTTTATATAAGAAAGACTAGAAAGTGGGGAAACCAAAGGATCGTGTAGTAGCTCTGCTGGAATGCCTTCCCCACACCACCCAACCATCCTTTAAGACTCTGCTCAGCCCTTCACAGACTTTCCTTCCTTCTCTAGGCGGAGATGTATACTTTCCTCCGACAGATATTCCCTTGTCTCTAGGCCTCTAGTAAAGCACCCATTGCCTTAAATTTTCATTTTCTCTCTGTGGCCTAAGTCTGCACCTGACTTGGGTGGTGCAGGGGAGGGACTTAGCTTCTCTTTGTAATCTTAGTACCTATCACACAATTGCCACTCAGAGTCGGTTGAATGAATAAAAACCTTAATTAGGGGTGGGAGTGGATTTAAAAAACGGGAGAGACCAAAAGCTAACAGTCTCCCTTTACAAATTTCCATCAATCAGTATTTCTCGAGTGGCTGGCTGGGGCTGCTCCTTACTTCACAAGAATCTTAGGAAAAGAAAATTTTCTCTTGTTAAAATGGACTAAGGGTGCCAACGATTGGGATAGATTTTGCATATTTTCTGCAACTAATAAGTTATTTAGAATAACATGCTATTTTTAAAGCAACACATGTGGAAGGCTTGGTGAAGCAATGAGAGACAGACTTGAGTTACAGCTCGCTTTCTTTTTCCATATTCAGGTTCTTTAAATAGCTCTCTCCCAGCCCCCAAAGCTTCCTCTTTTGTGACCTTTCCCTGTGGGGCTGCGGGAAAGCAATTCTCCAGAGCAAGGAAAAATGATGCTAAGAGCCACAGGCCGGGCTGGAAAGGCCAGTGCAAGCCGGAGGGTCCCCAGGGATGGAAGAAAGCTGCGTCTCTCTGCCGGCTGGGCTCCTCTGCCGCATCCTCCTCCGCCCCTCCCTCCTCCTTCCTCCCTCCTCCCTCCCATCTACCTTCTGGTGCCCAAGGAACCAGTGGGTGGGGGGCGCTGGGAAGGGGCGCAGGTCCCGCAGCAGCCGCTGCCTCCGCAGGTACAGCTTAATGGCCTGCAGCAGCCCCAGGGCCAGGCAGAACACGAACGCCAGGTAAAAGGGCCGCGCCCAGCGCGTCTCCAGCCAGGAGAATTCCATGGCTCTGCGCAGCGCCGAACGCCGGCGGTTTCCTGGGGCGCGGGAGAGGGTGGGCTTTCTCCCGCCCGGAGCTGGCGTAGGGTCGCCCACCCCACCGCCTCTCTGGGCCCTCGCGAAGCTTCTGACTCGCGGGAAGAAGGAAAGGCAGTGGGAGGGGCAGCTCAGGCCTGGGGAGAGGAGGCAGGCGCGCGTGCGGGATTTCTAGCCGGTTACCAAAGCGCGCACGCTTCGTTCGGCCCAACTGCTTTTGCGCTCCTGGAGCGTCCTCTTTTAAGTCCAACAGTTTTCAGTCACGGGATCTGAATTTATATTGTAAAATAATGCTAAAGCTGAGGTCATTGTTTTTCTTCCTTATCACAAATTATAAATGGCTATGCAAGAGATTTTCTTTTCCATTCTGGCATTCTACCAAAATTCCCAGGTGGTAGAGGTAGGGGGAGGTGTACCATCATTATTCCTTTATCCTGTGGCCTGCCTAGTGGTGTTCCGGTAAATGGTTTACAACTGATTCCCACCCTGATTCCCAGCGTGTACCATGAGCTAGTTCAAGCTGCCGATACGAGGGCACTGAACACTGAACGGGGAAGATATGCACAGTAGCGTACCATCATATAGTAATTCCACTATACAGGTACAGTCAGGGCCTGCTATATAATTTATGAATCTCAGTGCAAAATGAAAATGCGGGATAAAAACTTTATTAACAATTCTAAGATGACAGACCATTAAACCGAGCATATGCTCTTCTGGGTTCAGAGCCTCGTGTGGCTGCTTGGGTCTCATGCCCATGAAGGGCTGACTCTAGATGCCAGAAACATAAATAAACTCGAGTACAGATAACAGGAAAATGTAGTAAAAATAATTTGAAAGTGATGGTTTTAGTATTTGTAACGTATCAGGTGGTGAACTAGGATCTAACAAGCCTGACTTCCCAAGCTGGTGTCTCCCCCCACCTCCCTGTCCCAGCAATCTTTATAGGCATTGCCCACATTTCATTCATTTATTTATTCATTCATTTATTCATTGATTTAGGCTAAGACAGGCATATGTTAAGTGTTCATTGACAGCTCTGAACAATAAACCCAATTTCTGCTACAATTCCCTGTTCTCCCTATCACTGTCCCTCCCCCACCTTCCCCGCCCTTCCGCCCCCAATTCCTTAAGCCTACGCTCCACTCTCTGGAGCCAGATTTTATTTGGCGGGTAAGTGATTAAGACAGGCTCCAGGGGGCCGGGCGCGGTGGCTCACGCCTGTAATCCCAGCAATTTGGGAGGCCGAGGCGGGCGGATCACGAGGTCAAGGGATCAAGACCATCCTGGCCAAGATGGTGAAACCCCATCTCTACTAACAGTACTAAAATTAGCTGGGCGTGGTGGCGCGCGCCTGTAATCCCAGCTACTCAGGAGGCTGAGGCAGGAGAATCGCTTGAACCCGAGAGGCAAAGATTGCAGTGAGCCGAGATCGCGCCACTGCACTCCAGCCTGGTGACAGAGTGAGACTCCGTCTCAAAAAAAAAAAAAAAAAAAAAAAAAAGACAGGCCCCAGGGGTGGTGACTTCATCTGGACCAAGTTCGTCCTGGCCCCTTGCATGTTCCATTAAGCCACACACAGCAAGTGTTTCAGCTCCTTCTTTCCCAGACTTCCCTACCTCCTACCTAACTCCAACCTTCAACTAGATGTTGTTATTTGACAGGGTCTCAGAATCCTCTGGCTTACACAGCTTCTTCTGGGTAACTCATGGCATTTCAGCTTTTCATATGATTCCTCTATGCCCTATTCCTCCCCCAAATCATGATGGTTGTATGATGGCCCTCATATGATCGCATGGTGGTAGGGCCAAAGACCTCAGATCCATGCTCTGCCCCAGAGCTGAAACTTCAGCTTTGTGATATCTTGCCTGGTCCGGTCCCTGGGTTCTTCATGAGACCGAGGAATAGTATGTGTGGTTGGTGACCTTCTAATGAGTTCTCTTGGCAGGGTCAGAGCCTGGGAACCCCTTGGCTCACCTACTCCCACCCAGGTTCTTGCTGGTGGTGTGACTCCCTCTGAGGCTTGGACAGTTCTATGCAGTTACTCCTCTGCTCCAGGGCCAGTTGCCCCTGTCCAGCACCGTTCCATGTGCTTTCATGGGTAACAAAGGAACTCTGGAACTTTTTGCACTATATTTAGGAGCCTAAGAGAGGCTGGAAGGTGTTGAAGAGGCTTGAAGTTCAGGCCTTCTCTGCTTCACTGCCATTTTCACTCTGGTTTCTCCAAAAAAAGATGCAAGGTAAAATCCCCTGTGCTCTCAACTTTCCTTTCACTCTATCTAAACCCCAATCCCAGGATTTTAGCCTAGAGGGGGATAATTAGATACTCTCTTGACCACCCGACCTCTGCCACTTTTTGCCTCAGTCCACCAGGCTGCAAGAGGTGGGTTTTCCCCACAACCTCCATTTCATGTGGTAGAAAATATCCTTATGTTATTGCTTGTGTTTTTGCTATCCCTGGTGGAGAATAAAGTTCTGTAATCTACTCCAACAGGGCAGGCTAATGGGAGAGAAAGGAATTTAGAAAATTATTTATTCTGGCCAAAGACTGGCTTTTGATACTTGCTACAACTCAAAAATATGATTCTGGAGGCCAAAAACAGAGCAGCGCCTCCTTCCTTTTTTTTTTTTTTTTTTTTTTTTTTGGCATTCCTGCACAAATATCTACTGAATTGAATTTTCTTGGCTACAGTACAGGGAATTGGAGATACCAAAAAAAATCCCATCAACCTGGATAGTGGTGCCTCTAGATGGAAATAAGCCCCATGAGACTCCCAGAAGGAGGCCTGTGCCTCTCCCAATGCTCATCTGATGGCTCCTTCCATCTCAGACACAAGAGACAAGAAATGAAGGCCAATGAGTAGCTGCTTCAATCCTACACACAGCCCAAAGAAAAGCATACATTTGTCTACAAACAGGGCAGTGCAAGGTAACTAACCTTTGACCGAAATTATAATAATTCAGTATGGCAATCTATATTTTTGATCCATTAAGATGTGGAAGTCTATTATTACTTAATAATAAATGAATTTTAAGAACATGGAACCATGGGGATAAAAGTCTAGAATTTTGTGGAGCTGTATCCCAGGATAGCATTGCAGCCCACCAATGTGGGATTCCAGAGATTCACTGCTCTCTGATTTGCTCATGTGCTCAGTTAGTAAACATGGGTTGAACATTTACTGTGTCCCAGGCCCCTGTGCTGGGCACATGCTGGGAGCTCAATGCACTGGGGAGACAAGGGTCGCTTAAGTACTTTTAAGGTAGCTATCACAGAAAGTGATGCTGATATCCTTGCCAGACAAAGGAGCCAGTAATGAAATCCGTCCAGGCTAGTGGGGATGCAGGTGAGAAGAAAATGTGAAAAAAGTTTTGTAGCTGAGGAGATGCTTTTATCCATTCATTCACTTACTGAGTGAATATTTATTGAGAAGTGATCATGTGCCATGTATTGCCCTGAGCACTGGAGATGTGGCCTTGAACAAAATCAACATGGCCCTGCCTTCATGTGGCTTAGGGTGTAGTGGAGCTGTGTCTTAAAATGTCAGAATGTGTCTTCTATGTGGACGAAGTAGGAAAGGGCATTCTACATGGTGGAAAAGTGCATGAACAGAGCATAAAATGGCCTGAGCTAACTGGACTGTGGGAGCTCTTTAGCATGGCTAGAGCTTCAAGTCTCAGAGAGAAGGATGGGTGCTAAGACCACCTATAGGGTGAAAGTCAGACCATGAGAGCTTGGTAGGCCCAGTTAAGAAATTCAGGCTTTACTTAAGGCCATGGGAATCCACTGAAAAGATTTAAGGTGGAAAATGACATAGTTAAGTAGTAGATTATTCTGAAAGCTACTTGAAATATAATAAGGACAGCTAAATAGTTTTTGTATCCTCACTAAGTGCCAAGTACAATTCTAAAGTGATTTATATGTACTCAGTTATTTCTTCCTCATAATAATCAAGGTAGATGTTACCATTATTTCATACCTGTATGAAAACTGAGGCACAGATTATGCAATTTGTCCAAGGACATCAGAGAGTAAAAAATGGTGTCAGACAGTCTAACTCTAGGTCCTGAGACCTTAACATTTATGAGAATAAATTGGGATGGGGAAGGTAGTGGTAAGACTAGAACTAGGGAGATCAGTTCTGATGCTATTGCAATATTCAGATAAGATATGATGGTGGCCCAGACTGGGGTGTTGCAGTGGTGTGGCAGGCCAGGTCTCACTAATACAGGCCTCCATAACAACTGTTTCAGCATTGGCTGAATGGTTAAGTTAAATATTAGAAATTGATAGAGCCAGTGCCCTTATACAAAGGCTGGAATGTAACAAAAGTCCAGCAAGAGTTTTGCCTAGGCCTTTCCTGGGCTTTGAAGCATGACAAGATAATGAAGGAATTCTTATCAGGACCCGTTTAGGATTAAACAAGTTTTATTGGGAATCTGAAGAAACTCCCCAGACCTCCACAAACAAGTTTATTGGGGGTCTGAAGGAACTCCACAAACCTCCATGATTTAGCAGGAGACAAGATAAGGGTAATCACCGCAGCACCTGGGCCCATTTAGATTAAGTAAATTTACTGAGGCTCCAGAGGAAGGTCTTCAGGACTCAGCTCTTAGTTATAGATTAAAAGAAGTTAATCACATATGTCTTTAGATGAGTGCACACTTACACATAGACATATAGCTTAGAAGGTATATAATCTCTGAAAAAACTTTGTAATTTTGAGTTTGGTGATATTCTCCAGGCTTTCTTCCTGTAACCAGTTACAGAAATAAAAGCTCTCTTCCTCCCCAGTTCATCTGCATCTCATTATTGGGCTGCAAGAATAAGCAGCCTGACCCTCGGTTTGGTCTGAACAAATTTGGTGAGGCAGCCAGGAGCCACTGGGATGGAGCTGTTTTCAATGGTCAGCGGCTTGTATTTTCTACAGTTTGGATTGAATTCTGATTTTTCTGGCTACAAGTCTCCAAGATAATGTTTTCAATTTTTTTCTTTTTTCCCCGTTTTTCCTAATTGGAACTCACTGAAACCTAAACCATGCTTTATTAAAGCCCTGCAAACTGAAGACTAGACAACTTAAACTTCAGAAGAAAACAGCAGCAACCTATTTATATGTGCTGCTGTTACATATTGTTATGTTTCAGCAGGTGTTGCCTCTAAGCCCCTGAAACAGAGAGTACTACTGGGAACAGGTCAACCTCTTCCACTCCAGCGCTGCATTCGGTGCCCCATAATGGTGACTCCCTCTCATCAGGATGTAGCCAGAAAGATCACTACACCCCATCTCACTAAAATTCTCATGATGACTAAATATACAAGCATGACAGAAATCATGCAGAAATTGACAGTGGAGATTGTGGCAGGTCAGGTCTCACTAACATAGGCTTCTGTAACAACTGTTTCAGCACTGACTGAATGGTTAAGTTACATATTAAAAACTGATAGAGCCAGTACTCTTAAACAAAGGCTGGAACGTAACAAAAGCCCACCAAGAGTTTTATAGAAGGTCCATAAGCTCTGAAAAATCTTTGTAATTCTGAGTTTGTCTGGTGATATTTCCTAGGCCTTCTCCCTGTAACCAGTTACAGAAATAAAAACTCTCTTCCTCCCCAGTTCATCTTCATCTCATTATTGGGTCACAAGAATAAGCAGCCTGACCCTCAGTTTGGTCCAGGAACAGTGGTACAGGCAAGCAAGAATGAATGGGGGAGATATTGGGGTGTGTTTTTGATGGGAGTTGGTGACTGGATGTAGGCATAGTGGGAAAGTCTAGGACAATCCCTATGTTATGTGAACCCCCAAAATTTGAGACAGCTCTCAGTTAATTTAGAAAGTTTATTTTGCCAAGGTTGAGGATGCGCACCCATGACACAGCCTCAGGAGGCACTGATGACATGTGCCCAAGGTTGTCAGAGCACAGCTTGGTTTTATACATTTTAGTGAGACATGAGAGAGACATCAATCAACGTATCTAAAAATGAACATTGGTTCACTCTGGAAAGGTGGGACAACTTGCCAGAGGGAGGGGGCTTCTAGGTCACAGGTAGGTGAGAAACAAATGGTTGCATTCTTTTGAGTTTCTGATTAGCCTCTCCAAAGGGGGCAATTAGATATGCATTTATCTCACTGAGCAGAGGGACGACATTGAATAGAATGGGAGGCAGGTTTGCCCTAAACAGTTCACAGCTTGAATTTTCCCTTTAGCTTAGTGATTTGGGGGCCCAGCATATTTTCCTTTCATAGTTTCTCTTCACTGAGATAGAAAAGGCAAGAAGAATCTATCTTCCCCAATCCCACCCCCATCTCCACCCCCTGCCCTATGTGTCTTTTGCTCTTGTCAAAGTGTTCCTCAAAAAAAATTTGTTTCTCAAATATTTCTTTAACCACCAGCCTACAGGAATCTATTTCATGAACAATTAAAGCCTTGGTTTTTATGCCTCTCATTTGATATTTCATCCCTGTTTTCATTTGTCATTCATTCCACAATCAGAAATTCTAGGAGAATGGTTTGGAGATTCCTCAAAAAACTAAAAATAGAGCTACCATATGATCCAGCAATCCCACTGCAGGATATATACCACAAAGAAAGGAAATCAGTATATCAAAGAGATATCTGCACTCCCATGTTTGTTGCAGCACTGTTTGCAATAGCCAGAATTTGGAAGCAACCTAAGTGTCCATCAACAGATGAATGGATAAAGAAAATGTGGTGTAAATACACAATGGAGTACTATTCAGCCATAAAAAAGAATGAGATCCTGTCATTTGCAACAATATGGATAGAACTGGAGGTCATTATGTTAAGTGAAATAAATCAGGCACAGAAAGACAAACATCACATGTTCTCACTTGTGGGATCCAACAATCAAAACAATGGAACTCATGGAGATAGAGAATAGAAGGATAATTACCAGTTGGGGGTGTGGAGGAACAAAAAAATAGGAAGAACGAATAAGACCTAGTATTTAATAGCATAACAGGGTGATTGTAGTCAATAACAATTTAATTGTACTTTAAAAAATAACAAAAGGGTATAATTGGATTATTTGTAACACAAATAATAAATCCAATTTATCCAATGTGATTATTATGCATTGCATGCCTTGTGTCAAAACATCTCATGTACCCCATAGATATATACACATACTATGTGGCCAGAGGTTCACACCTGTAATCCCAGCACTTTGGGAGGCTGAGGCAGGTGGATCACGAGGTCAGGAGATCGAGACCATCCTGGCTAACATGGTGAAACCCCGTCTCTACTAAAAATACAAAAAATCAACTGGGCGTGGTGGTGGGCCCCTGTAGTCCCAGCTACTTGGGAGGCTGAGACAGGAGAATGGCGTGAACCTGGGAGGTGGAGCTTGTGGGGAGCCAAGATAGCGCCACTGCACTGCAGCCTGGGCAACAGAGCAAGACTCCATCTCAAAAAAAAAATTAAAAAAAAAAGAATTAAAAAAAATCCTGTACAGCTTCCTTCTGTATCTCTTTGCATGTTCAGCTTATCTTCCTAATTAGGCTTTAAAACACCATGATGGTTTAAACTTTTTTTTTTTAATTTCTTGAATTCTGCCTGGAGCCCGTCTTTGAGCTGGGCACACAATAAATGTTTTATAAACATTTATTTCACTTGAACTAAGGAGACATACCAGGGGTCAGGGAGTTTTAAGAAACAGCAGGGTGAGAAATTTAGAGCAATGACCTACAAAGCAAGTGGACAATGAAGAAATGGAGATATCCCAGGTCAAGAATTTTTTCTATTAAGAGAATAAGTAGAAGCTAGAGGGTGGGAAGGTAGATAAATAGAAGATGAGTAAAATAAAATGATGATTATTCTCAAGACAGGGAGTCTGTTGGTTTTTCCTCACGGAGGTGGCACTAATAGGAAGGATAGAAGATTCTAAGAGAGGGGCAGTAAGAGAGAAAACACGTGGCCGGGGAGGCTGAAGGGGATGAATGGGGCATTGAATAGAATGGATGAGCCAGAAGGGGCGAGGTACAGAAACTTCATAGATAGCCAGTCCTAGCCATTTTTTTAGACAGTCTTGTTGTGTCACCCAGGCTGGAGTACAGTGGTGCTACCACAGTTTATTGAAGCCTCAACCTCTTGGGCTCAAGTGATCCTCCCACCTCAGCCTCCTGAGTAGTCCTAGATATTTTTATGGATGCATCAAGGTTGGGAAGTGATCACTTCATTCTGTCCCTAATTAACACAGTAGTTTTGGTTTTGAAGGGGTTAAACTGGGAAGACAAGCACATAAGCATAAGAGAAAGAATGGGAGGAGGAAACAGGCAGATTGTATCTCTAATGCTGGATAACCTGAGTTTTTTTTAGAGAATCCTGAGGCATCTTCTGCCACGGCAGGGGCAGGGATTCGGAGCAGCTGCTATGGTTATTGCTGGGGGCATTGACGAGCAAGCTGTTAAAAGACTTAGGAACCAGTAGAATTTACATAGTAAGTTCCATGCAAAAGGCCACTAGCACATGGTTCCATCATTTTCTCCAGTCAACATCCTGGAGGTAAGACAATGGAAAGTTTCAGTAAGGAAGCATAGAACCAGTTCCTACTCTCACTGTTCTGCACTGTCCCTCTGCCAATGCTGGGAAATACCAGGATACAAAACTGTATCAAAGGTAGGCCAACACACAATCTGGTGGAGAAGACAGATAGATATGGAAAGCAGTGTTATGGTAAAACGGATTCATGCTACAACTGCACAGACCCATATGGGTTATCTGGATCTAGTCCTATCTTACAGATAGGGAAATGAAGTCCAAAAGAAAAACCAAAAAACAAAAAAGACTACCCCTAACCTCCTTCTCTCCAGACTGAGAATTCCAAGGTCACTTTTCCTTTCTCCATGTGACCTGTGGGCTATACGACCTGTGCTGATGTTTCCAGTTCCTTTGAAGGACAGGGCAGTGAAATCTTAAATGTATCCAACAGTGTTACTCTGTTTCATCTCCTGTGAAGGCTCATACTTCTCCACCCAGTTTTTAAAATGTTTGGTGGAGATGTGAGAACCTCCAGAGGAGATGGAAAAGAGGCAAGCAGAGAAGTGTGAAGGAAACCAGGATCATCCAGTGTGAGATACAAAGAAAGAGGCTGAGACACTTGAAATGAAAGATGAATGATGAGTTACAAAACAAAGTTTAAAATGTGTTTATTGGAATTCATATCATGGAAGTCAGTTGTAAACTTGGGAAGAGATGTTGAAATGATAGAAACAGAAATCAAAATAAAGTGGGTTGAGAAGAAATTAGGAGGGCAGTAAGGAGGTATGGAGAAGTGTCAACCACTTTGAAGAGTTTGACTGTGAAAGGAGAGTTGGAATGTTTCTGGATGGGGATCTCAGGGATTTGAGAGTGAAAGAAGGTTAAGGTTTCTCCTCCTCTCTCTATTTCCTACCCCAACCTCACCCCCAATTCCTAGTAAGTGAGGTTGGGATTCCTAGTGCAGTCACTGGCCTTGAAGGTAGGAGGAAGAAAAGGTTGGGGCAGATGTAGAGTTTCACATTTTATAGTACTTTAAACCACAACACAGTATAACACAAAATGCAAATTGTATAAAATCCCATTAAATATTTCCAGTCATAGACAGTTTTGAATACTACTATTATTTAATTTTACAATGTCAATATCCAGTATCTGTTTTCCTTATTAAATATAAATGGGCCAACTCAAAATTATTAAATTTAAAAGTACATTGAGGGCCAGGTGGGGTGGCTCACACCTGTAATCCCAGCACTTTCGGAGGCCGAGGTGGGCAGATCACCTGAGGTCAGGAGTTTGAGACCAGCCTGGCCAACTTGGCGAAACACTATCTCTACTAAAAATAAAAAAATTAGCCAGACATGGTGGTGGATACCTGTAATCCCAGCTGTAATCCCAGCTACTTGGGAGGCTGAGGCAGGAGAATTGCTTGAACCCAGGAGGCATAGATTGCAGTGAACTGAGATCATGCCACTGCATTCCAGCCTGGGTGACAGAGCAAGACTCCATCTCAAAAAAAAAAAAAAAAAAAAAGAGTATATTGAGGTCAACTAAAGTCATTTAAACTTCACCTTCCCCATCTGATGAAAGAGTTTATTTGCTTAACATCAAATTAAATAAATTGCTATTTTGGATAATAAGTTAAACAATTAACTTACTCAATAGTAAGTCAAATGCCTTAAGCAATTCTCATATTTGTCCAACTTGGGTGTATTTCAAAAATAATAATATTGTTTGAACATCACATAAGTAATGTAACTTATGGTGTAACTGACACATCAGCTTCTGCCAAGTTAGACTCTTATCTGGAATAATAATAATATCAAATAACACTGAACTCTTACTATGTGCCAGGAATCTTACATGTGCTATCTCTGTTGTCCCAAGTAGGCCTCACTATTTCCGCTTTACAAATGAGCAAGTTGAAGCCTGAGAAACGAAATAACTTGACCTTGGTCATATGTGGCTCCCAAAGTCTGTCTTCTGTATCACACTGTGCCTCCAATGCATCCTAAGACCTCTCCCCTACCACTTTTTGACATTACGCAGACATATATAGTGAGTCATAAATTTGCCAAAATTTATGGCAACCAGCAGCTCTTGGGGCTGCTTTGCCTATTGAGTAGCCATTCTTTATTCCTTTACCTTCCCAATAAACTTGCTTTCACTTTAAAAGCAAACACCACCACCAACAAACTCGGAATGAACCAGCCACAACAGCCTACCATCGAGAAAACGGTATGGTGACCTTTCCCCTAGAGTGAAGCTGAAAGCTGGTAACTACTTATTTATGTGCTGATACAGAAAAACAACAACAACAAAACGTAGGAAAAAAAATGTTTAAATGTATAGAAATAAGTAGGAAGACTAAGTAAAGGACTTTATTTTTTGTTAGAGACAATGCAACTTTGGGCAAACTGACTCTTAGACTTGTAATTTTTTAAAAACTCACTCCCAAGTACCAGGAAGTGGAAACTATAAGAGCTTACCTAATATGTCACTTTTACATATCTTTTATCTTTCAGTCCTCCAGACCACTCTGTGAAATACAGGGCAGTATAAGCCTCATTTCACAAATAAGGACAAATAAGCTAAAAAACCTTGGTCCCTGGATCAGTGGGCTCTTGGGAGCTGTTGCAAAGGGACTGGCATGTGTATTACTTCACATCTATGCCAGACCTTTTTTTTTTCAGTCTGGTTTTTTCTTTCTTTGAATATCGATAGTTTTTTTTATTATTATACTTTAAGTTCTAGTGTACATGTGCACAACGTGCAGGTTTGTTACGTACGTATACATGTGCCATGTTGGTGTGCTGCACCCATTAACTCGTCATTTACCTTAGGTATTTCTCCTAATACTATCCCTCCCCACTCCCCTCACCCCATGACAGGCCCTGGTGTGCGATGTTCCCCACCCTGTGTCCAAGTGTTCTCATTGTTCAATTCCCACCTATAAGCGAGAACATACAGTGTTTGGTTTTCTGTCCTTGTGATAGTTTGCTGAGAATACTGGTTTCCAGCTTCATCCGTGTCCCTACAAAGGACATGAACTCATCTTTTTTATGGCTGCTTAGTATTCAATGGTGTATATGTGCCACATTTTCTTAATCCAGTCTATCATTGTTGGACATTTGTGTTGGTTCCAAGTCTTTGCTATTGTGAATAGTGCCACAATAAGCATACATGTGCATGTGTCTTTATAGCAGCGTGATTTATAATCCTTTGGGTATATACCCAGTAATGGGATAGCAGGGTCAAATGGTATTTCTAGTTCTAGATCCTTGAGGAATCGCCACACTGTCTTCCACAATGATTGAACTAGTTTACAGTCCCACCAACAGTGTAAAAGTGTTCCTATTTCTCCACCTCCTCTCCAGCACCTGTTGTTTCCTGACTTTTTAATGATCGCCATTCTAACTGGTGTGAGATGGTATCTCATTGTGGTTTTGATTTGCATTTCTCCGATGGCCAGTGATGATGAGCATCTTTTCATGTGTCTTTTGGCTGCATAAATGTCTTCTTTTGAGAAGTGTCTGTTCGTATCCTTTGTCCACTTTTTGATGGGGTTGTTTGATTTTTTCTTGTAAATTTATTTAAGTTCTTTGTAGATTCTGGATATTAGCCATTTGCCAGATGGGTAGATTGTAAAAATTTTTTCCCATTCTGTAGGTTGCCTGTTCAGTCTGATGGTAGTTTCTTTTGCTGTGCAGAAACTCTTTAGTTTAATTAGATCACATTTGTCAATTTTGGCTTTTGTTGCCATTGCTTTTGGTGTTTTAGTCATAAAGTCCTTGCCCATACCTATGTTCTGAATGGTATTGCCTAGGTTTTCTTCTAGGGTTTTTATGGTTTTAGGTCTAACATTTAAGTCTTTAATCCATCTTGAATTAATTTTTGTATAAAGTGTAAGGAAGAGATCCAGTTTCAGCTTTCTACATATGGCTAGCCAGTTTTCCCAGCACCATTTATTAAATAGGGAATCCTTTCCCCATTTCTTGTTTTTGTCAGGTTTGTCAAAGATCAGATGGATGTAGATGTGTGGTATTATTTCTGAGGGCTCTGTTCTGTTCCATTGGTCTATATCTCTGTTTTGGTACCAGTACCATGCTGTTTTGGTTACTGTAGCCTTGTAGTATAGCTTGAAGTCAGATAGCATTATGCCTCCAGCTTTGTTCTTTTGGCTTAGGGTTGTCTTGGCAATGCGGGCTGTTTTTTGGTTCTCTATGAACTTTAAAGTAGTATTTTCTAATTCTGTGAAGAAAGTCATTGGTAGCTTGATGGGGATGGCATTGAATCTATAAATTACCATGGGCAGTATAGCCATTTTCACGATATTGATTCTTCCTACCCGTGAGCATGGAATGTTAGTCCATTTGTTTGTATCCTCTTTTATTTCATTGAACAGTGGTTTGTAGTTCTCCTTGAAGAGGTCCTTCACGTCCCTTGTAAGTTGGATTCCTAGGTATTTCATTCTCTTTGAAGCAATTGTGAATGGGAGATCACTGATGATTTGGCTCTCTGTCTGTTATTGGTGTATAAGAATGCTTGTGATTTTTGCACATTGATTTTGTATCCTGAGACTTTGCTGAAGTTGCCTATCAGCTTAAGGAGATTTTGGGCTGAGACGATGGGGTTTTCTAGATATACAATCATGTCATCTGCAAACAGGGACAATTTGACTTTCTCTTTTCCTAATTGAATGCCCTTTATTTCCTTCTCCTGCCTGATTGCCCTGGCCAGAACTTCCAACACTATGTTGAATAGGAGTGGTGAGAGAGGGCATCCCTGTCTTGTGCCAGTTTTCAAAGGGAGTGCTTCCAGTTTTTGCCCATTCAGTATGATATTGGCTGTGGGTTTGTCATAGATAGCTCTTATTATTTTGAGATATGTCTTATCCATACCTAATTTATTGAGAGTTTTTAGCATGAAGGTTGTTGAATTTTGTCAAAGGCCTTTTCTGCATTTATTGAGATAATTATGTGGTTTTTGTTGTTGGTTCTGTTTATATGCTGGATTACATTTATTGATTTGCGTATGTTGAACCAGCCTTGCATACCAGGGTTGAAGCCCACTTGATCACTGTGGATAAGCTTTTTGATGTGCTGCTGGATTCGGTTTGCTAGTATTTTATTGAGGATTTTTGCATCGATGTTCATCAGGGATATTGGTCTAAAATTCTCTTTTTTTGTTGTGTCTCTGCCAGGCTTTGGTATCAGGATGATGCTGGCCTCATAAAATGAGTTAGGGAGGATTCCCTCTTTCTCTATTGATTGGAAGAGTTTCAGAAGGAATGGTACCAGCTCCTCCTTGTACCTCTGCTAGAATTCGGCTGTGAATCCATCTGGTGCTGGACTTTTTTTGTTTGGTAAGTTATTAATTATTGCCTCAATTTCAGAGCCTGTTATTGGTCTATTCAGACATTCACCTTCTTCCTGGTTTATTCTTGGGAAGGTGTATGTGTCGAGGAATTTATCCATTGCTTCTAGATCTTCTAGTTTATTTGCATAGAAGTGTTTATAGTATTCCCTGATGGTAGTTTGTATTTCTGTGGGATAGGTGGTGATATCCCCTTTATCACTTTTTATTGCATCTATTTGATTCTTCTCTCTTTTCTTCTTTATTAGTCTTGCTAGTGGTCTATCAATTTTGTTGATCTTTTCAAAAAACCAGCTCTGGGATTCATTGATTTTTTGAAGGGTTTTTTGTGTCTCTATTTCCTTCAGTTCTGCTCTGATCTTAGTTATTTCTTGCCTTCTGCTAGCTTTTGAACGTGTTTGTTCTTGCTTCTCTAGTTCTTTTAATTGTGATGTTAGGGTGTCAATTTTAGATCTTTCCTGCTTTCTTTTGTGAGCATTTATTGCTATAAATTTCCCTCTACACACTGCTTTGAATGTGTCCCATAAATTCTGGTATGTTGTGTCTTTGGTCTCGTTGGTTTCAAAGAACATCTTTATTTCTGCCTTCATTTCTTTATGTACCAGGTAGTCATTCAGGAGCAGGTTGTTCAGTTTCCATGTAGTTGAGCGGTTTTGAGTGAGTTTCTTAATCCTGAGTTCTAGTTTGATTGCACTGTGGTCTGAGAGACAGTTTGTTATAATTTCTGTTCTTTTTGAGGAGTGCTTTACTGCCAACTATGTGGTCAATTTTGGAATAGGTGTGGTGTGGTGCTGAAAAGAATGTATATTCTGTTGATCTTGGGTGGAGAGTTCTGTAGATGTCTATTAGATCCACTTGGTGCAGAGCTGAGTTCAATTCCTGGATATCCTTGTTAACTTTCTGTTTCGTTGATCTGTCTAATGTTCACAGTGGGGTGTTAAAGTCTCCCATTATTGTGTGGGAGTCTAAGTCTCTTTGTAGGTCTCTAAGGACTTGCTTTATGAATCTGGGTGCTCCTGTATTGAGTGCATATATATTTAGGATAGTTAGCTCTTCTTGTTGTATTGATCCCTTTACCATTATGTAATGGCCTTCTTTGTGTCTTTTGATTTTTGTTGGTTTAAAGTCTGTTTTATCAGAGACTAGGATTGCAACCCCTGCCTTTTTGTTTCCATTTGTTTGGTAGATCTTCCTCCATCCCTTTATTTTGAGCCTATGTGTGTCTCTGCACATGAGATGGGTTTCCTGAATACAGCACACTGATGGGTCTTGACTCTTTATCCAATTTGCCAGTCTGTGTCTTTTAATTGGAGCATTTAGCCCATTTACATTTAAGGTTAATATTGTTATGTGTGAATTTGATCCTGTCATTATGATGTTAGCTGTTTATTTTGCTCATTAGTTGATGCAGTTTTTTCCTGCCCTTGATGGTCTTTACAATGTGGCATGTTTTTGCAGTGGCTGGTACTGGTTGTTCCTTTCCATGTTTAGTGCTTCCTTCAGGAGCTCTTGTAAGGCAGGCCTGCTGGTGACAAAATCTCTCAGCATTTGCTTGTCTGTAAAGTATTTTATTTCTCCTTCACTTATGAAGTTTAGTTTGGCTGGATATGAAATTCTGGGTTGAAAATTCTTTTCTTTAAGAATGTTGAATATTGGCCCCCACTCTCTTCTGGCTTGTAGAGTTTGTGCCGAGAGATCAGCTGTTAGTCTGATGGGCTTCCCTTTGTGGGTAACCCGACCTTTCTCTCTGGCTGCCCTTAACCTTTTTTCCTTCATTGCAACTTTGGTGAATCTGACAATTATGTGTCTTGGAGTTGCTCTTCTCGAGGAGTATCTTTGTGGCATTCTCTGTATTTCCTGAATCTGAATGTTGGCCTGCCTTGCTAGATTGGGGAAGTTCTCCTGGATAATATCCTGAAGAGTGTTTTCCAACTTGGTTCCCTTCTCCCCATCACTTTCAGGTACACCAATCATACATAGATTCAGTCTTTTCACATAGTCCCATATTTCTTGGAGGCTTTGTTCATTTCTTTTTATTCTTTTTTCTCTAAACTTCTCACTTCATTTCATTCATTTGATGTTCCATCACTGATACCCTTTCTTCCAGTTGATCGAATTGGCTACTGAGGCTTGTGCATTCATCACGTAGTTCTCGTGCCATGGTTTTCGGCTCCGTCAGGTCCTTTAAGGACTTCCCTGCATTGGGTTATTCTAGTTAGCCATTCGTCTAATTTTTTTTCAAGGTTTTTAACTTCTTTGCCATGGGTTTGAACTTCCTCCTTTAGCTTGGAGTAGTTTGATCATCTGAAGCCTTCTTCTCTCAACTCGTCAAAGTCATTCTCCGTCCAGCTTTGTTCCATTGCTGGTGAGGAGCTGTGTTCCTTTGGAAGAGGAGAGGCACTCTGATTTTTAGAGTTTCCAGTTTTGCTGCTTTGTTTTTTCCCCATCTTTGTGGTTTTATCTACCTTTGGTCTTTGATCATGGTGACGTACAGATGGGGTTTTGATGTGGATGTCCTTTCTGTTTGTTGGTTTTCCTTCTAACAGTCAGGACCCTCAGCTGCAGGTCTGTTGGTGTTTGCTGGAGGTCCACTCCAGACCCTGTTTGCCTGGGTATCAGCAGCGGTGGCTGCAGAACAGCGGATGTTGGTGAACAGCAAATGTTGCTGCCGGATCGTTTGCCTGGAAATTTTGTCTCAGAGGAGTACCTGGCCGTGTGAGGTGTCAGTCTGCCCCTACTGGAGGGTGCCTCCCAGTTAGGCTACTCGGGGTTTAGGGACCCACCTGAGGAGGCAGTCTGTCTGTTCTCAGATCTCCAGCTGCGTGCTGGGAGAACTACTACTCTCTTCAAAGCTGTCAGACAGGGACATTTAAGTCTGCAGAGGTTTCTGCTGCCTTTTGTTTGGCTATGCCCTGCCCCAGTGGTGGAGTCTACAGAGGCAGGCAGGTCTCCTTGAGCTGTGGTGGGCTCCACCCAGTTTGAGCTTCCCAGCCGCTTTGTTTACCTACTCAAGCCTCGGCAGTTTTGGGTGCCCTCCCCCAGCCTCGCTGCCGCCTTGCAGTTTGATCTGACTGCTGTGCTAGCAATGAGCGAGGCTCCGTGAGCATAGGACCCTCCAAGCCAGTCGCAGGATATAATCTCCTGGTGTGCCGTTTGCTAAGACCATTGGAAAAGCACAGTATTAGGGTGTGTGTGACCCAATTTTCCAGGTGCCGTCTGTCACCCCTTTCTTTGACTATGAAAGGGAATTCCCTGACCCCTTGCACTTCCTGGGTGACGCGATGACTCACCCTGCTTTGGCTCATGCTCAGTGTGTTGCATCCACTGTCCTGAACCCACTCTCTGACACTCCCCAGTGAGATGAACCCGGTACCTCAGTTGAAAATGCAGAAATCACCCATCTTCTGCATCACTCACACTGGGAGCTGTAGACTGGAGCTGTTCCTATTCGGCCATCTTGGCTCCACCTCTCTTAGATAACTTCTGAATCAGACAAAGTTATTCTTTTTCTCACTAATAACATAACGCTTTCTGGGACATTTTGTATACAGAATTATGTGTCTACTAGAATTCTTATGCTTGGTAACCTAAAACTTTAGTGAAATCCCAAAAAGCAAGAAATCCTGAACTATCAGATGTGGGCACTTATAGATAAGAACAATTCCACAGTTTTTAGAACCATATTTCCTTATATCACAAACCTTTCTTCATTGGAAATGACCCAGATATTAAATGAGGATCAAAAATAATTTTAAGATTTTAATTTACACAAAAAGTTTATGTAAAACATTTACCCCATTCACTGGACTCGATTCTTTCACTTTTAACAGTTTATCTAGATTACTTCTGTAAACTGAGATATTAGACACTATCATTTTAAAGTTAGTGATTCCCTTGTTAACCATGTTTCTAATAGCCAGTGAACATCAGGTGCTCACCTAAACCTAAGTACATGTCTCAAAGTTAAATACATAGGTATTTTTGCCAATAACTCAGGAGATTTAGCTAACATTAAATTACTCTCATTTGTCAAAAAAGGCACACAAGTCAAATCATTTTGTTTTGACTGGGCTTATAGTTTTATAACTTTCTATGCCAAACACTGACATCTCAAAATGTCTAGCAAAGACAAATATAAAATTCAGACAAAATGTATGCTGACAATTCTGAAGGCATTTCTGGTTTTGTTCCACCGATAATTTTAAAGCCAGCTTTTTTAGTAAAGTTATACTTAAGTTACCTGAACTTGAAAATTGCTTACACTTAATCATTTAATATATGACCACTCTTTTACTTATAAGCCAATTTGCTAGTCACAACATATAACAATAAGTGTACATACAAATAAACACATCTAGACTTGTATACACACATATAAATGAAGATCCAATAGCTTGGAATGCTAGCCATGAGATAGCAATAAAGCTCACCGGCTTTACTTTGCCCCAATAGATAATCCAATAAAGACTGTGATCCAAAATTTTGGGTAAAGCAGTCTCCATGGCAGTTTGATTTTTAAAGGCCAAACCCCCAGACTCCAAAGAGCACTGGGGCCAAACATCACCAAAGGAGAGCATCACACATTAACCAAGCCCCCTGCTTGGGACAGCAGCACCTAAGTCTGGATACATGCAACACCATCCCACTTTCCCATTCAATGGTAAACTCTAGATTCCAAGCAATATTGAGGCCAAACAGTATTGCAACTCCAAGAGAAAATTCTAAGGACTGCTTAGTACTAGACCTCAGAACCTCTTCTGAGTGCATCCCCTTTGGAGAGGTTGAGGTCCAGAGGATTCCTCAGGGCATCCCCCTTTGAGGTCCAATCTTAGAGTATCAGATGTCTCTGACCTTAGGTGGACACTGGTGCCAATTACATGTTTTCCCTCCAGAGGTGATGGCCTACCATGAGCTTTCCTTTTGTCCCTGGATGAAGGCCTCAACTTCTAGCCACCTTATAATTTGTGGCTTCCCATTCCACTAGTGATATAGGAACTGGAGGCTGGGTGGGTTTCTTTTGTCCTTAGCCAGTCAAGTAGGGTAAGGGAAGAATTTAGCATAAGAAAACAAAGTTTAAATAATCTGAAACATGTGCACATTTGCGCTGAGCTGCACCACATGTAGGGATAAGGGACCACAACTGGAAAAGATAGAAAAGAGTCCTTCCTCCTTCCAGCCAGGGCAATTATCTGCCTTTACTCCTTGGCTTTCAGGCAACACAAAAGAGTGGCTGCAGCCAGGTGGCCTCAATTTCCAAGGAGCTACTAGAAACAGCAGCTGAAAGACAGAAAAAGAAATAAATAAATTAAAAAAAAAAGGCAAAAAGACTCAGGTCCTTTAAGCTAACAGGCAGTTGCAGCTAGGCACCTCCACATGGAAACCTCTTAATTTCACTGGCCATGGCCAGACATCTGCAGTTGCCTCTGGGTTTAGGTGCTGCCCACCAAGGGTCCTGAGTTGGAAAGGAAAAGAGAGAGAGAGGGAGAGATTCCTTTGTATGAAGCAGAAAGGAAAAGGTGAAAAATAAATCCCAAACTTTGGGCTTACCTCCTGGCTGGCTCACTAGAATATGTTACTGGTGGAGGGTGTCTAGGTTCTTGGTGTCTTGAACAAAGAATTGGACAAAACACACAAAGCAAGGAAAGAATGAAGCAACAAAAGCAAAGCTCTATTGAAAATGAAAGTACGCTCCACAAGATGGGAGCGGCCCCGAGCACAGGGGCTCAAGAGCCCCGTTACAGAATTTTCTGGGGTTTAAATACCCTTTACAGGTTTCCATTGGTTGCTTGGTATACACCCTATGTAAATGAAGAGGATAAAGTTACAAAGACATTTACTAGGTGTACACCCTATGTAAATGGAGAAGATATTTCCTAGCATAGCTGAAGTGTTTCCATTTGATTTAGTTCTAGGAAGCCAGCATGAATTAGCCTTATGTTCTCTGTCTCCAGACCCCATTTTCTTGGCTCAAGTTGAGACTGTTAGCTACCTGTTGTGAAGGCATGATTGTATTTTGTAACGTGAGAAGGATCTGAGATTTTTTGGCGGGGACGGTGGAGAGGGAAGGGTAGAATGATATAGTTTGGATATTTATCTCTGCTCAAATCTCATGTTGAAATATCCTATTGTTGGAGGTGGGTCCTGGCGGGAGGTGTTTGGGTTATGGGGGCAGATCCTTCACGGCTTGGTGCTGTCCTCACAATAGTGAGTAAGTTCTTGTGAGACCTGGTTGTTGTAAAGTGTGGCACCTCCCCACCCTACTCTCTCTCTTGCTCCTGGCTTTGCCCTGTGATGTGCCTGCTCCCACTTTGCCTTATGACATGAGTAAAAACCCCCTTAGGTCTTTCCAGAAGCTGAGCAGTTGCCGGCATCATGCTTGTACAGCCTGCAGAATCATGAGCCAATTAAATATTTTTTAAAAATAAATTACTCTTAGCCTCAGGTATTTATGGTAATTCAAGAATGGCCTAATCCAACAATTAAGAGGAGATGGAAATTGCAGGGACCTGTGGTTTCTGACACCGGTAGCTCCTCTGAGCCATACAGTTCACCCAATATGGGGACAATTTCTGGCTCAAGTTAAGTGCCGGGAGACAGCAGGAGCCTGGATCACTTTCCAGGTCCACAGAAACAGTTCCAAATTTCTAACTTCTGCTGATTGATTCAGAATGATCTCCCTGTGATCAATTGCCCTTTACTCCAATCCAATGATGAGAACTAAATGAAAGTTTTCATTGATCTGTGTTTCTCTTGGTGACAGAGAAACCAACAGACCAGGAGCTAAAACAATTTCAGAAATGGGTAGATTTCTGAATCTACCCAAAGAGAGATTTCTGTGATCCTGTTCTCACTTGCTGTGGGGGGCGCAAAGTTCACTTCCTATTATATGACCCTGACAAGATGGAGGTGATTCTAGGGAGATCAAGTGAGAGAGAAACCACACTCCAGCTGTAGCAGCTCTTCCCTCTTGTGTACATGCCTCTGGATCTGTCTTGCCAAACAAATGTCCACTGCATTATAATATTCACATATTTATAACTACTTTTTAATTTGACAAAATTGTTTAGATGCAGTGGGATCTCTATAGCATAGTCCAATAGTCCACATATCACAATATTGGCAGAAACACCAAAATGAGGACAATAAACCGTGTTTGAGGAAAACTCCCTTTTTAGCATATAACACATAGCATTTGAAGGATCCTGTTGTGTAAAACATAAAACACATTTGAATGAGCTATTCAGCTGGACACATACACTCCAAAATGGATGCTTTAGAAATTCTCAAAGGCTGCAGGAATGGTCCTTTGAAGTACAAATGCAAAAAAGGATGTAAACAGTAGAAACAAGGTTTTTCTAAATAAGTAATTCTGTAAATTCCCTAATGATGACTCCAATTTCACAGGACAGGCTTCAAGCAAATTGTTCTTACAGACAGTAATTTTTAGGCATTGGTTTATCCCAGGATGAGAACTTCCTCCTAAGCATTGGCTGCCAATCATGTCACTGCCACTAGAGGACAGGAGAGCATCCCTAAGCTCAATTTCTAGCTCAGAACTAAGAATTATTCTCACTGTATTCCATTCGATTTTATTCATTTTTCAAAACCTAAGCAACTTCATTCAAATATAAAAGTGTTTATTAAGCCTACCTCTGTGGGTCAAGTCCTGTGCAGTGTGATGGGAAAAGAGAGATAACAGGTACTGACCCTGCCTTGAAGAGTTCATAGTCAAGGACAAAAATGTGTTGTACAGAAATACATCCTATGCTCCAGACACATTGCTCCCTTATCCGTTCTTTCACTCACTCGGTCACTAAATGAATGGCTCATTGAGTGTCCCTGTCCCTGGCACTGTCCTAGGCACTCAATTATAACTGTCAGTGGATAAATCACGAACGCTGCCTGGATGTTTAGAGAGGGAGAGGCACAGCCAATAGAGGGCGAGAGGAAGCTGGGCCCTGGCCTTAGCCTTGACGATGCAGAAGGCAGAGGTGGAGGGAGGATGTTCTCAGCCATCTCCACATGAAGAGGGTTAGGACATGGGTTGGACAGGTAAGAAGTGGGTGAGGCAACAGGCCATGGAGGGTTTGGCTGCCAGATGAGGTATTGGGACGCTGTCCCCGCTGTGATGAAGAGCGTGGGAGGGTCTGAGCTGGACTGTGGCTTCAGTGTGGAGGAAGGAGAAGCAGGGATCCAGAAAGTCCAGGCAAGAAGACTGAGGGATGACAAAGAAGAAAAACTTCTGAAGTAGAATTAGAAAGCTACAGGTGCTATTGGACCGAGGCGTAAGGGCAAGGCAGGAGCTTAGACCCTGGAGTGGGAGGCAGGTGGGGCAACAGCTGAGGACCACCCACCCACTGCCCCTCTAGGAAGCCTCCCCAAAGCCCTTCTGACTCCGCTGCCCATACCCGCCTTGGCCCAGCTCTGAGGATCTGGGTGCCTGTCGGTCTCCCTATAAAGGGAACGCCTGATTATGGCCCATCCTCACCCTACAGTGACCTGAACTGGCCTCCACACTAGGGAACCAGAAATGTTTGTGGAAGAGTGAACAAACCATTGATTAACTCTTTATCCATCCATGTGATTAGACTCTGTGCCTTAGAGCCCAGGCCCTGTCCTGACAGAGTGGTTCAGGCCTGCTGAGAGCAGAGGTAGGAATTAAGAGCAAGACTGGTAGGTTCTGTCCAAGGTCAGGGGAAAGTGTGAACCAAGGCTTGGATAAATGAAGGTGGACCCTGAATACTCAGCTTCAGACTGGAGCTTACAGGCCAGAGCCTGTCCAGTACAAAATGGGGCCTGAAACCACATCTCAATTCATTGTCTCTGCCTGGCTCAGGAACTGCATCGGGAAACAATTTGCCATGAACGAGCTTAAGGTGGCCCTGACCCTACTCAACTTTAAGCTGTTTTCTGATCCTGCCAGTATCCCTATCCTCTTACCACAAATGGTGTTGAAATTCAACAATGGGATACACCTGCATGTTAAGAGGCTCCCTAATACTTGTGAGGACAAGAACCAGATCTGAAGTCCTCTACATGCCATCCTTTCTTTCTGTTCCCTGCTTGTTTGCCTATATCCTTCTTTCTATCCACCCACCTGCCTTCTTCCCACCTGTATGTTGTCCTGCCTTCTGTACCCCAGTCTGTCTGCAATTCTCTCCCTCACCTTTCTCCAGGCTCCCTACCTGCTTCTCTACCTGTCTCCTACCCAACTGCATCCCTGAATCCCCACCCAACTCCCAATTTCTGCCTGCCCTCCAGCTTGTCTGCCCCTATATCTGTCTTCTTTCTTCTGCCTGCTTGTCTGTATCCGTAGAGGTTTCTTATTGCCACTATAATAAACTACCACAACCTCAGTGATTTAAAATAATATCTTTTTATTCTCTTATAGTTCTGGAGGTCAAAGTTGGAAATGGGTTTCTATGAGTGAAAACAAGTTGTGGGCCGGGCCAAACCCCCCAGAAAGCATAGAGGAGAGTCCATCCCATAGGCCTTTCACCTCTAGAGCTGCCTTTCTTGCATTACTGGCCGCTTGTATTTATCTGTTTTCACACTGCTAAAAAGATACTACCTGACACTGAGTTGTTTATAACAAAAGAAGGTTTCATTGACTCACAGTTCTGCATGACTAGGGAGGCCTCAGGAAACATAAAATCATGGTGGAAGGCAAAGGAGAGTCAAAGCGCACCTTACATGGTAGTAGGTGAGGGACAGAGCATGAAAGGGAATTGCCAAACACCTCTAAAATCATCAGATCTTGTGAGAACTCCCCTCATTATCATGAGAACAGCATGGAGGAAACCACCTCCATGATCCGATCACCTCCCACCAGGTCCCTCCTTGACACATGGGGATTACAATTCAAGATGAGATTTGAGTAGGGGTACAGAGCCAAACCACATCATTCCACCCCGGCCCCTCTCAAATCTCATGTCCTTCTCACATTTCAAAACCAATCATGCCTTCCCAATCATCCCACAAAGTCTTAACTCATTCTAGCATTAACTCAAAAGTCCAGCTCCAAATTCTCATCTGAGACAAGGCAAGTCCCTTGTCACCAAAGAGATAGGGATGGTGGACAAGGAGGGGGTAAAACTGGATATCCATATGTGATTGAAGATGGACCCTTTCCTATACCATGTACAAGTTAAAAAAAAAAAAGAAAAAGAGTTAAAAGACAGCCCACAAATTGCAGAATGTATTCATAGTATTCAGCTCTAAATGCCTACATCAAAAATATAAAAAGATCTCAAATTAACAACCTAATGCCACACCTAAGGAACTATAAAAACAATAACAAACCCAAAGCAACTAGAAGAAAAGAAATAACAAAGATCAGAGCAGAACTAAATAAAATCGAGACCAAAAAATCATACAAAGGACCAATGTGAAAAGTTGGTTATTTGAAACCATAAACAAAGTTGATAGACCACTAGGTAGATGAACAAAGAAAAAAAGAGAGGAGATTGAAATAAGAACAATCAGAAATAACAAAGGTAACATTACAACTGATAACACAGAAATAAAAAAGATCCTCAGCGACTACTATAAACATCTCAATACACACAAACTAGAAAGCCTAGTGGAAGTGGGAAAACTCCTGGAAACACAAAATCCCAAGATTGAACCAGGAAGACATTGAAATTTTGAATATGTCAATTATAAGTTACAAAATTGAATCAGTAATAAAAAGTCTACCTATCAAGAAAAGTCTGGGGCCAGATGGGTTACAGCCAAATACTACCAGGTGAACAGAGAAGAGCTGGTATTGAATTTACTGAAACAATCTCCAAAATTCATATGGAGCTGAAAAAAGAAGCCAAATAGCTAAAGTGTTCTCAGCACCAAAACACACACACACACACACACACACACACACACACACACACAAAGAAAGCAAGCCCAAGGCATCAAATTACCTAATTTAAAATTCTACTACAAGGCTATAGTAACCAAATCAACATGGTACTTGTACAAAAATAGACACATAGATCAATGGGACAGAATAGAGAGCCTAGAAATAAAGCCACATACCTATACAAACCAGATCTTCAAGAAAGGCACCAAAAATAAATAATGGGGAAAGAATACCCAATTCAATAAATGATACTGGGAAAACTGGCTAGCTATATACAAAATAAAACTGGACTCCTACTTCTCACCATATACAAAAATTCACTCAAGATGGATTAAAGATTTAAATATGAGACATGAAAGTATAAAAATCCTAGAAGAAAACTTAGGAAATACTCTTCTGGCCAATACAAAGAATTTATGACTAAGATCTCATAAGCAAATGCAACCAAAACAGAAATAAACAAACTGGACTTAATAAAACTAAAGATCTTCTCCACAGCAAAAGAAAAAATCAACAGAGTAAACAGACAACCTACAGGAGGGGAGAAAATATTTGCAAACTATGCATGTGAAAAAGGACTAATTTTTAGAATCTATAGGAAACTTAAAAAGCTCAAAAAGAAAAAACTAATAACTCTATTTACAAATGGGCAAATCAGGAATTTGAGACCAGCCTAGGCAACACAGGGAGACCCTGTCTCTACAAAAAGTAAAAAATTAAGCAGGTGTGATGGTGCACGCCTGTAGTTCCAGCTACTTGGGAAGCTAGAGCAGGAGGATCACTCGAGTCCAGGATGTCGAGGCTGCAGTGAGCTATGATCACACCATTGCACTCCAGTCTGGGTGACCTGGATGACAGAACAAGACTAGGTTTCTAAAAAACAAACAAACAGAAAAACCTACAAAAAACAAACAAAAAAACCTAATAAACCACTAATCTTCACTTTATGCATAATACTAAATCAAAACTGTATTAGCTCCTTATTTTTAATAAAAAACACCTCCTTTCAAAAATAAAAAAAATGATAAATGGACAAAGAACATGAACAGACCCTTCTCAAAAGGACATAAAAGTGGCCAGCAAAAATATGAAAAAATGCTCAACATCAATAATCACCAGAGGAATGCAAATTAAAACCACAGAGATACTATCTCAAGCTGGTCAGAATGGCCATATCACAGAGTCTAAAAATATCAAATGTTGGCAAAGATACGTAGAAAAGGGAACACTTATCCACTGTTAGAGGTAATGTAAATTAGTCCAACCCTATGGGAAACATTATAGAAATTTCTCAAAGAACTAGAAATAGAACTACCATTAAACGCAACAATCCCGCTGCTAGGTATCTATCCAAAGGAAAAGAAATCATTTTCTCGAAAAGACACATGTATGTTTACGGCAGCACTCTTCACAATAGTAAAGGCATTGAATCAACCTAAGAGTCCATCAACAGTGGACTGGATAAAGAAAATGCAGTATATATACGCCATAAAAAGAATGAAATCATGTTCTTCACAGCAAAATGGATGCAGCTGGAGGCCATTATCCTAAATGAAATAATTCCCCAGACAGAAAATCAAATACTGCATGCATGTTATTACTTGTAAGTGGGAGCTAAACAGTGGATACACATGAACATAAAGATGGAAACAATAGACACTGGAGGCTCCAAAAGTGGGATAAAGCAAGGAGGGCAAGGGTTGAAAAGCTACCTATTGGGTACTATGTTCACTATCTTGGTGATAGGTTCAGTAGAAGTCCAAACCCCGGTGTTACACAATATATCCATGTAACAAACATGTACATGTACCTCCTGAATCTATAATTTTAAAATATCTTTTGAATAAACTCCACAGGAAAAAGATGAATTCCTTAGTAAATAAATCACTTTAACATTTACAAAAAAAATACTTCTGCATGGGCTATTCAGTTTTTGTAAAGGAGTAGACATAAACAAGATATGTAAGATTGCATCAGCATCAAACTCAACTTTATCAAACCCCAGAAAACAAGTGCCTGGGCTCATCTACCCACAGGAGAAACTGCTTCAAAGTGCCACCACGGGGATCAACTGCCTCCCTCAGCCTTTGTTTTGCCTAAACGCTGAACAAGGAAGCTTTCAGCAACAAAAATACCAAGTTCCTTTTTACAGTGTGGCACCCAAAACTGATCTGAGTCTCTTCAGGATGGTGATGTAACCCATCCAAAATCTGACTCATTCCTACTCTCCCTCGTTTGTCCAATCAGCAGGTATTCCTTGGGCATCATAAACAGGCACAGGCCTCTGCTTCATACCATGGGAAGCAAAAGACATAGATGCTGAGTTACCACCTTCCAAGAGTTTCTGGTGGAAGTGTCTGGGTAACAAATGAATTGGAAAGATATTTAGTTGTTGATAAACCTTGACAATCACAAGGACAATTTTCTAAGATGGAAGCTCATACTCTACATACAGTTCTATATTCTGCTTTTATTACTTTGTTATACTCTTATTCATATCATTAAACATTCTCCATAAACATCATTTTCAATGACTATGTTACTCCTAGCCCCAAGTTTTGCCATTCACTTTCACACAGAAACCACCCCGAATAGAGAGGCTTGCTTGCATTTATGTCAATATGTGTAGTTGATAACCTGACACCTCATCCTGCTACTTGGAAACACTGGAAGAAACATGGCAAACATGAAATGTCACCTGGAATGTTTAGGAGCTGCCACCTGGCCTGGATGCTCAACCTAATCATTATCTCCTTTACATGGATGGTGAACAGCAAAGTCTCCTGAGCCAGACTGCCTGGGTTAGAATCCTGGCTGTACCTCTTACCAACAGGGGGACACTAGTGTTGCAGCTACCCTCTTCATGCCTTAGTTTCTATATGTACAATATCAGATTTCTTTTTAAGAAACAGTTTCGTAGAGTTGTTGTGATAGAAAGTATGTAAAGTTGTTTGTTCAATGCCTAGAACATAGCCAGTGCCCGCTACATGTTGTATATTACCACATTATGAACTCAACTGTTTTAAGAAATGAGTACCCAAAGACAGAAACAGCCAAAACCAGGTTTCACAGACAGGCACTATGACTCTACACCTCTTTCTGCTGCTGTATCTCAGGGGGTGAATAAAAACCAGGTGCTGAGCCCAGCATGAAAAGTGTCAGTGTCCGGATGATGTAGTGAGGAAAAGGAGCAACAGAACTAAACGAAAGGCAGCTGAAATGGGGTGTACGTTGTTGCATGGCCTTCTGCCGTTGGTTTTGGATGGCATCCAGGACTTAGAGGAGAATGAAAAGAACTCTGGCCCTATGAGTTTTATAATGAATTTCTTGTCACAAGGCAGGGGCACAAAGGGGAAAGTGATGGGAGTAAGACTTAAGGTGGGTGAAAGAGCAGGTCAGGAGGAAACTTGTGATCCCAGTGAGAGCTGGCTTCTAAAACTTCCGAGGAATTTTTCAAGAAATATCTGTTGTGTCTTACTCTCTGAACTCTGGACATTGAATTTGATCTTAGAGAAAATAAATCATGAAAAAAGTGAGAGTGCAGAACTTGAAGATAAAATGTCCCATCCCTTGCTCCTCTATCTGTGATCTCCATGATTTTCTCGGTGCTTGTCCCTCTACCTAGGACTCTCTACCCGGTTAACTCCTATTACTCTTCAAGACCTCATTCTTCCTTTTTAGATTTTTCCTTTCCTGGATGGATATTTCACTTCCCTAGTAAAGCCTTATGATATTTTATTGAACAGTTTTAGTTTTCTGCCTTTAGCCTCTAAATTATGAGCTCAAGAAACATTTGCTGAATGAAAGAATGACTTAAATCTATTAGGTACGTAGCATAAAGATTATGCTCCCACCTTACAACAGAAAAAATTGAGGCTCAGAGACTTTAAGTTTCTATCAACATATATAGTGAGCCTGAGGCTTGAGGCTCCTGAGTCCAAGTCCAGTGCTCCATCCACCAGCACCATCACCTTGGGCGATGACTGAAGGGTGGACAGGGCCAGCCCCAGGTAATATTTCAGAGGCACCTGGGACAGGGAGTATTGGAGTAGAGAAAGAGTCTAATCCATCTTTGACTCTCAGTGGGTGTTTTATTTTTAACAGAAGTTTCTACTCCTCTGTAATCATTTTCTCATTACTGAAATCCAGGTAATAATAAAAGCAGCCACATGTTTTGAACATTCAGTAAATTAGACTATAAATTCCTAAAGTCACAGTTCATTTCTGTTTCTATACAGCTGTGCCCCCCATCTGGCATACTGCCTGGCACATAGTAGGTGTTTGTTGAATATTTTTGAGTGATATGGACAGGGGAATGTGGGTGTGTGCATGGCCATTACTATGGACAGCTCACGAAGCTTTCCTCTTGCTATTTCCCCAGGTGGATCCTGCACAATCAATCAATTCTGGACACTGGGGTCCAAGATCTTCCTTCCCACTTTACCTTCCCCACAAGTAGACAGGGGATCTCACAGGACTTGTCAGAGGTGGTCAGGGATAGTCAGGGGCAGTCAGGGACTGACAGGGGCACTCAGTGATCCAGCAGGTGCTGCGGCATGAGTGTCTCTGTGCTGAACCCCAACAGACTCCCAGATGGTGTCTCAGGGCTCCTCCAAGGAGCCTCACTGCTGAGCCTGCTTCTGTTACTATTGAAGGCAGCCCAGCCCTAACTGCACAGGCACTGCCAGCACTAAGGGAATGGTGGGCATAAAGTATACTACAAGGCTACAGTAATCAAAACAGCATGGTACTGGTACCAAAACAGATATATAGACCAATGGAACAGAATAGAGCCCTCAGAAATAATACCATACATCTACAACCATCTGATCTTTGACAAACCTGACAAAAACAAGAAATGGGGAAAGGATTCCCTATTTAATAAATGGTGCTGGGAAAACTGGCTAGCCATATGTAGAAAGCTGAAACTGGATCCCTTCCTTACACCTGATACAAAAATTAATTCAAGGTGGATTAAAGACTTAAATGTTAGACCTGAAACCATAAAAACCCCAGAAGAAAACCTAGGCAATACCATTCAGGACATAGGCATGGGCAAGGACTTCATGTCTAAAACACGAAAAGCAATGGCAACAAAAGCCAAAATTGACAAATGGGATCTAATTAAACTAAAGAGCTTCTGCACAGCAAAAGAAACTACCATCAGAGTGAATAGGCCACCTAGAGAATGGGAGAAAATTTTTGCAATCTACTCATCTGACAAAGGGCTAATATCCAGAATCTACAAAGAACTCAAACAAATTTACAAGAAAAAAACAAACAACCCCATCAAAAAGTGGGCAAAGGATATGAACAGACACTTCTCAAAAGAAGACATTTATGCAGCCAAAAGACACACGAAAAAATGCTCATCACTGGCCATCAGAGAAATGCAAATCAAAACCGCAATGAGATACCATCTCACACCAGTTAGAATGGCAATCATTAAAAAGTCAGGAAACAACAGGTGCTGGAAAGGATGTGGAGAACTAGGAACACTTTTACACTGTTGGTGGGACTGTAAACTATTTCAACCATTGTGTAAGTCAGTGTGGTGATTCCTCAGGGATCTAGAACTAGAAATACCATTTGACGCAGCCATCCCATTACTGGGTATATACCCAAAGGATTATAAATCATGCTGCTATAAAGACACATGCATATGTATGTTTATTGTGGCACTATTCATAATAGCAAAGACTTGGAACCAACCTAAATGTCCAACAATGATAGACTGGATTAAGAAAATGTGGCACATCTACACCATGGAATACTATGCAGCCATAAAAAAGGATGAGTTCATGTCCTTTGTAGGGACATGGATGAAGCTGGAAACCATCATTCTCAGCAAACTATCACAAGGACAAAAAACCAAACACCGCATGTTCTCACTCATAGGTGGGAATTGAACAATGAGAACACATGGACACAGGAAGGGGAACATCACACACCGGGACCTGTTGTGGGGTGGGGGGAGGGGGGAGGGATAGCATTTGGAGATATACCCAATGTTAAATGACGAGTTAATGGGTGCAGCACACCAACATGGCACATGTATGCATATGTAACTAACCTGCACGTTGTGCACATGTACCCTAAAACTTAAAGTGTAATAAAAAAAGGAAGTCTATAATTATTTTTAGTGGAAAATCACAAATATTTAACAGAATGTGGGAAAATTGGAACTCTTACAAATTGCTGGTGAATATAAATTGGCATATCAATTTGGAAAACAGATCTGTGGTTCCTGAAAAAGAAAATCACAAGTGCCATAGGATCCAGAAATTCACACCTGGCTATATAACCAAAAGAATTGAAAACAGGGATTTGAACAGATACTTGTGAGCCAATGTTCATGGCACCATTATTCACAACAGATGTAAGATTGAAAGAACTCAAGTGTCCATTAACAGACAAATGGGTACACAGAATGTCCTATATACATACAATATTATTTCATCACAAACAGGAGTGAAGTTCTGATTCATACAACAGCAGGAATGACCTTGAGAACAGTATGCTAAGTGAAAATAGCCAGACATAAAAAGACAAATACTGTAATAAGTCCGCTTATAGGTAGAGGAATAGGCAAATTCATAGATCCAGAAAGTTGATTAGAAATAACCAGGGACTGGGGGAAGTCAGACTGGGGAAGTATTGCTTAATGGTTACAGAGTTTCTGTTGGAGTGAAGAAAATGTTTTGGAAATAGGTAGTAATGAGGTTTCTAAATCATCATGAATTTCATTAAAGCCATTGAACTGTACAATTTAAATTGGTTAAAGTGTCTATTTTTATATTCTTCAACCTCTGCCTCCCGGGTTCAAGTGATTCTCGTGCCTCAGCCTCCCAAGTAGCTGAGATTACAGGCGTGTGCCTTCGCACTCAGCTAATTTAATTTTTTAAAAAATTTTTAGTAGAGACAGGGTTTCACCATGTTGACCAGGCTGATCTTGAACTTCTGATCTCAGGTGATCTGCCCACCATGGCTTCCCAAAGTGCTGGGACTACAAGCGTTAGCCACCATGCCTGGCCTGAATTGAGTTTTCTTAATGACAGTCCTGGGAGTGGGGAGAGGAGCGGATGATAACGTCTGTTGAGTGGGATCTGTTTCATACCAGGCACTTTGTAAAGCCAGCTCATTTCATTTTCCCAACTCTTTATTAAGATTAAGATTATTGTCTCTATTTTGCAGAGGAGAATCAGATCTATAAGACTCCAAAGCCTCCTCCTTCCCACGCATCACAATGCCTCTAATGTGCTGAGAGGTGTGCCCTCCGAGTCGCCGGCCAGCGTATTCCTTTCCAACAGGCTTGTCCTCCTGTCACTCCCGAGGCTGCTTTAAGTTTGCTCTGCGCTTGCTTTGGCCCTCACATGGGGGAAGCCCAAGCCTCTTGGAACGCATCTGTGTCCTCTGCCTTAAGTGGATTTTCACCTACCCCTCCCAGTGGAGGCTTCTGAGGTAGAAAATACAGAGGTCAGATGATGGCCACTAAGTGTATACAGCTCCATGGATGATAATCAAACAAGGGTGCTTTAACTGCAGCAGGAGGAACTGGGATTAGCTCTGGGATAGGACTTCTGCCCAGTGAGAGATGCTAAGTTGTAGGAATGAGCTAGGGGAGGTAAGCGTGGAATTCCCTTTGAAAAGCCTGTAAGAACAAGCTAAATATTCAGCCGTCTGGGGCTTACTGTGGAGAATTAATGAGGCCCCTTGTGACAGCCCTGCTAAGCCTCCCTGGAAAACTACAAATCCATGATGTCAACTGGTCATTAAAATCCAGGCTCTCGTTTCTTGATAAAATTTAACGTAGGCCAGTAGGTGGCAATAAGTTAACAGAAATGAGGCCTTCTTTGAAGTGTAGGGCTTCTTTGAACCTTGAGAGAACGCATTAAAAGCAGTCTGGAAGGTTGCTTCTGGGAGCAAGAGGGGGAACATTTCTGTGAATCCAGTGCTGATTGAGGTGCAATTAGCAGATCCACTAACGGGATGCCTCTCCTGACTCTTTTTTTTTTTTTTTAAGTTCTGGGATACATGTGCAGAACGTGCAGGTTTGTTACATAGGTATACATGTGCCGTGGTGGTTTGCTGCACCCATCAACCCATCATCTACATTAGGTATTTCTCCTAATGCTATCCCTCTCCTAACCCCCCGCCCCCAACAGGCCCCAGTGTGTGATGTTCCCCTCCCTGTGTCCATGTGTTCTCATTGTTCAACTCCCACTTATGAGTGAGAACATGCGATGTTTGGTTTTCTGTTCTTGTGTTAGTTTGCTGAGGAAGATGGTTTCCAGCTTCATCCATGTCCCTGGGAAGGACATGAACTCATCCTTTTTTATGGCTGCATAGTATTCCATGGTATATATGTGCCACATCTTCTTTATCCAGTCTATCATTGATGGGCATTTGGGTTGGTCCTAAGTCTTTGCTATTGTGAACAGTGCCACAATAAACATACATGTGCATGTGTCTTTATAGTAGAATGATTTATAATCCTTTGGGTATATACCCAGTAATCGGATTGCTGGGTCAAATGGTATTTCTAGTTCTAGATCCCTGAGGAATCACCACATTGTCTTCCACAATGGTTGAACTAATTTACAGTCCCATCAACAATGTAAAAGCGTTCCTATTTCTCTGCATCGTCTCCAGTATCTGTTGCTTCCTGCCTTTTTAATGATCGCCATTCTAACTGGCTTGAGATGGTATCTCATTGTGGTTTTGATTTGCATTTCTCTAAGGGCCACTGATGATGAGCTTTTTTTCATATGTTTGTTGGCTGCATAAATGTCTTCTTTTGACAAATGTCTGTTCATATCCTTCACCCACTTTTTGGTGGGGTTGTTTGTTTTTTTCTTGTAAATTTGTTTATGTTCTTTGTAGATTCTGGATATTGGCCCTTTGTCAGATGGACAGATTGCAAAAATTTTCTCCCATTCTGTAGGATGCTTGTTCACTCTGATGATAGTTTCTTTTGCTGTGCAGAAGCTCTTTAGTTTAACTAGATTCCATTTGTCACTTTTGGCTTTTGTTGCCATTGCTTTTGGTGTTTTAGTCATGAGGCCTTTGCCCATGCCTATATCCTGAAAGCTATTGCCTAGGTTTTCTTCTAGAGTTTTTATGGTTTGGGGTTTTACATTTAAGTCTTTAATCCATCTTGCATTAATTTTTGTATAAAGTGTAAGGAAGGGATCCAGTTTCAGCTTTCTGCATATGGCTAGCCAGTTTTCCCAGCACCATTTATTAAGGGAATCCTTTCCCCATTTCTTGTTTTTGTCAGGTTTGTCAAAGATCAGATGGGTTGTAGATATGTGGTGTTATTTCTGAGGTCTCTATTCTGTTCCATTGGTCTATATATCTGTTTTGGTACCAGTACTATGCTGTTTTGGTTACTGTAGCCTTGTAGTACAGTTTGAAGTCAAATAGTGTGATGCCTCCAGCTTTGCTCTTTTTGCTTATGATTGTCTTGTCTATGTGGGCTCTTTTTTGGTTCCATATGAAATTTAAAGTAGCTTTTTCTAATTCTGTGAAGAAAGTCAATGGTAGCTTGATGGGGATAGTATTGAATCTATAAATTACTTTGGGCAGTATGTCCATTTTCATGATATTGATTCTTCCTATCCATGAGTATGGAATGTTCTTCCATTTGTTTGTGTTGTCTCTTATTTTGTTGAGCAGTGGTTTGTAGTTCTCCTTGAAGAGGTCCTTCACATCCCTTGTAAATTGGTATTCCTAGGTATTTTATTCTCTCTGTGGCAATTGTGAATGTGTGTTCACTCATGATTTGGCTCTCTGTTTGTCGATTATTGTTGTGTAGGAATGCTTGTGATTTTTGCACTTTGATTTTGTATCCTGAGACTTTGCTGAAGTTTCTTATCAGCTTAAGGAGATTTTGGACTGAGATGATGGGGTTTTCTAAATATACAATCATGTCATCTGCAAACAGAGACAATTTGACTTCCTCTCTTCCTGCTTGAATACCTTTTATTTCTTTCTTTTGCATGATTGCTCTGGCCAGAACTGCCAATACTATGTTGAATAGGAGTGGTGAGAGAGGGCATCCTTGTCTTGTGCCTGTTTTCCAAGGGAATGCTTCCAGCTTTTGCCCGTTTAGTATGATATTGGCGTGGATTTGTCATAAACAGCTCTTATTTTGAGATATGTTCCATTAATACCTAGTTTACTGAGAGTTTTTAGCATGAAGGGGTGTCAAATTTTATTGAAGGCCTTTTTCTGCATCTGTTGAGATAATCTATTGAGATAAATAATCATGCGGTTTCTGTCATTGGTTCTGTTTATGTGATGCATTATATTTATTGATTTGCATATGTTAAACCAACCTTGCATCTCAGGGAGGAAGCCAAATTGATCATGGTGGATAAGCTTTTTGATGTGCTGCTGGATTCGGTTTGCCAGTATTTTATTGAGGATTTTCCCATCGATGTTCCTCAGGGATATTGGCCTGAAATTTTCTTTTTTTGTTATGTCTCTGCCAGGTTTTGGTATTACGATGATACTGGCCTCATAAAAAGACTTAGCAAGGAGTCTCTCTTTTTCTATTGCTTGCAATAGTTTCAGAAGGAATGGTACCATTCCTGTTTGTACCTCTGGTAGAATTTGGCTGTGAATCCATCTTGTCCTGGACTTTTTTTATTGGTAGGCTATTAATTACTGCCTCAATTTCAGAACCTGTTATTGGTCCATTCAGGTATTTGACTTCTTCCTGGTTTAGACTTGGGAGGGGGTATGTGTCCAGGAATTTATCTATTTTTTCTATATTTTCTAGTTTATTTGTGTAGAGGTGTTTATAGTACTTTCTGATGGTAGTTTGTATTTCTGTGGGATCAGTGGTGATATCTCCTTTATCATTTTTTATTGCATCTATTTGATTCTTCTCTCTTTTCTTCTTTATTAGTCTGGCTAGTGGTCTACATATTTTGTTGATCTTTTCAAAAACCCAGCTCCTGGATTCATCAATTTTTGAAGGGGTTTTTTATGTCTCTTATCTCCTTCAGTTCTGCTCTGATCTTAGTTATTTCTTGCCTTCTGCTAGCTTTTGAGTATGTTTGCTCTTGCTTCTCTAGTTCTTTTAATTGTGAAGTTAGAGTGTCAATTTTAGATCTTTTCTACTTTCTCTTGTGGGCATTTAGTGCTATAAATTTCCCTCTGAACATTGCTTTAGCTGTGTCCCAGTGATTCTGGTATGTTTTGTGTTTGTTCTCCTTGGTTTGAAAGAGCTTTTTTGTTTCTGCCTCAATTTTGTTATGTACCCAGTAGTCATTCAGGAGCAGTTTTTTCAATTTCCATGTAGTTATGTGGTTTTGAGTGAGATTCTTAATCCTGAGGTCTAATTTGATTGCACTGTGGTCTGAGAGACTGTTTGTTATGATTTCTGTTCTTTTGCATTTGCTGAGGAGTGTTTTATTTCCAATTATGTGGTCAATTTTAGAATAAGTGCAATGTGGTGCTGAGAAGAATGTATATTCTGCTGATTTGGAGTGGAGAGTTCTGTCGATGTCTATTAGGTCTGCTTGGTGCAGAGCTGAGTTCAAGTCCTGAATATCCTTGCTAATTTTCTGTCTAGTTGATCTGTCTAATATTGATGGTGGGGTGTTAAAGTCTCTCACTATTATTGTATGGGAGTCTAAGTCTCTTTATAGGTCTCTAAGAACTTGCTTTATGAATCTGGGTGCTCCTGTATTGGGTGCATATATATTTAGGATAGTTAACTCTTCTTAATGCATTGATCCCTTTGCCATTATGTAATGCCTTTCTTTGTATCTTTTGATCTTTGTTGGTTTAAAGTCTGTTTTATCAGAGACTAGGATTGTGACCCCTGCTTTTTATTTTTTCTTTCCATTTGCTTGGTAAATATTCCTCCATCCCTTTATTTATTTTGAGCCTACGTGTGTCTTTGCATGTATGATGGGTCTCCTGAATACAGCACACCAATGGATCTTGACTCTTTATCCAATTTGCCAGTCTGTGTCTTTTGATTGGGCATTTAGCCCATTTACATTTAAGATTAATATTGTTAGTGTGAATTTGATCTTTTCATTATGATGCTAGCTGGTTATTTTGCTCATTAGTTGATGCAGTTTCTTCATAGTATCAATTGTCTTTACAATTTGGTATATTTTTGCAGTGGCTGGTACTGGTTTTTTTTTCCATGTTTAGTGCTTCCTTTAGGAGCTCTTGTCAGGCAGGCCTGGTGGTGACAAAATCTCTCAGCATTTGCTTGTCTGTAAATAATTTTATTTCTCCTTCACTTATGAAGCTTAGCTTGGTTGGAGATGAAAGAAAAGAAATTCTTTTCTTTAAGAATGTTGAATATTGGCCCCCACTTTCTTCTAGCTTGTAGGATTTCTGCAGAGAGATCCACTGTTAGTCTGTTGGGTTTCCCTTTGTGGGTAACCCGACCTTTCTCTCTAGCTGCCCTTAACATTTTTTCCTTCATTTCAACCTTGGTGAGTCTGACAATTATATGTCTTGGGGGTGCTCTTCTCGAGGAGTATCTTTGTGGTGTTCTCTGTTTTTTCTGAATTTTAATGTTAGCCTGTCTTGCTAGGTTGGGGAAGTTCTCCTGGATAATATCCTGAAGAGTGTTTTCCAGCTGGGTTCCATTCTCTCTGTCACTTTCAGGTACACCAATCAAACATAGGTTTGGTCTTTTCACATAGTCTGATATCTCTTGGACACTTTGCTCATTTCTTTTCATTCTTTTTTCTCTAATCTTGTCTTCACGCTTTATTTCATTAAGAGATTTTTAAGAGATTGATCTTCAGTCTCTGATATCTTTTCTTTCATTTGATTGATTCAACTATTGATACTTGTATATGCTTCATGAAGTTCTTTTGCTGTTTTTCAGCTCCATCAGGTCATTTACATTCTTCTCTAAACTGGTTATTCTAGTTAGCAATTCATCTAACCTTTTTTCAAGGTTCTTGACTTTCTTGCATTGGGTTAGAACAAGCTCCTTTAGCTCGGAGGAGTTTGTTATTACCCACCTCCTGAAGCCTGCTTCTCTCAATTCATCAAGCTCATTCTCCATCCAGTTTTGTTCCCTTGCTGGTGAGGAGTTGTGATCATTTGGAGGGGAAGAGGCATTCTGATTTTTGGAATTTCCAGCCTTTTTGTGCTGGTTTCTCCCTATCTTCATGGACTTATCTACCTTTAGTCTTTGATGTTGGTGATCTTCGGATGGAGTTTCTGTGTGGACAACATCCTTTTTGATGTTGATGCTCTTCCTTTCTGTTTATTTGTTTTCCTTCTAACAGTAAAGCGTCTCTGCTGCAGGTCTGCTGGAGTTTGCTGGGGGTCCACTCCAGACCCTGTTTGCCTGGGTATCACCAGTGGGGGCTGCAGAACAGCAAAGATTGATGGCCCTGTTTCTTCCTCTGGAAGCTTCATCCCAGAGGGGCACCCACCAGATGCCAGCCGGAGCTCTCCTGTATGAAGTGTCTGTCAGCCTCTGCTGGGAGATGTCTCCCAATCAGGAGACATGGGGATCAGGGACCCAGTTGAGGAGGCAGTCTAACCCTTAGCAGAGCTCGAACGCTGTGCTGGGAGATCCACTGCTCTCTTCAGAGCCAGGAGGCAGGGACGTTTATGTCTGCTGAAGCTGTGCCCACAGCCACCCCTTCCCCCAGGTGCTTTCTCCCAGGGAGATGGGGGTTTTACCTATAAGCCCCTTACTGGGGCTGCTGCCTTTTTTATCTATTTATTTTTTTTGAGATAGACTCTTGCTCTGTCACCCAGGCTGGAGTGCAGTGGCATGATCTCGGCTCACTGCAAGCTCTGCCTCCCAGGTTTATGCCATTCTCCTGCCTCAGCTTCCCGAGTAGCTGGGACTACAGGCTGCTGCCTTTTTTTCAGAGATGCCCTGGCCAAAGAGGAGGAATCTAGAGAGGCAGTCTGGCTACAGTGGCTTTGCTGAGCTGTGGAGGGCTCTGCCCAGTTGGAACTTCCCTGCTGCTTAGTTTACACTGTGAGGGGAAAACCACCTACTCAAGCCTTAGTAATGGCAGATACGCCTCTCCCCACCAAGCTTGAGCATCCCAGGTTGACCTCAGACTCCTGTGCTGGCAGCGAGAATTTCAAGTCAGTGGATCTCAGCTTGCTGGGCTCCGTGGGGGTGGGATCCACTGACCTAGACCACTTGGCTCTCTGGCTTTAGCCCCCTTTCCAGGGGAGTGAACAATTCTGTCTCACTGGCATTTCAGGCATCACTGGGGTATGAAAAAAACTCCTGCAGCTATCTTCATGTCTGTCCAAATGTCCACCCACTTTTGTGCTTGAAACCCAGGGTCCTGGTGGCATAGGCACCCCAGGGAATCTCCTGGTCTGTAGGTTGCGAAGACCGTGGGAAAAGCGTAGTATCTGGGCTGGAATGCACTGTTCCTCAAGGCACAGCCCCCCATGGCTTCCCTTGGCTAGGGGAGGGAGTTCCCTGACCCCTTGCGCTTCCCAGGTGAGATGACACCCCATCCTGCTTCAGCTTGCCTTCTGTGGGCTGCACCCACTGTCTAACTAGTCCCAGTGAGATGAGCCAGGTATCTCAGTTGGAAATGCAGAAACCACCCACATTCTGCATTGATCTCCCAGGGAGCTGCAGGACAGAGCTCTTCCTATTCAGTCATCTTGCCAGCCTCTCCTGGTTTTTTTTTTTTTTTTTTTTTTTTTAAAGGCAGAGCAGGGAGGAGTTAAACACTAGTTCTTCAGTGGGATCATCCCAGAGGACACATTGGGATTCATCAAGAAGAAATGCAACCCACAGAGAGAAGAGTGAGACAAGACAACTGCTCACTGGGGATTGGTGCAAGGGAGACTCCCCACTGGGGAAACAGTGAGTGAGCAAGAGCCCCCAGGACTCACATTTCTGCCTTAGACGTTTGCAAACCTGGGCTCAGGAAATTCCACACACCCTCCCCGCCCTCCCCCACCAACTTTCTCTCCCCTGGGCCTCCAGACTGACACCAGAGCTGCTCGGCAGAGCTGCTGCTCAGGCCCACATGGAGCCCCAAGGGCCTTGTACTCCTGAGCACTCCTGCACCAGCTGCTGTAGCTCTGCCAACAAGGGAGGCCTGGCTCTCTTGCATGCCCTCAGGATAGGGGCTGTACCAATGATGCTGAGGGGTGAACAGACTGCAGGCATAGCATCCACTATACCTTGCCAAATAAAGCCCACTGACCTGGGACCCCAGTGAAGCCACCCCACTCCCCACCACAGCACTCGGACCAGTGGCAGCTCTGTATTATCTGGGCTGGAGCTCCCAGAGGTAATGGACATGCCCACCATTTTTGCCACTGCTGTAGCTCCCACCTCTACTGCCCTCAGGCTGGGAGGAAGCAAGAAGCCTAAGGACTATCACGGGCCTTGAGAACACTGCAACTGCCTTACAGAAATGTGCCCAGACTGTTTTCCATGCACGTCCCTGCCTCTGCTACTCATCACTGGGCAGGTTTTCCCGACCTGGGTCTCCAGCACAGCCGCCCTGCCCCCACCTGAGCACTTCAGTCAGTGGCGGCTCTGCATTTCTGTAGGGAGGAAATCCCAGAGACAATCCACAGGCTCTCTGCCATTGCAGCTGCAGTGGAACTGCCCTTGCTGTCCTCTGGCTGGGAAAGAAACAAAGACCCTGATCATTTTGCTGGCAACTCTAACATGGCACAATGGCTAGATGAAAAGGAGCCCAGTCTCTCTTCCCTGTGAGCTCCCAATTCCCTGCTCTTCACCAGATATGGCCTTGGCTAGCATCCACAATGCAGCCACCCCATCCCCTGCTGAATGCTTCCATAGGCACCGGCTCTATGTCTCTCTGTGGTGGAGTTGCCAGAGGCAACAGACATGCCCTCTGCCACTGCAGCAATACCCACCCTTGCTGCCACCAGGCTGGGGAAGGAACAAAGAGCCTGAGTGCTTTACTTGCACTTCCAGCACACCATAGCCACCCTATAGAGAAAAGGCCAGACGGCCTTTCCCACAAGCTCCCCACCCCACCACGTGTCCCCAGGCAGGGCCCCCAGGCTTGGACCTGCAACACAACCACCCCACCTTGGGCTGATCATTCTGATTGGCAGCAGCTATGCAATTCTGTAGGATGAAGCCCCAGAGACCAGTTAAAAGTCCTTTGCCATTGCCACTGCCAACGTCCCCATCACTGCTGTCCCCAAGATGGGGAGGTAACAAAAAGCCTGAGCTCACTCCAGGATTGTAGTGTGCAGCCCAGGAGTGCCAAGCTGAGATCTACAGCCAGCACCTGAGTGGGACAGAAGCCCACATGCTCAGAGCACTGAGAAGGAGCACAGCTGCAGATGTGAGGAAATATATAGGAGCCACATGGCTGAGCAAGAGCCTACCTACTGGCCATTATGCTTAAGTGTCATTACTGGAACGCAGCCCTAACTTCAACACCAAATATACTTTCTTAATATAACTCCCTGTGAAATCAAGGACAAGAATCCTGCCACAAATAAAAAGCCTGCCCAAAGCCTCAGCCCTCTGAAAACATCCAGAAACAAAGCCAATTGACTACACTACTCCACAGTTAAAAGAACATCAGCCCACACAAGATGAGAAAGAACCAACGCAAGAACTCTGGCAATTCTAGAAGCCAGAGTGTCTCGCTACATCCAAATGACCATGCTAACTCCCCAGCAATGGTTCTTAACTAGAAAGAAATGGCTGAGATGACAGAAAGAAATGGCTGAGATGACAGACACGGAATTCAAAACCTGGATGTTATCAAATATCGAGATTCAGGAGAAAGTTGAAACTCATTCCAAGGAATCAAAGGAATTCAGTAAAATGATTCAAGAGATGAAAGATAAAATAGGCATTTTAAGAAAGAACCAAACTGAGCTAATAGAGCTGAAAAAACATAGTACAATAATTTTATTATTACACAAATGGATTTTTTTCTTTTTTTATTATATTTTAAGTTCTAGGGTACATGTGCACAAAGTTCAGGTTTGTTACATATGTATACATGTGCCATGTTGATTTGCTGCACCCAGTAACTTGTCATTTACATTAGGTATTTCTCCTAATGCTATCCCTCCCCCATCTCCCCATCTATGACAGGCCCTGGTGTGTGATGTTCCCCACCCTGTGTCCAAGTGTTCTCATAGTTCAATTCCCACCTATGAGTGAGAACAAGTGGTGTTTGGTTTTCTGTCCTTGTGATAGTTTGCGCAGAATGATGGTTGCCAGCTTCATCTATGTCCATACAAAGGACATTAACTTATCCTTGTTTAAAGCTGCATAGTATTCCATGGTGTATATATGCCACATTTTCTTAATCCAGTCTATCACTGATGGACATTTGTGTTGGTTCCAAGTCTTTGCTACTGTGAATAGTGCCGCAATAAACATACATGTGCATGTGTCTTTATAGTAGCATGATTTATAATCCTTTGGGTATATACCCAGTAATGAGATGGCTGGGTCAAATGGTATTTCTAGTTCTAGATCCTTGAGGAATCACCACACTGTCTTTCACAATGGTTGAACTAGTTTACACTCCCACCAACAGTGTAAAAGTGTTCCTATTTCTCCACATCCTCTCCAGCACCTGTTGTTTCCTGACTTTTTAATGATCGCCATTCTAACTGGTGTGAGATGGTATCTCATTGTGGTTTTGATTTGCATTTCTCTGATGACCAGTGATGATGAGCTTTTTTTCATGTGTCTTTTGGCTGCATAAATGTCTTCTTTTGAGAAGTGTCTGTTCATATCCTTTGCCCACTTTTTGATGGAGTGTCTGATTTTTTTCTTGTAAATTTGTTTATGTTCTTTGTAGATTCTGGATATTAGCCCTTGTTAGATGGGTAGATTGCAAAAATTTTCTCCCATTCTGTAGGTGGCCTGTTCACTCTGATGGTAGTTTCTTTTGCTGTGCAGAAGCTCTTTAGTTTAATTAGATCCCATTTGTCAATTTTGGCTTCTGTTGCCATTGCTTTTGGTGTTTTAGTCATGAAGTCCTTACCCGTGCCTATGTTCTGAATGGTATTGCCTAGGTTTTCTTCTAAGGTTTTTATGGTTTTAGGTCTAATATTTAAGTCTTTAATCCATCTTGAATTAAATTTTGTATAAGGTGCAAGGAAGGGATCCAGTTTCAGCTTTCTACATATGGCTAGGCAGTTTTCCCAGCACCATTTATTTTTAAATAGGGAATCCTTTCCCCATTTCTTGCTTTTGTCAGGTTTGGCAAAGATCAGATGGTGTAGATGTGTGGTGTTATTTCTGAGGCCTCTGTTCTGTTCCATTGATCTATATCTCTGTTTTGGTACCAGTACCATGCTGTTTTGTTTACTGTAGCCTTGTAGTATAGTTTGAAGTCAGGTAGTATGATGTCTCCAGCTTTGTTCTTTTTGCTAAGTATTGTCTTGGCAATATGGGCTCTTTTTTGGTTCCATATGAACTTTAAAGTAGCTTTTTCTAATTCTGTGAAGAAAGTCATTGGTAGCTTGATGGGGATGGCATTGAATCTATAAATTACACCTTGGGCAGTATGGCCATTTTCACGATATTGATTTTTCCTATCCATGAGCATGGAATGCTCTTCCATTTGTTTGTGTCCTCTTTTATTTCATTGAGCAGTGGTTTGTAGTTCTCCTTGAAGAGGTCCTTCACATCCCTTGTAAGTTGGATTCCTAGGTATTTTATTCTCTTTGTAGCAATTGTGAATGGGAGTTCATTCATGATTTGCCTCTCTGTTTGTCTGTTATTGGTGTATAAGAATGCTTGTGATTTTTGCACATTGATTTTGTATCCTGAGACTTTGCTGAAGTTACTTATCAGCTTAAGGAAATTTTGGGCTGAGATGATGGTGTTTTCTAAATATAAAATCATGTCAACTGCAAACAGGGACAATTTGACTTCATCTTTTCCTAACTGAATACACTTTCTTTTTTTCTCTTGCCTGATGGTCCTGGCCAGAACTTCCAACACTATGTTGAATAGGGGTGGTGAGAGAGGGCACCCCTGTCTTGTGCCAGTTTTCAAAGGGAATGCTTCCAGTTTTGCCCATTCAGTATGATATTGGCTGTGGGTTTGTCATAAATAGCTCTTATTATTTTGAGATATGTTCCATCAATACCTAATTTATTGAGAGTTTTTAGCATGAAGAGTTCTTGAATTTTGTTGAAGGCCTTTTCTGCATCTATTGAGATAATCATGTGGTTTTTGTCATTGGTTCTGTTTATGTGATGGATTAAGTTTATTGATTTGCATATGTTCAACCAGCCTTGCATTCCAGGAATGAAGCCAACTTCATCTTGGTGGATAAGCTTTTTGATGTGCTGCTGGATTCGGTTTGCCAGTATATTATTGAGGATTTTCGCATCGATGTTCATCAGGGATGTTGGTCTAAAATTCTCTTTTTTTATTGTGTCTCTGCCAGGCTTTGGTATCAGGATGATGCTGGCCTCATAAAATCAGTTAGGGAGGATTCCCTCTTTTTTGTATTGATTGGAATAGTTTCAGAAGGAACAGTACCAGCTCCTCTTTGTACCTCTGGTAGAATTCGGCTGTGAATCTGTCTGGTTGTGGACTCTTTTTGGTTGGTAGGCCAGTAATTATTGCCTCAATTTCAGAACCTGTTATGGGTCTATTCAGTGATTCAACTTCTTTCTGGTTTAGTCGTGGGAGGGTGTATGTCTCCAGGAATTTATCCATGTCTTCTAGGTTTTGTAATTTATTTGCATAGAGATGTGTATAGTATTCTCTGACGGTAGTTTGTATTTCTGTGGGATCAGCGGTGATATCCCCTTTATCATTTTTTATTGCGTCTATTTGATTCTTCTCTCTTTTCTTCTTTATTAGTCTTGCTAGTGGTCTATCAATTTTGTTGATCTTTTCAAAAAACCAGCTCCTGGATTCCTTGATTTTTTGAAGGGGTTTTTGTGTCTCTATCTCCTTCAGTTCTGCTCTGATCTTAGTTATTTCTTGCCTTCTGCTAGCTTTTGAATGTGTTTGCTCTTGCTTCTCTAGTTCTTTTAATTGTGATGTTAGGAGATTGATTTTAGATCTTTCCTGGTTTCTCTTGTGGGCATTTAGTGCTATAAATTTCCCTCTACACCCTCCTTTAAATGTGTCCCAGAGATTCTGGTATGTTGTGTCTTTGTTCTCACTGGTTTCAAAGAACATCTTTATTTCTGCCTTCATTTCGTTATGTACCCAGTAGTCATTCAGGAACAGGTTGTTCAATTTCCATGTAGTTGTGCAGTTTTGAGTGAGTTTCTTAATCCTGAGCTCTAATTTGATTGCACTGTGGTCTGAGAGACAATTTGTGGTAATTTCTGTTCTTTTACATTTGCTAAGGGGTGCTTCACTTCCAACTATGTGGTCAATTTTGGAATAAATATGATGTGGTCCTGAGAAGAATGTATATTCTATTGATTTGGGGTGGAGAGTTCTGTAGATGTCTATTAGGTCTGCGTGGTGCAGAGCTGAGTTTAAGTCCTGGATATCCTTGTTAACCTTCTGTCTCATTGATACATCTAATATTGACAGTGGGGTGTTAAAGTCTCCCATTATTGTGTGGGAGTCTAAGTCTCTTTGTAGGTCTCTAAGGACTTGCTTTATGAATCTGGGTGCTCCTGTATTGGGTGCATATATGTTTAGAATAGTTAGCTCTTCTTGTTGAATTGATCCCTTTACCATTGTTGTAATGGTCTTCTTTGTATCTTTTGATCTTTGTTGGTTTGAAGTCTGTTTTTTCAGAGACTAGGATTGCAACCCCTGCCTTTTTTTTGCTTTCCATTTGCTTGGCAGAACTTCCTCCATCCCTTTATTTTGAGCCTTTGTGTGTTGCTGCACATGAGATGGGTCTCCTCAATACAGCACACTGATGGGTCTTGACTCTTTATCCAATTTGCCAGTCTGTGTCTTTTAATTGGAGCATTTAGCCCATTTACATTTAAGGTTAATATTGTTATGCATGAATTTGATCCTGTCATTATGATGTTAGCTGGTTATTTTGCTCATTAGTTGATGCAGTTTCTTCCTAGCATTGATGGTCTTTACAATCTGGCATGTTTTTGCAGTGGCTGGTACTGGTTGTTCCTTTCCATCTTTAGTGCTTCCTTCAGGAGCTCTTGTAAGGCAGTCCTGGTGGTGACAAAATCTCTCAGCATTTGCTTGTCTGTAAAGTATTTTATTTCTCCTTCTCTTATGAAGCTTAGTTTGGCTGGATATGAAATTCTGGGTTGAAAATTCTTTTTTTTAAGAATGTTGAATATTGACCCCCACTCTTTCCTGGCTTGTAGAGTTTGTGCCGAGAGATCAGCTGTTAGTCTGATGGGCTTCCCTTTATTGGTAACCCGACCGTTCTCTCTGGCTGTCTTAACATTTTTTCCCTCATTTCAACCTTGGTGAATCTGACAATTATGTGTCTTGGGGGTGCTCTTGTCGTGGAGTATCTTTTTGTTGGTCTCTGTATTTCCTGAATTTGGATGTTGGCCTACCTTGCTAGGTTGGGGAAGTTCTCCTACATAATATCCTGAAGAGTGTTTTCCAACTTGGCTCCATTCTCTCGGTCACTTTCGAGTACACCAATCTGATGTAGATTTGATCTTTTCACATAGTCCCATATTTCTTGGAGGCTTTGTTCATTTCTTTTTACTCCTTTTTCTCTAAACTTCTCTTCTTACTTCATTTCAATAATTTGATCTTCAATCACTGATACCCTTTCCTCCACTTGATCGAATTGTCTACTGAAGCTTGTGCATGTATCACATAGTTCTCGTGCCATGGTTTTCAGCTCCATTGGGTGATTTAAAGTCTGCTCTACACTGTTTATTCTAGTTAGCCATTCATCTAATCTCTTTTCAAGGCTTTTTGCTTCCTTGTGATGGGTTTGAACATCCTCCTTTAGCTCAGAGAAGTTTGTTATTACTGACCTTCTGAAACCTACTTCTGCCAACTCATCAAAGTCATTCTCTGTCCAGCTTTGTTCCATTACTAGTGAGGAGCTGTGATCCTTTGGAGGAGAAGAGGTGCCCTGGTTTTTAGAATTTTTAGCTTTCCTGCTCTGGTTTCTCCCCATCTTTGTGGTTTTATCTACCTTTGGCCTTTGATGATGGTGACCTACAGATGGGGTTTTGGTGTGGGTGTCCTTTTTGTTGATGTTGATGCAATTCTTTTCTGTCTGTCAGTTTTCCTTCTAACAGTCAGGTCCCTCAGCTGCTGGTCTGTTGGAGTTTGCTGGAGGTCCACTCCCAACACTGTTTGCCTGGGTATCACCAGCAGAGGCTGCAGAGCAGCAAATATTGCAGAACAGCAAATATTGCTGCCTGATCCTTCCTCTGAAAGCTTCATCTCAGAGGGGCACCCAGCTGTATGAGGTGTGTGTTGGCCCCTAGTGGGAGATGTCTCCCAGTTAGGCTACAGTGGGGTCAGGGACCCACTTGAGGAGGCAGTCTGTTCATTCTCAGAGCTCAAACACCATGCTGGGAGAACCATTGCTCTCTTCAGAGCTGTCAGACAGGGATGTTTAAGTCTGCAGAAGTTTCTGCTACCTTTTGTTCAGCGATGCCATGCCTACAGAGGTGGAGTCTACAGAGGCAGGCAGGCCTCATTGAGCTGCGGTGGGCTCCACCTAGTTCGAGATTCCCTGCTGCTTTGTTTACCTACTCAAGCCTCAGCAATGGTGGATGCCCCTCCCTCAGCCAGGCTGCCACCTAGCACTTCAATCTCGGACTGCTGTGCTAGCAGTGAGCAAGGCTCCATGGGCATGGGACCCACGGATCCAGGCGTGGGATATAATCTCCTGATATGCCTTTTGCTAAGATCTTTGGAAAAGTGCAGTATTTAGGTGGCAGTGTCCCAATTTTCCTGGTACAGCCTGTCACGGCTTCCCTTGGCTAGGAAAAGGAAATCCCCAGACCCCTTGCACTTCCCAGGTGAGGTGATGCCCCACCCTTCTTTGGCTTGCCCTCCATGGGCTGCATCCACTGTCCAACCAGTCCCAATGAGATGAACCAGGTACCTCAGCTGGAAATGCAGAAATCACCCATCTTCTGCATCGATCACACGAGAAGCTGCAGACCAGAGCTGTTACTATTTAGCCATCTTGGAATGGATCCCACAATTGGAATTATCAACAGCAGAATAGACCAAGCTGAGGAAAGAATCTCAGAGCTCAAAGACCAGTTCTTAGAATTAACTCAAATAAAAATAAAGAAAAAAAATTTTTTTGATGAACAAAATTAGAGAGATATAGGATTATGTAAAGAGCCCAAGTCCATGACTCACCAACATGCATGAAAGACAGGGAGAGAGAACAGCAACTTGGAAAACTTATTTGAGAATATTGTTCACAAAAATTTCCCAAGCCTCACTAGAGAGGTTGCCATGCAAATACAAGAAATTCAGAGAATCCCTGCAAGATACTATATAAGATGGCCATCCCCAAGACACATAAGTCATCAGGTTGTCCACGGTCAACACAAAAGAAAACATATGAAATGCAGCTAGAAAGAAGGGGCAGGTCATCCTCCAAGGGAACCTAATCAGGCTAAGAGTAGACATTTCAGGAGAAAATCTACAAACCAGAGGAGATTGGGGTGTATATTTAGCACCCTTAAAGAAAAGAAATCCCAACCAAGAATTTCATATCCAGCCAAACTAAGCTTCATAAGCAAAAGAGAAATAAAATCCTTCTCAGGAAAGTAAGCACTTAGGGAATTCATTACCACCAGAACTGCCTTACAAAAGGTCCCAGGGGGGTGCTAAACATGGAAATGAAAGACCATTGCCAGCCACTACAGAAACACACTTCAATACATAGACCACAACACTATAAAATACATAACAAGTGTACATAACAACCAGCTAACAACATGATGACAGGATCAAAGGCACATATCAATATTAACCTTGAACGTAAACAGGCTAAATACCCCACTTAAAAGTGAGAGCATAAGAGGATGACTGCAGGCAATAATAACTCAATCATACACTTAAAAATACCTAAAATGATGTAACTGGATTTTTATGATACAAAGGATAAATGCTTGAGGGGATAAATACCTCATTCTCCATGATGTACTTATTATGCACTACATGCTTAGATCAAAACATCTTGTATACCTCATATATATATACCCTTACTATCTACCCATAAATATTAAAAATTTTAAAAAGCACAGAGTGGCAATTTTTATTTAAAAAAATTTAAAAAGCAAGACTCAACTGTATGTCATCTTCAAGAGACCCATCTCACATGCAAGGACATCCATAGGCTCAAAGAAAAGGGATGGAGAAAGATCTACCAAGAAAATAGAAAACAAAAAAGAACAGGAGTTGCTATTCTTATTTCAAATGAAACAGATATTAAACCAACAATGATTAAAAAAGACAAAGAAAGGCATTACACAATGATAAAATGTTCAATTCAACAAGAAGATTTAACTATCCTCAATATACATGCACCCAACACTAGAGCACCTATATATATAAATAAAATAAGACCTTAGAGACTTATGAAGAGACTTAAATAAACACACAGTAATGGTGGGATACTTCAACACCCCACTGCCGATATTGGACAGATCATTGAGGCAGAATACTAACAAAGGTATTTAGCTCTTAAACTTGACACTTGACCAAATGAGCTTTACAGACATCTACAGAACACTCCACCTAACAAAAACAGAACATACATTCTTCTCCTCTGCACACAGCACATACTCTAAAATGGACCCTACGCTTGGTCATAAAGCAATTCTCAACAAATTAAAGAAAAAACATACACACCAAAGTGATACCAAGCACATTCTCAGACCACAATGCAAGAAAAATAGAAGTGAATACCAAAAAAACTCTCAAAACCATACAATTACATGGAAATTAAACACTCTGCTTCTGAATAACATTTGGGTAAACAATGAATTAAGACAGAAATCAAAAAATTGTTTGAAGCTAATGAAAACAAAAATACAACATATGAGAATCTCTGGGACACAGCTAAAGCACTGTTGAGAGAAAAGTTTATGGCACTAATCACTCACATGAAAAAGTTAAAAGATCTGAAATTACCAACCTAACATAACACCTAGAGAAACTTGAAAAACAAAAGCAAACCAATTTGAAAGCTAGCAGAAAAAAATAATAACAAAAATCAGAGAGCCAAATGAAATGGAGGTGAGAAAAAAACACAGAAAAGATCAATGAAAACAAAATTTAGTTCTCTGAAAGAATTTATAAGATTGACTGACCACCAGCTAGATTAATATAGAAAAAAGGAAGATGATCCAAATAAACACAATCAGAAATGACAGAGGACGTTACCACCAACCCCACAGAAATAACAAAAACCCTGAGACTACTATGAACACATCTATGCACACAAACTAGAAAACCTAGAATAAATGGATAAATTCCTGGAAACACACCACCTCCCAAGATTGAACCATGAACAAATTTACACTGAACAAAATAATATCAAGGTATTAAATTGAATCAGTAATAAAATATCTACCAACCAGAAAAAGCTCTAGACCAGACATATTCACAGCTGAATTCTACCAGAGGTATAAAGAAGAGCTGGTACCAATCCTATTGAAGCTATTCCAAAAAATAGAAAAGGGAGGGACTCCTCCCTAACTCATTCTACGAGGCCAGCATCATTCTGATACCAAAATCTGGAAGAGAAACTTTGAAAAAAGAAAACATCAGGCCAATACCCCTGAGGAACACAGAAGCAAAAATTCTCAAAAAAATATTAGCAAACTGAATCCAGCAGCACATCCAAAAGCTAATATATCACTATCGAGTAGGCTTTGGTCCTGGGCTGCAAGAGTGGTTCAATACATACAAACCATTAAATGTGATTCATCACATACACAGAAATTTTTAAAAACACATGATCATCTCAATAGATGTAGAAAAGGTTGTCAATAAAACTCAACATTCCTTCATGTTAAACCCTCAACAGACTAGATATCAAAGGTACATACCTAAAAAAATAAGAGCTATATATGGACAAACCCACAGTCAGCATCATACTAAATGGGGAAAAGCTGGAAGCATTTCCCTTGAGAATCAGAACCAAACAAGGATGCCCACTCTCAACACACCTATTCAACATAATACTGGAAATCCTAGCCAGAACAACCAGACAAAATAATAAAAATAAAAAGGCATCCAAATTGGAAAAGAAGTCAAGCTATCTCTCTTCACAGATTATATGATTCTATACCTAGAAAATTCCATACTCTCTGTCCAAAGGCTCCTAGATCTCAGAAACTTCAGCAAAGTTTCAGGATACAAAATCATTCTATAAAAATCACTAGCATTTCTACACACCAGCAGCATCCAAGCTGAGAGCCAACTCAGAAATGCAATCCCATTCACAATAGCCACAAAAAGAATAAAATACCTAGGAATACAGCTAATCAGGGAGGTAAAAGGTCTGTACAAGAAGAATTATAAAACACTACTGAAAGAATCACAGATGACTCAAACAAATAGGAAAACATTCCAAGCTCATGGATATGGAGAATCAATATCGTTAAAATGGTCATACTGCCCAAAGCAATTTACAGATTCAATGCTATTCCTATCAAACTACTAACAACATTTTTTCACAATTAGAAACAACCACTCTAAAATTCATTTGGAACCACAAAAGAGCCCAGTAGCCAAAGATATCCTAAGCAAAAAGAACAAGCTGGAGGCATCACACTACCTGACTTTAAAATATACTGCAAAGCTACAGTAACTAAAACAGCATTGTACTGACACAAAAGCAGAAACATAGACCAATGGAACAGAATAGATAAGTGAGTAATAAAGCCTCACACCTACAACCATGTGATCTTCGACAAAGCCAACCAAAACAAGCAATGGGGAAAAGGACCCTCTATTCAATAGATAGTGCTGAGACAACTGGCTAGCCATGTGTAGAAGATTTAAACTGGACCCCTGTTTTTCATCATATACAAAACTCAACTCAAGGTGGATTAAATATATAAATGTAAGATATGAAACTATAAAAACTCTGGAAGAAAACCTAGAATATAATACCATTTTGGCCATAGGCCCTGGCAAATAATTTATGATGAAGACTCTAAAAGCAATTGCAACAAAAACAAAAATTGACAAATGGGATCTAATTAAACTAAAAAGCTTCTGCACAGCAAAAGAAATTATCAACAGAGTACATGGACAGTCTACAGAATAGGAGAAAATATTTGCAAGGTATGCATTTGACAGAGGTCTAATATCCAGAATCTATAGCAAGCTTAAATTAACAAGCCAAAAAACAAAACAAAACAAAAAAACCAACCCCATTAAAAAATCAGCAAAGGATTTGAACAGACACTTCTCAAAAGAAGATATACATGTGGCCAAGAAAATGAAAAAATACTCAATATCACTAACTATTAGAGAAATGCAAATCAAAACCTCAATGAGAGATCATCTCACACAAGTCAGAATGGCTATTTTCAAAAATATCAAAAAAACAACAGATGGTGGCAAGTTTGCAGAGAAAAGGCAATGCTTATATGGTGCTGGTGGGAATGTACATTAGTTAAACCACTGTGGAAAGCAATCTGGAGACTTCTCAAAGAACTTAAAATAGAACTGCCATTTGACCCAGCTATCCCATTACTGGTATATACCCAAAGAAATATAAACCATTCTATCATAAAGACACATGCACGCATATGTTCATCACAGCACTGTTAACAATGGCAAAGGCATACAATCAAACTAAATGCCCATCAACAGTGGACTCAATAAAGAAAATGTGGTACACATACACCATGGAATACTGTGCAGCCATAAAAAGAATGAGATCATTTCCCTTGCAGCAACATGGATGGAGCAGGAGGCCGTTATCCTAAGAGAACACAGGAACAGAAAACCAAACACCACGTGTTCTCACTTATAAGTGGGAGCTAAACATCGAGTACACATGGACACAAAGAAGGGAATGGATACCATGGCCTACTTGAGGGTGGAGAGTGGGAGGGGGTTAAGGATCAAAAATTACCTATTGAATACAATGCTTTTTATCTGGGTGACAAAATAATCTGTACAGCAAACCCCTGTGACATGCAATTTACCTATCTAACAAACCTGCACATGTACCCCTGAACCTAAAATAAGAATTTTTAAAAAACATATAATGGACAACAAAATTTCAAAAAAGAAAGAATTAAAAAACCACCTCTCTGAGTTGTGCCTTCACACCAGGGGTTTTTAAGGAAAATTAGGAAAACTGTAAGTAATAGTCAAAGCATTCTTGTGCAGCAGCTGCGTGTGCAATCTCAGGGAGGCACTTAATTGTTGCTGTCTTGGTTAGCATCTTATGACCTTCTGCAGGTGCCACAAGACTATTATCTGGTGGTTAAAACAGCTGGTCAACTTGTTCCCAGAATTCCTGCACAGCACATTTCTCTTTTACCACTGTTGCAGGTCTGGCTTTTCTGAGGCTGTTTTTAATGATTAGTCTATAAACTTAAAGCAGCAATTATCCTCAAGCAAGCAAAATTTTTCTTTAACATAGACTCAATATTGTAACATTCTCAATAGGATCAAGGTGAGTCTTCCTGTATGGTAATGGGAGTAGGGAAGGAGGCAGAGTCTCTGGGCCCCTATGTTCATACGTGGCATCTTCAGTTTTGTCCTTGAATGTTGGTGTTTGTAAGAAAACGACCTTGTGTAAATGTCTCTTGCACTAAAGAAAGGTGGCATTTCAGAGAACACCATGGAGTCATTGCTCCTTCTCCTGTTTCCCAATGGCCAGCCAGCATTTACTGTCAGTGGGTCTTCCAAATTTCACTGTATCCTAGTGTTTTCTTCACTTTAGAAATATGACTTGTCAGAATTAGATAGTACATAATAAATTCAACTTCAGGTGTTTGTTTTTCTCAATTTTCAAAAATATTAAGGAGTTGATTTCTCTCTCTCCTCACATACTCCCAATGCAGCACACCACCTTTTGACTTAATTCACCAGTCTACATAGAGTTGAATCATTGAAGTCTTTGCCTATGTTTAGAATTCAGACACCTTGCTAGTCTTACTTTTGGAGTCATACAAATGAAAGGTTAACAAAGTCCTTTGCAAAAAGTTTTAACCGATGTGTGTTGTCTCACACACTTGGTTATCTTGCCCAACAAAATTTTCACTACATAGTAATGTTCATATAATTACATCTCCATTTCCATTTGGCAAGTTCTGTACACCCAGTAGAATCTCTGTACCATAGTCCTATATTTCACTTAGCACATCATTAGCAAAAACATAAAAATGACAATAAACTGACTGTGGGGAAAGGCCTTTTTAGGATATGCTACATAGCCTTTAAATGCTCCTCGTATGTGAAATACAGAAGACACATAATATAGCTGTTGAACTGGACAGGTACACTCTATAATTGCTTCTGTGGAAATCTTCAAAGACTGCAGGAATCGTCCTGAGAAATATGAATGCCAAAAACAATGTAAATAGTAGAAATAAGTTTTTTAGAAAAAGTAATTTATGAGAATCCTTCCAATGATGAATTCACTTTCCCAGAACAGGTTTTAAGCAAATTGTTCTTCCAGAAAGTCCTTTCTCAGCATTGGTTTATCCCAGGATGAGTACTTCCTCCAAAATATTGGCTGCCAATTGGTTTGCTGCCACTAGAGGACAGGACGAGTTCCATTAGACCACTCTTGCATTGCTATAAAGGATTATCTGAGACAGGGTAATTTATAAAGAAAAGATATTTATTTTACTCATGGTTCATCAGGATGTACAAGACATGAAGTGCCAGCATTTGCTTCTGGTGAGGGCCTCAGTAAGTTTTCACTCACGGCAAAGGCGAAGGGGAGCCAGCATGTCACGTGGTGGGAACAGGAGCAAGAGAGCGGGTGCAGGGAAGTCCCAGACTCTTTTAAAGAACCAGATCTCCTGTGAACAAACTGAGCACTCACTCACTGATCACCAGTGGTATAGTGCTAAACCATAATGAGGGATCTGCCCCCATGATCCAATCAACTCCCACCCAACCCATCTCCAAAATGGAATCACATTTCAACATGAGATTTGGAGGGGACCAACAGCGAAACCATACCAAGAGTATTCAGCAGCACAAATTCGAGCTCAGAACTAATACTGACTCTCACTGTATTCCATTCTATTTCATTCATTTTCAAAACCCAAGTAATGTCATTTAAATATAACAGTATCTATTAAGCCTGTGTCTGAGGGTAAAGTCCCATACACCATGATGGGAAAACAAAGATACAAGGCACTGCTCTTGCCTCTAAGTACAGTCAAGGACAAAACGTGTTATATAGAAACACATCCTGTGCTTCAGACAAACATTGCTCCCTCATCCATCCTTTCACTCACTCACTCACTCACTCACTCAATCACTGAGTGCCTCGTTGAGTGTTCATGGTGCTATCCTAGGCACTGGACTGTGACTGTTCATGGATAAGGGAAAAAGCTGCCTTGGGGTACTGGGGAGGGAGAGGCACAGCCAGCAGAAGGTGAGAGGCAGGTCCCTGGCCATAGCCTTGAGGATGTTACAGGCAGTGGTGGAAGGAGAATGTTCTCAGCCATCTCTACATGTATGGGACAAGGACATGGGCTGCACAGGTAAGAGGTGGGCGAGGCAACAGTCCATGGAGGGCTGGCTGACAGCTGGGGCATTAGGATGCTGCCCAGCTGTGATGAAGAGCATGGGAGGGTCTAAGCTGGGATGTGGCTTCAGTGTGGAGAAAGGGGAAGCAGGGACGCCAGAGAGTCCAGGCAAGAAGATTGTTGGACAACAAGGAGGGACATTTCTGGAGTAGAATTATAAGGCTACAGGCATGGGTAATGAAGGAGTAAGGGGAGGCAGAAGCCTGGCCCCTAGACTGGGAAGCAAGTGAGGCAGCAGCTGAGGACCATCCATCCACAAAGTGCCCCTTCAGAAAAATTTCTAGTGCCCTTCTGACTCCCCTGCCCACCCATCTGGGCCCCTTCCTAAGGATCCTAGTCCCTGGGCATCCCTCTACATGGGGAAAACCTGAGAGTGTGGCCCACCCTCACCCTACAGTGACCTGAACTTGGCTTCCACACTGCAGAACCACACACTGTGGAAGAGTGAACAAACCATTGATTAACCCTTTAACCATTCATGAATTTCCAGCTCATAATGGGGACTGAGGCCTCTTATCAATTCACTGTCTGCCTGGCTCAGGACCTGCATTGGGAAAAAATTTGCCATGAATGAGCTAAAGGTGGCCATGGCCCTGACCCTGCTCCGCTTTGAGCTGCTGCCTGATCCCACCAGGATCCCGGTCGGCATACCATGAATTTTGCTGAAGTTCAAAAGTGGAATCCACCTGCATCTCAGGAGGGTCCCTAACCATTGTGGGGACAAGGACCAGCTCTGAGGGCCTCCACCTGCCACCCTGTCTTCCTCACCCCTGCTCCTGTCTCCTGCCTGTCTGCCCACATCCTGCTTTCTATCGGCCCACCTGCCTTCTTCCCATCTACCTGCTATCCTCCCTTCTGTACTCCATGTTGTCTGCCCTTCTTTCTCTCACCTTTCCCTAGGCTCTGTATCTGCTGCTCTACCTCTCTCCTGCCTACCTGCATCACAGACTGTCCATCCAGCAACCAATCTCCTGCCTGCCCTCCAGCCTGTCTGCCCCCATTTCTTTCTTATTCCTTCTGCCTGCTTTTCTGCTTTTGTATGAGTTTCCTATTGGTGCTGTAATTAACTACCACAACGTCAGTGCCTTAAAACAGCAGAAATTTATAGTCTTAAATGTCTGGAGGTCTCACATTTGAATTGGATTTTCTTGCTCCAAATCCAAGGTGTTGAGGGGCTCTAGGGAGAATCTCTTTTCTTCCACTTTTTCAGCTCCTAGAGCTTTGCTCTACAGGCCTATTAGTGATTGAATTAAGTCTACATAAATTATCAAGAGTTATCTCTTTTTCTTGAAGTCAACTGATTGTAGATGTTAACTACAACCACAAAATCTCTTCACAACATCTGGAATAGCATTTAATTGAATAACTGGGTATTACAGCCTGTCCAAGTTAACATGTAAAATTAAACAACACATTTCATACCTTGTCAATTTGGCATCTATACACATCCCCTTAGGGTCTACTTAATCTGCCAGTAAAAACTATGACAAAGTCATACTTTTGCTAACTCTCCTATACACAATTGGAAGTACATTAACCTTTCCCTCACAAAGGCAATGCAAAGTCATTGAATGACATTCACCCTTCTCTTTAATATTCTGTAACTTAAATACAGTGATTCTCTAAAGAGAATATTAAAGTTAACTATTATTAATATATCTAATGTTAATTGTGAATGGGATTTTGTCCAAGATGGCTGATTATAAGCAGCTGCAGTCCATGGCACTCATGAAGAGAAATGAAAAGGGGCGAGTGAATTCAGTGCCTACAACTGAAATATCCAGGTTCTTGCCTTGGGACTGACTAGGCAAACAATTCAGCCCATGGAGAATGAAGAAAAGAAAGAGGAAGGCAATGGCCCACCCAGAAGTGGCACAGAGCCAAAGAAACCCCAACCCCCAGCCAAGAGAAGCAGTGACTGATTGTACGACCCCACCCAGGAAACCACACTTCTCCCATGGATCTTTAAAACCCATGGACCAGGAGATCCTCTAGTGAGCCCAAGCCACTAGGGCCTTGGGTCAGATACACAGAGCTGTGTGGAGTCTCAGCAGAGCAGCAACTCAGGCCCACACAGCAACCCAGGAGTTTTACATAATCCAGCCCTGGGATCCTTGGCAAGGCAGAAAATCCAACCATACATATCCCTAGGAAGAGGGCTGAATCCGGCGAGCCAAGCACTGTCATTCTGTGGGCCCCATTTCCATGGCATCTCACAGGTTAAAACCCACTGGTTTGGAATTCTAGCCAACCAACAGCAGCAGCCTGGAATCTGCCTGAAAAGTGTTGAGTTTTTAGTGGGAGGAGTGGCAGCCATTTTTGCAGTTTGGTAGACTCAGCTGTTCCAGTCTGCCGGCTTTGGAGAATACAAATGGTCCAGACAAGGAAGGATCTCCCACAAAGCAGCACAGCTGCCTTGCCAGATTGTGGTCAGACTGCTTCTTTAAGCAGGACCCTGATCCATTCCTTCTCACTGAGTGAGATCTCCCTGTGGGGGCTTCCATCACTCCAGCCAGGGTTCTATGGATAGGGCTCTGGTCTCTCCCAGGATGGAGCTCCTGAGGGGAGGCGTGGCCATCATCTCCATGGTTTGGCCAACTCAGACATTCCAGCCTGCCAGCTATAGAGAATACAAATGGTCCAGATGAGGAAGGACCCCTGCTGCAATGCAGCACACCTGCTGTACTAAAAAGAAGCCAGACTGCTTCTTTAAGCTGGTCCCTGATCCTGCTCTTCTGACTGAGTGAGACCTCCCAACAGGGGTTTCCAGGTGCATTCAGGCCAGCAACAACTCAGTACCCCGCTGGGACAGAGCTTCCAGAGGAAGGAGCTGGCCTCCATCTTTGCTGTTTCACAGCCTTCACATGTGATACCTCCAGGTATCCCACCGAAGCAACAAAGGTCTGCAGTGCACTGCCAGCAAACTGCAGCAGCCCTACAGTAGAGTGGCCTGAGAGTTAAAAGAAAAACAAAAAACAGGAAACAACAACAACATCAACAAAAAAGAGTGGGGGCAGTTCCAAGATGGCTGAATAGGATCAGCTCCAGTCTACAGCTCCCAGCGTGAGCAATGCAGAAGATGGATAATTTCTGCATTTCCAACTGAGGTACTGGGTTCATCTCACTGGGTATTGTCAGACAGTGGGTGCAGGAAAGTAGGTGCAGCACAGTGGGTGCAGCACACCGAGCATGAGCCAATTCAGGGCGAGGCATCGCCTCACCCGGGAAGTGCAAGGGGTCAGGGAATTCCCTTTCCTAGCCAAGGAAAGGGGTGACAGATGGCACCTGGAAAATTGGGTCACTCCCACCCTAATACTGCACTTTTCTGATGGTCTTAGCAAATGGCACACCAGGAGACTATATCCTGTGCCTGGCTTGGAGGGTCCTACACCCAAGGTGCCTCACTCATTGCTAGCACAGCAGTCTGAGATCAAACTGCAAGGCGGCAGTGAGGCTAGGGGAGGAGCGCCCACCATTGCCGAGGCTTGAGTAGGTAAACAAAGCGGCCGGGAAGCTCGAACTGGGTGAAGCCCACTGCAGCTCAAGGAGTCCTGCCTACCTCTGTAGACTCCACCACTGGGGGCAGGGCATAGCCAAACAAAAGGCAGCAGAAACCTCTGCAGACTTAAATGTCCCTGTCTGGCATCTTTGAAGAGAGTAGTGGTTCTCCCAGCATGCAGCTGGAGATCTGAGAACAGACAGACTGCCACCTCAAGTGGGTCCCTGACCCCCAAGTAGCCTAACTGGGAGGCACCCCCAGTAGGGGCAGACTGACACCTCACATGGTCAGGTACCCCTCTGAGACAAAATTTCCAGAGGAATGATCAGGCAGCAACATCTGCTGTTCACCAATATTCACTGTTCTGCAGCCTCCACTGCTGATACCCAGGCAAACAGGGTCTGGAGTGGACCTCCAGCAAACACCAGCAGACCTGCAGCTGAGGGTCCTGACTGTTAGAAGGAAAACTAACAAACAGAAAGGACATCCACACCAAAACCCCACCTGTACGTCACCATCATCAAAGTCCAAAGGTAGATAAAACCACAAAGAAGGGGATAAAACAGAGCAGAAAAACTGGAAACTCTAAAAATCGAGCGCCTCTCTTCCTCCAAAGGAACGCAGCTTCTCACCAGCAACAGAACAAAGATGGACGGAGAATGACTTTGATGCATTGAGAGAAGGCTTCAGACGATCAAACTTATCTGAGCTAAAGGAGGAAGTTTGAACCCATGGCAAAGAAGTAAAAAACCTTGAAAAAAGATTAGACGAATGGATAACTAGAATAACCAATGTAGAGAAGTCCTTAAAGGACCTGATGGAGCTGAAAACCATGGCACGAGAACTACGTGATGAATGCATAAGCCTCAGTAGCCGATTCAATCAACTGGAAGAAAGGGTATCAGTGATGGAAGATCAAATGAATGAAATGAAGTGAGAAGAGAAGTTTAGAGAAAAAAGAATAAAAAGAAATGAACAAAGCCTCCAAGAAATATGGGACTATGTGAAGAGACCAAATCTATGTCTGATTGGTGTACCTGAAAGTGACGGGGAGAATGGAACCAAGTTGGAAAACACTCTTCAGGATATTATCCAGGAGAACTTCCCAATCTAGCAAGGCAGGCCAACATTCAGATTCAGGAAATAAAAAGAATGCCACAAAGATACTCGTCAAGAAGAGCAACTCCAAGACACATAATTGTCAGATTCACTGAAGTTGAAATGAAGGAAAAAATGTTAAGGACAGCCAGAGAGAAAGGTCAGGTCACCCACAAAGGGAAGCCCATCAGACTAACAGCTGATCTCTCGGCACAAACTCTACAAGCCAGAAGAGAGTGGAGGCCAATATTCAACATTTTTAAAGAAAAGAATTTTCCACCCAGAATTTCATATCCAGCCAAACTAAGTGAAGGAGAAATAAAATACTTTACAGACAAGCAAATGCTGAGAGATTTTGTCACCACCAGGCCTGCCTTACAAGAGCTCCTGAAGGAAGCACTAAAGATGGAAAGGAACAACCAGTACCAGCCACCGCAAAAACATGCCAGATTGTAAAGACCATCAATGCTAGGAAGAAACTGCATCAACTAATGAGCAAAATAACCAGCTAACATCATAATGACAGGATCAAATTCACACATAACAATATTAACCTTAAATGTAAATGGGCTAAATGCTCCAACTAAAAGACACAGACTGGCAAATTGGATAAAGAGTCAAGACCCATCAGTGTGCTGTATTCAGGAAACCCATCCCACATGTGGAGACACACATAGGCTCAAAATAAAGGGATGGAGGAAGATCTACCAAACAAATGGAAAACAAAAAAAAGGCAGGGGTTGCAATTCTAGTCTCTAATAAAACAGACTTTAAACCAACAAAGATCAAAAGAGACAAAGAAGGCCATTATATAATGGTAAAGGGATCAATTCAACAAGAAGAGCTAACTATCCTAAATATATATGCACCCAATATAGGAGCACCCAGATTCATAAAGTAAGTCCTTAGAGACCTACAAAGAGACTTAGACTCCCACACAATAATAATGGGAGACTTTAACACCCCACTGTCAACATTAGACAGATCAATGAGACAGAAAGTTAACAACCGATATCCAAGAATTGAATTCATCTCTGCACCAAGCAGACCTAATACATATCTACAGAACTCTCCACCCCAAATCAACAGAATATACATTCTTCTCAGAACGACACTGCACTTATTCCAAAATTGACCACATAGTTGGAAGTAAAGCACTCCTCAGCAAATGTAGAAGAACAGAAATTATAACAAACTATCTCTCAGACCACAGTGCAATCAAATTGGTTATTCTAGTTAGCCATTCGTCTAATCTTTTTTCAACGTTTTTAACTTCTTTGCCATGGACTACCAGTGTTCTCTTTACCACTGAAAACAGTAATTGGTTACTTTTTAACTAGTCAGATTAGGGAACAAATTCCAGGAAACCCAGAATCAATTCAGAAAACTCATACTTGGCCAGGCAAGGTGGCTCACTCCTGTAATCCCAACACTTTGGGAGACCGAGGTGGGCAGATCCCTTGAGGTCAGGAGTTTGAGACCAGCCTGACCAACATGGTGAAACCCCTTCTCTACTAAAAATATGAAAAATTAGCCAGGCGTGGCAGTGTGCACCTGTAATCCCAGCTACTTGGGAGGCTGAGGCAGGAGAATCACTCGAACCCGGGAGGCGGAGGCTGCAGTGAGCTATCAGGCCATTGCACTCCAGCCTGAGAAAAAAAGAGTGAAACTCCATCTTGAAAAACAAAAAAGAAAGAAAGAAAGACAGAAAAAAGAAAGCTCATACTTCAGATTCAGTCTCTTTAGTACCAGTCTTTGGACCAAAATGTGTCTTAATCAGGGATTTAGCAGAGAAACATGACCAGTGGGAAAGATGCCTATCCAGGGTAGAAGACAACCTGGCAAGAGAAAGTGCCTGGGTCCATGTCCCCTGCCAGCCAGCCAGAAGCTCTCCTCTCCCCTTCTCTGACTCCCCAAAAAGCAACTGAACCTAAGACAGGCACAAAGAGGCCAGGTTGTCTGTTTGATGGGATAACCAACTAAGTAGGGCAGGGCAGAGGTCATCCAGCACCAAGGGTCTGGGGTGGGCAAGGCAAGAAAGGCAGGTGCTTACTCACCAATCCACTGGAGGAAGAAGTCATACATATTAGGGCTTGAGGTTCTGCAAGTGAAGAAGTTGGTTGGGTCAAATAGAGACTAGGGGGTTCCCAGAGGAGGCACCTTGATAAGCAGGGTGGGAACTTCAGCTGCCCAGGCATAGGACACAGGTCCAGGCCTCCTCCCCACATCATAGCCTGAGCCCTTTGTTCTCAGGAAGAGCAGCTCTCCCAAGAACACCTCACCCCTGTGGCTACACACAGCTTTGACATAGTTGGGCTCAAATGTTCTGGAAGCCAGTGAACGGTTCAAACCAGAGTGGGTGAGTGTAGAAAAACTGGTGGGCCCAGGATACCACTTTGTTCAGTCTCCCCATCTGCTGGATCTGAAATAACAGAAGGCCAAGGCCACTTAGGAATCCAGTATCACCACTAAAGCCCGAAGTCTCTGGGAGGGCAGGGGAGGAGACTGCCCAGGCAGTCTGTGGGAGCTTCCCTCCCACTCCTGTACCTCCCTCTCCTAAACATCTCTGGTTTCAGTGCCCACTCCAGCCTCACACCCACTGTTCTAAGTCCAAGCCACCCTCTTCTTACACTGGGGTTAGCTCAACAACCTCCAAACTAGCCAACTTGCTTCCACCTCACACCTGCCACCAACTCTCTACTGCACTGCAGCCAGAAAGCACTTTCTTGTCCACATTAAAGCATTTTCTTTATAAAAGTAATAGTTGCTTGTTGTGCAATAGAGAAATTATCTCTATTCCACCCTTGTATCATTCAACACATTTAAAAAATATTTTTCAAATTGACACATAATCATTGTACATATTTAGAGGTATTTTTTGATGTTTTCATACATACAGTGTATAGCGACCATTGGCAATTAGCATAGCCATCATCTCAAACATTTGTCATTTCTTTGTGTTAGGAACACTCAATATGCTCTCTTCTATTTGAAAACATATATTGTTGTTAGCTATAGTCATCCTACAGTGCTATACCCATGAAAACTTATTCCTCCTATCTAGCTATAATTTTGTGTCCTTTAAAAAAATCTCTCACTACACCTCCCTTCCCAGACTCTACTAACCTCTGCAGACTCTACTAACCTTTTACAACTATGACATCAACTATTTTTAGCCTCTGCATAAGGGTGACAACATGCAGTTTCTTTTCCTGACTTATTTCAATTAATATAATGTCATCCAGTTCTTTCCATGTTGCCATCAATGACAGCATTTTATTTTTTTATGGCTAAACAGTAGTCCATTGTGTGTATATATTACATTTTCTTCATCCAGTCATCTGTTGTTGAACACTGGGTTGATTTCACATGTTGATTCTTGTGAATCATGCTGCAATAAACATGAAGGTACAGATATCCTTTCAGTACACTGATGTTCCTTCCTTTTCTTTCCTTTTGATAAATACCCAGCAGGAAAATTGCTGGATCACGTGTGAGTTCTCTTTGTAGGTTTTTGAGAAACCTCCATGTCATTCTCCAGTGGTTGTACTACTGTACATTCCCACCAACAGTGTATATGAGTTTCCTTTTTTGGCATTCTTCCTAGTGTTGTTTTTGTTGTTGTTGCCATTTTGTCTTTTTGATAACAATCATCCTAACTGGGATATGATATATCATTGTGCTTTTGATTTACATTTCCTTGATGATTAGTGATGTTGAGCATTATGTTCATACACCTGTTGACCATTTGTATGTCCTCTTTTGAGAAATATCTGTTCAGATCATTTGCTCATTTTTAATCAGATTTTTTTCTGAGTTGAGATGTTTGAGTTTCTTGTATACTGTGGATATTAATCTGCTGTCTGATTAGTAGTTTGCAAATCTTTTCTCCTGGCTATCTTTTCACTTTATTGATTATTTTCCTTGATATGCAGAAACTTCTTAGTTTGATATAATCTCATTTGTTCATTTTTCCTTTGGTTGCCATTGCTTTTGAGGTGTTATTCATAAAATTTTTTCCCAGACCAATGTCCTGAAGCATTTTCCCCCCATTTTATTCTAGTAGTTTTATGGTTTCAGGGTCTTAAATTTATGTCATTAATCCATTTTGAGTTGGTTCTTGCATGAGAAATAGGGGTGAGAAATAGGGGTCTAGTTTCATTCAGCTACTTATGGATATCCAGTTTTCCCAGCACTGTTTATTAAAGAGACTGTACTTTCCCAATGACTATTCTTGGCACCTTTGTCAAAAATCAGCTGACAATGGATATGTAAATTAATTTCTGTGTTCTCTATTCTCTTGCATTGTTCTACGTCTTTTTTATCCCAGGACTATTCTGTTTTGGTTATTATAGCTTTGTATATATTTTGAAGTCTGGTAGCGTGATGCCTCCAGTTTTATTCTTTTTCTCAGCATTGCTTTGACTATTGGGGTCTTTTGTGGTTCTCTATGAATGTTTGAATTTTTTTCTATTTCTGTGAAGAATGTCGCTGGTATTTTGATAAGGATTGTATTGACCCTGTATATTGCTTTGTGCAGTATGCTTATTTTAACAATATTAATTGTTCAAGTTCATGAACATGGGGTGCCTTTCCATTTTTATATGTGTCTTCTTTAATTTCTTTTATCAATGTTCTATAGTTCTCAGTATACATATTTTTCACCTCCTTGGTTAAATTTATTTTTAGGTATATTTTGTAACTATTTTAAACGGGATTCCTTTCTTAGTTTTATTTTCAACTAGTTTATGATTCGTGTATATAAATGCTACAGGTTTTGTATTTTGATTTGTATTGTGCAACTTCACTGAATTTGTTTATTGGTTGTAACAGGTTTTTTGTTTTTTGGTAGAGCATTTGGGTTTTTTCTCTTTTTTTTCTTTTTCTCTCTTTTTTTTTTTCTTTTTGCAGTTGCAAGATTTAATAGAGTGAAAACAGAGCTCCCATAAAATGGGAGGGGACCCAAAGGGGATTGCCATTGCCAGCTCGAATACTGGGTTTATATCCTGATCATTGTCCCTCCTGCTGTGCTCTCAGGCAATAGATGATTGGCTACTTCTTTGCCTCCTGTTTTAGCCTAATTAGCATTTTAGTGAGCTCTCTTTACTGCCCAATTGGTTGGGTGTGAGCTAAGTTGCAAGCCCCGTGTTTAAAGGTGGATGTGGTCACCTTCCCAGCTAGGCTTAGGGATTCTTAGTCAGCCTAGGAAATCCAGCTAGTCCTGTCTCTCAGTCCCCTTTCTCAACAGGAAAACCCAAGTGCTGTTGGGGAGGTTGGCCGATGACCATTCTAACTGCTTCCTGCTGAACTGGGGCATAGTAGGGGTCATGCAGTTGAGATTTCCTCAGGAGGGGTGCTGTCAATGTCAGTAGGGGTGCTAGCATGAGCTAGCAGGCCAGTCCAGGGGTCCACAGTAGATCTTAGTCATGGACTGCATCTGGGGCTCCATTTGAAGAATGATTTGTAGTTTTACAGCTTTGATTCTGGAAGAGATAAACTTAACAAGGAGGTTAAAGATACAGGGATTGAAATGTATGGCCTGCAGTGCAGGGGATTATTTCTTTGGCACATTTTACAGGCCCTGACTATCTGCTCGAAAGTTTTGAAAAGGTCTGGTCCAGTAGATAATAATTTGGCCTGCTGATGGGTACTATCAATGCCTAAATGAAAGGTTTGGTGAAGGGTTTTAAGTCATTTCCATTGGTTAGCTGCAGGCAAAAGTATTTTTCCTTCTTTGGTGCCTAGCCATCCTGAGGAGAGGAAACTATGTCCTCATGAGTTTCCCCATTCTATTTCTCCTGCTGAGTACTGGGGCTTGGTTTCCCAGAGGGGATTACCCCATACTAGGGGTCCTTCTATAAGTATTTCTAATGGAGGGTCCTACCTTGCAGCTATTTTGGCTTTGATATCCGTTTGGCAGTTCCCTTCTATTTCCCTTTCTTTTCCTTTCTGATGACCCCGGCAGCATAAGATTGCCACCTCTTTAGGTTTCTGTACAGCCGATAATAATCTCCTGATGGCTTCCTGATGTTTGATGGGTGTTCCTTTGGAAGTCAGGAATTTCCTTTCTCTCCATATTGCTGTGTGGGCATGGAGGACTAGCTAAGCATACTTAGAGTCTGTATATATATTTACCCTTTTTCCTTCTCCTAATTCTATTGCCTGAGTGAGAGCTATTCGTTCTTCCAGCTAAGCGCTTCTTCCTGGAGTGAGGGGATTATTTTCAAGTATTCCATTATCACTGACCACTGCATACCCCACTTTTCAAAGTCCTTTTTCTACAAAGGAATTTCCATCAGCATACAAGTTGAGATCATGATCAGTCAAGGGAACCTCTAGAAGGTCCCCTTGAGTGGTGTAGGTTTGAGCAGTTACTTGTTGACAGTTATGTTTTATTTTTTCTTCATTGTCTGGAAGAAATGTGGCTGGATTAAGAGTTGCACAAGGGCGCAGTCGCAGCACTGGCCCTTCAAGTAATAGATGCTGATATTTAAGCAAATGGTTGTCTGACATCCACAAGTCTCCTTTAGCAGTGAGTATGCCATTCACATCTTGAGATGTTCACACAGTAAGATCTCTTCCCTGTATCATTTTAACTGCTTCAGATACTAATACTGCTACTGCTGCCACTACCCATAAACGATGAGGCCAACCCTTTGCCACTACATCAATTTCCTTACTCAGGTATGTCACAGGTTGCAAGCTGGTCCGTCAGACCTGTGTAAGGACTCCTAGAGCTATTCCTGTTTTTTCTGTGACATATAAAGAAAAGTCTTGCCACGTTGGCAAGCTTAACACTGGAGCTTAGGTTAGGGCCTTCTTTAGGGCCTGGAAAGTCACTTCTGCTTCAGGTGTCCATCTTACTAAATGGGTATTGCCTTTCTGAGTTTCCTTAATTAGTGTATATAATGATCTGGCTATTTTGCTGTACCAGGGAATCTATATTCAGCAGAAGCCTGTTATGCCAAGGAACGCTCTTAGTTGCTTTACGGTTTTGGGATGAGGAAAAGCCAGGATAGGCTGGATATGTTCCTCACTGAGGGCCCTGGTGCCTTTGGATAATTTTAGCACTAAGTATTTAACCTACTGTGAGCAGAGCTGATCCTTTTGTTTGGAAACCTTATAGCACAGGTGGAGAGGAAATTAAAGAATGCTTGGGTGGCTTGATGGCACAAGGTTTCTGAAAGGGCAGCTAAAAGTAAATCATCCATGTGCTGAAGGAGAGGAGTGTCCAGGTATGAGAACTGGCTCAAGTCTTGAGCTAGTGCCTGGCCAAATAGATGGGGGCTATCCCTGAACCCTTGGGGTAAAACAATCCAGGTGAGTTGAGATGTTGGGTTTGAAGGATCTTCAAAGGCAAACAAGAATTGAGAGTCAGGATGTACAGGGATGCAGAAAAAGACATCCTTAAGGTCCAGGACTGTAAACCACTCTGCTTCCTCTGGTATTTGGGAAAGCAGAGTATAAGGGTTAGGTACAGCTGGGTGTAGAGGGACAACGGCCTCATTGATAATCCTGAGATCTTGCACTAGCCTCCACTGCCCGTTGGGTTTCTGTACTCCTAAAATTGGAGTACTGCAGTGGCTATTGCATGTTTTTACTAGGCCTTGGGCTTTTAGGTCCTTAACAATCCTTTGGAGCCCTTGCTAGGCCTCGGGTCTAAGGGGGTACTGCCTTTGGTAGGGAAAGGAGGTGGAATCCTTTAGTTTAACTTGAACAGGGCAGGCATTCTTTGCTCATCCATATTGTCCTTCTGTTGCCCAGACTTCAGGATTAATTCCTTCCTCAAGCAGGGGACAACAAATGAGTGTTCCTTCTCCTATGTTCAGGTGTATAATGGCCCCTGCTTTTGCTAGAATGTCTCCTCCTAACAAGGAAGTGGGGCTTTCAGGCATAACTAGAAAAGCATGTCAAAAGAGTAAATGTCTCCAGTCACAACTTAGTGGCTGGGAGAAGTATCTAGTGATTGGCTGTCCTAGGACCCCTTGGATAGTGACAGATCTGGAGGACAGTTGTCTAGGACAGGAGAGTAAGACTGAGAAGGCTGCACCAGTGTCCAGGAGACAGTTAACCCCCTGGCCCTCAATGATCAAGCATACCCGAGGCACTGTGAGGGTGATGGCATGGGCTGGTGCTTACCCTGGGCATCCTCAGTCCTTCTGCTGGATCACCTGGTTAGTGGCTTCTGACTCAGAGGACCTTCATCTCCTGGGACAGTGGGCCTTCCAGTGATTCCCTTGACATAAGGGGCATGGACGAGGTGGTGGCTTATTTCTATTCAGGCAATCTTTTTTAAAGTGTCCTTGTAGACCACACTGGAAGCAAGCCCTATTAGGCATTCAATTTGCCCAGCTTTCTGTGTTCCAGAGCCTCCAAAGTCTGCTTGCCTGAGGGCCATGACTAAAGCCGTGGCCTTTTTCTTCTCTTGTTTCTCCCATTGTGCCTGCTCCTCCTGATCTCTATTATAAAAAAAACAAGGTTGCCAAGTTCAATAGTTCTAATAGCTCTATTAGAAGCCATGGGTCATGGGGCTATGAACCCAGTAACTAAGTTTTGCTCTGGGCCTAAGGCGGACTTTTGAAGTTTTTTTCTAATGTCTGCAGCTGACTGAGTGATAAACTTATCCTTTAAGATTAGTTAGCCTTCAATAGAGTCAGGTGACAGAGAGGTATGCTTCCTCAATGCCTCCCTTAGTTTCTGCAGAAAGGCAGTAGGATTTTCTTCCTTTCTCTGTGTTACAGTGGACATAATTGAATAATTTATGGGCTATCTCCTACTTTTCCTTAGTCCTTGTATCACCCAAGTTAGCAAATATCTGTGGCACCAATCTCCATGATCCGATTCTGTGTCCCAGTGAGTGTCTACACGGGGAACTGCATGCAGGCCTGTGGGGAATTGTTCTCTTTCCTCTGTTGTCATCCTATCATTGACCTGACTGAGATACAAGAGATGACCAAACTCTCAGGCTGCAGTTATGGCGGCAATTCTCTTATTTGGGGTTAGTGTCTGATCTAGCAGTAACATTATATCTCTCCATGTCAGATGAAAGGATCGTCCTAACACTTGTAAAACATCAAAATATCTATCAGTCTTAGCTGAGAATTTACCTAGGTCTATTTTAATTTGCTTCAAGTCTGACAGGGAAAAAGGTATGTACACTCTGACTGGGCATAATTGTCCAGAATACATCTTAGGGGCATTTTTGCCTTGGGGGAAATGTTTCCCATTTGAAAATAAAACATAGGGATGCCAGCACTCTTAGTCATTTTCTGATGAGCATTAGACCTAGAGCATCCTCTATGGAGCTAATGCTTATTCCTTTCAGGTGCGTAACCACTCAAGGACCTCTGCTTTTCAGATTAGTTACTTTCAATGATGTAGCAGTCCTCCACCTATTTTCCTGCCTTTCCTGACCACTAAGAAAGGGGATGGGGCTGCTGGGTTCTAGAGGTCCTTTACCAGCATATCCAACACTGCTGTTGCACTCAGAGATGAGTTCCTTTCTAGGGTGCATAGCCACCAGTGGACCTCTGCTTATTGGATTAGTTACGTTCACCAATGGGGCAGTCCTGAACCAGTTTTCCCACCTTTCTTGACCACAAAGAAAGGGGTCCAGGCTGCTGGATTCTAGTGGTCCTTTACCAGCATGCCTGACATTGCCATTGCACTCAGGGGTGAGTTCTAGAGTTGCACTGGGTTCCTGAGTATTTCCTAATAACCCAGATGCCCCATCAAGATGCATTCCTACAAGCAACAGTTCTCTCTTATGCAAATTCATTTCAGAGAGGATGCGGGTAAACTTTGAGTCAGGATTGAGATAGAGCTTTTTGATTCTGTAAGTACTTTAAGGCTTGGCTGAGTGCAAACAGCTCACACGTTTGAGGAGACCAGTTATTAGGCAATTTTCTTAACTCTGCATCTACAGGAGTTTCCTTCAATTATTGAATACCCATTGTGTTTTTTTCTCAATCACCTGGGAGGAACCATCTGTTGTCCTGTCCTGAAGGGAGTTCCTCCTAGGTGTGGTTGAACCTTTGTATGGTAATTAAGATTTAAATCCCCTGTCAGAAAATCTGCTGGGGGAAGGGAATTTTCAGTGGTTAATGTTAAATTATCATTTTTTAACAGAATAGCTCCATACTTTCAGATTTTTGAGTTAGTAACCTACCCTTTTTGCTTTTTTAACTTAGGATAGTTCTGAACTGGTGAGGTGGGCTCACAATGAGGTTTCCTCTAAAGGCTAATTTTCTACTTTCTTCTGTTAGGAAAGTAGTTGCCGCAAAAGATTGAATGCATCTGGGCCATTGGCAGGTTCCTGGGTTAAGGATTTTTGATAGGAAGGCCACTGGTTGTCAGTGGCCTCAGTGCTTTTGGGCTATGCCCTTGTTTACAATGACAACAAAGTGGTATTGGAGTGTTATAGGGTCATGGAGAAAACCTTAAATCATCAATTATAGGTTTTAAATTAACCCTGGCTTTTAAAGAAACAGGGTACACTGTTTTTTCTTTACTACTTCTATCTTTCTCTTTCTCTCTTTCTTTCTCCTTTCTGTCTTTGTAGATGCATTTTGGAAACAGAATGGAAGGATGTTCGCTGGTTGCCCCCATTTGCCACTATAGGAATATGTGCCTCCCTTTTATTTACTCAATTTGCTTTCATCTTGATCTAGTATGTTGTTGTAGACCCAATTCCAGTTGTTAGAGTACTAGGTTATCAGTTCTAAGGCCCTGGCAAGGGTGGTGGGGAACGGGTCCCACATAACTGCCCATGTGGAGAGCTGTATGCCTAAATTGGGAGGGACACCGGGGACAAGACTCCCTGGGTTCATAGCCTAGGGGCCTGAGGATGCAGCATAGAGCTTCCTTAGATCCCTTTGGAGATACAACCTGTTCTAATACTTGGGAGAGGAAGTGAAAGCCTGAAGCATTAGTATCTAGGAGGCAGGGATCAAAGGAAGTCAATTCAGAAGTAAGGAGAATTTTGGGGCTACACTTTCAAGAAAGTCATGGTCAGGACCCAGGAGGTATGGGTCAGAAGGAAAGGTAGGGGCGTATGCATGAGTGAATGCTGAGTAGAGACTTCTGGCTGTGCCATGATCTCAACTGGCTAATGCCAGCAGTTTGGGACGTCAGCTTTCTGCCTCTAGTCCACCCTTGACTTCCCCAGGAATATTGAAAGCAGAAGCTGGTTCCAGGCAGACCAACACTCCCAACCCATAAAAGGCTGGGGTTGTTAGAAAGCCCTTTCCCAGACAGCCTCACACCTGAGTCTTAAGTCCAGTGGCCACACTAATCGTTTTTAACCAGCTGACAGGCACCTGGTATTTTCCTCCAATTCTAAGGAAGGATAGGACAGAGTAGCAAGAGAAAGTGGTCCAATATTACTCACCACTTTGGACGTGCCTTCGTGGTGGCCAAAATGTTATTGGGGGGTGGTCCTTGTTCTTAGAGCTCCCAAGATGATGGTGGGCCACTTCCAAGATGGTGACAAGCCTCTTTTTCTCTGACCTGGGGTTCTTGGCTTCACAGATTCCAAGGAATGGAATATTGGGCCATGTAGTGAGTGTTATAGCTCTATCAGAAGCCATGGGACATGGAAGAGAACCGAGGAACCCAGCGACTAGTATTCAGCTTGATTAGGATGAACCTGGGCCCTTAACTGTGCAGGAACAATGGCCAGCCTTTAGCCCACTTGGGAGTGGCAATGGGTGCCTTGCTGGATCAGGAGTGCCACTGACACCCTGCTGGATCTGGAGGGATGGAAGTCAGTGGCAGGTCTGCGGGAAAACAGACGTGGTGAATGGCAAGCGATAGCTCAGCTCAAGCCATAACAAACATAGACCAGAAGAGTGTGCAGTTGCAAGATTTAATAGAGTGAAAACAGAGCTCCCATAAAATGGGAGGGGACCCAAAGGGGGTTGCCAGGTTTTTTCAGTATATAATATTATGTCCTCTGTAAACAAGGACAATTTCACTTCTTCCTTTCTAATTTAGCTGTCCCTTATTTCTACTTTTGCATAATTGCTCTAGCAAGTGCTTCCAATACTATGTTGAATATGAATGGTGAGATACAGCATCCTTGTCTTGTTGTGGTTCTTAAAGGACACACTTTCAGCTTTTCCCCCAATCAGTTTGCTAGCCACAGGTTTTTCATAAATGGCCTTTATTCTGTTTAAAACATTTTCATTGAGGACCTACATGTGCAGGGCTCTCTTCCAGACATCTCAGAGAACAGAGACCGAAATCATTCTGCCCTTTCATTCTATGGGAAGTACAGATAATAGACAGACAATTTAGTAAAATAATCACAGACAGCAATGAGTGCTGAGAATAAAGACAGTGCTATGAGAGACACTAAAGGGAAGGACATGCTTAAACAGGTGATCTTGGAAGGCCTCTTGTTATAGACAAGACTTAAGGTGAAACTTGAAGGATGGTGAGACTCTGGCTGTGTGAAGCACAAGGGAGGAACATTCAATGTGGGAGGGACAGCAAGCACAAAGGCTCTGGGGTGGGAAAGATCATGATGTATTTTAGGAGCTGCCCCATGGTGAGACAGTCACCTGAGAAGAGGTTGAGGAGATCACACAGAGGGTGACATGTGCCCTATATCAGGGTATGATAAGAATGAAGAAGGATAATGGCTAAAAACACTTTGCTCCATGCCCAGCACCTAGGAAGTATTATCCTAAGGATACTCAGATATTAGCAAAACTGAAGTTAGGAATTTGAAATGATGATCCTGACACTCACACTCACATGCTTTGTAATCTGAAAGTCACTTAACATCTCTGGGCCTTGGTTCACCTGTCTGTAAAATAAGGTTAATGTTAATGACACCTAGTAAATTAAGGAGTAGCTGTGATTTTGCTTAGCAAAGGTTAAGCACTCAGCAAATACAGAAGAGACATTTTGAGGCTTAATGGCATGCTGGCACTGTGCAAGGTACTGAGGTAAGAAAACCTCCCTTTCTCAGAATCACCTCTGCCTCTCATTCCAGGAAGGAAGTGATGATACCGAAGGTCCTCAGCTAAAACTAAACATATTTCTGTACAAGAAATGTAAAGTTACATCAGCATCAAACTCACCTTTATCAAAACCCAGAAATCAAGTCCCTGGGCTGATCTACCCACAGGAGTAACTGCTTCAAGAAGCCACCAAGGGGCCGGGCGCGGTGGCTCACGCCTGTAATCCCAGCACTTTGGGAGGCCGAGGCGGGCGGATCACGAGGTCAGGAGATCGAGACCATTCGGCTAAAACGGTGAAACCCCGTCTCTACTAAAAAATACAAAAAATTAGCCGGGCGTAGTGGCGGGCACCTGTAGTCCCAGCTACTTGGGAGGCTGAGGCAGGAGAATGGCGTGAACCCGGGAGGTGGAGCTTGCAGTGAGCCGAGATCCCGCCACTGCACTCCAGCCTGGGCGACAGAGCGAGACTCCGTCTCAAAAAAAAAAAAAAAAGAAGCCACCAAGGGACATCTTGGTGTTCCCTCCTCTGCCTTGGCTTGCCTAAACACTGAATCAGGAAATATTCAGCAACAAAAATGTCAGTTTCATTTTTACAATGTGGCATTCAAAACTGAACTGAGTCTCTTCAGGATGGTGATATAACCAGTTCAAAGTTTTGCTTATTCCAGCTGTCCCTCATTGATTCAATCAGTAGGTATTTCTTGGGCATCATCAACAGACACAGTCATCTGCTTCATGCAATGGGAAGCAAAGGACACAGCAGCTGAGTTACCACCTTTCAGGAGTTTTTGTGGAGGCATCTGAGTAGTAAATAAATGGGATAGGCCAGGCTTAGTGTCTCACACCTGTAATCCCAGCACTTTGGGAGGCCAAGGTGGGTGGATCGCCTGAGGTCAGGAGTTTGAGAACAGCCTGGCCAACATGATGAAACCCTGTCACTACTAAAAGTATAAAAATTAGCCAGGCATGGTGGTGGGTGCCTGTAATCCCAGCTACTCAGGAGCCTGATGCAGGAGAATCACTCTAACCAAGGAGGCTGAGGTTTCAGTGAGCTGAGATCGTGCCACTGCACTCCAGTTGGGGTGACAGAGCAAGGCTCTGTCTCAATAAATAAATAAATAAATACATAAATAAATAAATAAGTGGGATAGATATATACTTGTTAATAAGTCTTGACAATCACAAGCACACTTTTCTAAGAGTTACATTCATACTCTACAGATGGCTCTATATTCTGCTTTTATCACTTTCCCATATGCTTTACTCATATCATTAAACATTCTCCATAAACATCGCTTTCAATGACTATGCTACACCTAGCCCCATGGTTGCCATTCAGTTTCTCACAGGAGCTGCCCTGGATAATGAGACTTGCATTTATGCCAATATGGGGAGTTCATAATCTGACACATCTTCTTGCTATTTGAAAATACTGAATAAAACATAGCAAACATGAAATGCTCCCTGGAAAGTTTACGGGGTGCCATCTGGACTGGAGGCTCAACTTAATCATGACCTCATTTAAATGAATGGTTAACAGGAAAGTCTCTGGAGCCTGACTGCCTGGGTTACAATCCTGGCTGTACCTCTTACCAACTGGGGATTCTGGACAGGGAGCTACCCTGATTGCACCTTAGCTTTCCCACCTATAATATGAAGATTTTTTTAAAAATCTCTTTTGCAGAGTTTTTGCAAAGAAAGCATGTAAAGTTTTGGCTGCATGGCCAGAACATAACAAATGCTCACTAAATGTTGGCCATTACCACATTTTGAGCCCAATTCTAAAGAAATTGAGAATCTAGGGAGGGGAAAAAAAAAAAGCACAACGAGAATTCAAAGCTAAAATCTCTGACTTCAGAGCTACTGTTGCTCATGCTATGGGAGAAAAACAGGTGCTGATCCAAGTAGGGAAAGAGTCAGGGTCCAAGAGTCCCCAGTCGGGGTTAGGGAGGGAGTGATGGATGGTGGAAAGTAGTCACAGAACTAGGGGAGGTTGGGTGGATTGAAGTGTAAATAGTTACATGTCCCTACTCTTTGGTTTGGATAGGAGCCCAGGATTTGAGGCAGAAAGAAAAGAACTCTGATTCTCTGGGTTCTGGAATGAGTCACCTGCCATGAGTGGGGCTAAGGAGGAAGGTGTTGGGCATAAGAGTTTAGATGGATTAGGGAGCAGGAGGAAATCGGGCCCCCGGGAGAGCTGACTTCCAAGGAATTCTTTCTGAAATCTACTTTGATTTATGTTCTGAATTGATGACCTTTGGTATGACCTTGTGGAGATAATTATGAAAAAAGTGAGAGGAGTGGTAATTTGAAGAGGAGCTCATCCCATTTCTGCTCTTTCATGTATGATCTCCATGAATCTGCCAGTGCTTTTTCCTTTTTCTAGTATTTACCAACTGGTAAACTCCTCTTCGTCCTTAAAGACCTCTTTACTTATTTATTTTCTCTGTCTCTGAATGGCCCAAGCCCATGATTTATTGCTTCAGTACACCCTCTATAATGTTTTAACACAATAATTTATTTTTCTTTCTTTAGCTACTAAAAGGTGAGGTTAAAAAAAAACCTTTGTTTTTGAATAAATAAATGAGTGAATAAGTGTATAATTCTATGAGATATTCAGAGAAGTGCCTGTAATCCCAGCACTTTGGGAGGCCAAGGTGGGTGGATCACGAGGTCAGGAGATCAAGATATTGAGAGAAGTGATTGTTATCCCACCCATTTTAGTTTTCTAGGGCTATTGTGAAAAAAAAAAATACCAGAAAGTTGGTGGATGTAGCAGTCCTGCACCTGTTTTCCCACCTTTCTTGACCACAAAGAAAGGGGTCCAGGCTGCTGGATTCTAGTGGTCCTTTACCAGTGTGCCCGACATTGCCATTGTGCTCAGGCATGAGTTCTAGAGCTGGGCTGGGTTCCTGAGTATTTCCTAATAACCCAGATGCCCCATCAAGATGCATTCCTACAAGCAACAGTTCTCTCTTATGCAAATTCATTTCAGAGAGGGTGTGGGTAACCTTTTGAGTCGGATTGAGATAGAGTTTTTTGATTTTGTAAGTACTTTAAGGCTTGGCTGAGTGCAAACAGCTCACATGTTTGAGCAGACCAGTTATTAGGCAATTTTCTTAACTCTGCTTCTACAGGAGTTTCCTTCAATTACTGAATACCCATTGTGTTTTTTTCTCAATCACCTGGGAGGAACCATCTATTGTCCTGTCCTGAAGGGAGTTCCTCCTAGGTCTGGTTGGACCTTCGTATGGTAATTAAGATTTAAATCCCCCGTCAGGAAATCTGCTGGGGGAAGGGAATTTTCAGTGGTTAATGTGAAACTATTTTTTCTAACAGAATAGCCCCATACTTTAAGATTTTTGAGTTAGCAACCTACCCTTTTTGCTTTTTTGACTTAGGATAGTTCTGAACTGGTGAGGTGGTCACAATGAGGTTTCCTCTAAAGGCTAATTTTCTACTTCCTTCTGTTAGGAAAGCAGTTGCCACAAAATATTGAATGCATGTGGGCCATCTGCAGGTTTCTGGGTTAAGGATTTTTGATAGGAAGGCCACTGGTTGTCAGTGGCCTCAGTGCTTTTGGGCTATTCCCTTGTTTACACTGACAACAAAGTGGTATTGGAGTGTTACAGGGTCACAGAGAAAACCTTAAATTATCAATTATAGGTTTTAAATTTACCGTGGCTTTTAAAGAAATAGGGTACACTGTTTTTTCTTTACTACTTCTATCTTTCTCCTTCTCTTTCTCCTTTCTGTCTTTGTAGATGGATTTTGGAAACACAGTGGAAGGATGTTCGCTGGTTGCCCCCATTTGCCACTATAGGAATATGTGCCTCCCTTTTATTTACTCAATTTGCTTTCATCCTGATCTAGTATGTTGTTGTAGACCCAATTCCAGTTGTTAAAGTACTAGGTTATCAGTTCTAAGGCCCTGGCAAGGGTGGTGGGGAACGGGTCCCACATAACTGCCCATGTGGAGAGCTGTATGCCTAAATTGGGAGGGACACCAGGTATAAGACTCCCTGGGTTCATAGCCTAGGGGCCTGAGGATGCAGCATAGAGCTTCCTTAGATCCCTTTGGAGATACAACCTGCTCTAATACTTGGGAGAGGAAGTGAAAGCCTGAAGCATTAGTATCTAGGAGGCAGGGATCAGAGGAAGTCGATTCAGAAGTAAGGAGGATTTTGGGGCTACACTTTCAGGAAAGTCGTAGTCAGGACCCAGGAGGTATGGATCAGTAGGAAAGGTAGGGGCACACGCATCGGCCTGTTGTGGGGTGGGGGGAGGGTGGTGGGATAGCATTAGGAGATATACTTAATGTAAATGATGAGTTAATGGGTGAAGCACTCCAACATGGCACATGTATACATATGTAACACACCTGCGAGTTGTGCACATGTATCCTAGAACTTAACGTATAATATAAAAAAAAAAGAATGAAATCATGTCCTCTTCAGCAACATGGATACAGCTGGAAGCCATTACCCTAAGCCGATTAACACAGTAACAGAAAGCCAAATACTGCATGTTATCACTTATAACTGGGACCTAAACATTGGATACACATAGACACAAAGATGGGAATGGCAGACACTGAGGACTCCAAAAAGGGATGTGATGGAGGGAGGGGGAAAGGATGGAAAAGCTACCTATTAGGTACTGTGTTCACTACCTGGGCTAGGAGCCCAAACTTCAGCATCATGCGATATACTCATGTAACAAACCTGCACATGTACCCTCTGAATCAAAAATTTAACAAATAATATTTTACAAAAAGAGAAAAAAAGAAATAAAGCCATGCACCTACAGCCATCTGATCCTCAACAATGTTGACAAAAATAAGCAATGGGAAAAGGACTCCCTATACAATAAATAGTACTGGGAAAACTGGGTGACCATATGCAAAAGAATGCAACTGGACCCTGACTTTTCACCATATAACAATTAAGTTAAGATGGATTAAAGGGGCCGGGCACGGTGGCTCACGCTTGTAATCCCAGCACTTTGGGAGGCCGAGGTGGGCAGATCACGAGGTTAGAAGGTCGAGACCATCCTGGCTAATATGGTGAAACCCCATCTCTACTAAAAATACAAAAAATTAGCTGGGCGTGGTGGTGGGCACCTGTAGTCCCAGCTACTCAGGAGGGTGAGGCAGGAGAATGGCATGAACCTGGGAGGCTGAGCTTGCAGTGAGCCAACATCAAAAAAAAAAAAAAAAAAAGACAAGATCGATTAAAGGTTTAAATGTAAGACCTGAAACTATAAGAATCCTAGATGAAAACCTAGGAAACATGATGATTTACATCAGCCTTGAGAAAGAATTTATAACTAAGTCCTCAAAAGCAATTGCAAAAAAGTAAAAATTCACAAGTGGGACTTAATTAAACTGCTTCTGTACAGCAAAAGAAACTTGAGCAAAGTAAACAGACAACCTACAGAATGGAAGAAAATATTCATAAACTATGCATCTGACAAAGGTCTAATATCCAGAATCCCTAAAGAAATTAAACAATTCATTTTTTTATTATACTTCAAGTTCGGAGATACATGTGCAGAAAGTGCAGGTTTGTTACATTGGTATACATGTGCCATGGTGGTTTGCTGCACCCATCAACCCGTCATCTACATTAGGTATTTCTCCTAATGCTATCCCTCCCCTAACCCCCCATGCCAGATAGGTCCCTGTGTGTGATGTTCCCCTCCCTGTGTCCATGTGTTCTCATTGTTCCACTCCCACTTATGAGTGAGAACAAGTGGTGTTTGGTTTTCTGTTCTTGTGTTAGTTTGCTGAGAATGATGGTTTCCAGCTTCATCCATGTCCCTGCAAAGGACATGACCTCATCCTCTTTTATGGCTGTATAGTGTTCCATGGTGTATACGTGCCACAGTTTCTTTATCTAATCTATCATTGATGGGCATTTGGGTTGGCTCCAAGTCTTCTATTGTGAACAGTGCTGCAATGAACATACATGTGCATGTGTCTTTATAGTAGAATGATTTATAATCCTTTGGGTATATACCCAGTAATGGGATTGCTGGGTCAAATGGTATTTCTGGTTCTAGACCTTCGAGGAATTGCCACACTGCCTTCCACAATGGTTGAATTAATTTGCACTCCCACCAACAGTGTAAAAGCATTCCTATTTCTCCACATCCTCTCCAGCATCTGTGGTTTCCTGACTTTTTAATGATTGCCATTCTAACTGGCATGAGATGGTATCTCATTGCGGTTTTGGTTTGCATTTCTCTAATGACCAGTGATGATGAGCTTTTTTTGCTGTTTTTTTGGCTGCATAAATGTCTTCTTTTGAGAAGTGTCTGTGCATATCCTTTGCCCACTTTTTGATGGGGTTGTTTTTTTCTTGTGAATTTGTTTAGGTTCTTTGTAGATTCTCGATATTAGCCCTTTGTCAGATGGATAGATCGCAAAAATTTTCTCCCATTCTGTAGGTTGCCTTTTCACTCTGATGATAGTTTCTTTTGCTCTGCAGAAACTCTTTAGCTTAATCAGATTCCATTTGTCAACTTTGGCTTTTGTTGCCATTGCTTTTGACGTTTTGGACATGAAGTCCTTGCCCCTGCCTATGTCCTGAATGGTATTGCCTAGGTTTTCTTCCAGGCTTTTTATGGTTTTACATCTTAAGTTTAAGTTTTTAATCCATCTTGAAATAATTTTTGTGTAAGGTTTAAGGAAGGGTCCAGTTTCAGTTTTCTGCATATGGCTAGCCAGTTTTCCCAACACCATATATTAAATAGGGAACCCTTTCCCCATTGCTTGTTTTTGTCAGGTTTATCAAAGATCAGATAATTGTAGATAAGTGGTGTTATTTCTGAGGCCTCTGTTCTGTTCCATTGGTCTGTATATCTGTTTTGGTACCAGCACCATGCTGTTTTGGGTACTGTAGCCTTGTAGTGTAGTTTGAAGTCAGGTAGCATGATGCCTCCAGCTTTGTTCTTTCTGCTTAGGATTGCCTTGGCAATGGGGGCTCTTTTTTTATTCCATATGAAATTTAAAGTAGTTTTTTCTAATTCTGTGAAGAAAGTCAATGGTAGCTTGATGGGAATAGCATTGAATCTATAAATTACTTTGGGCAGTACGGCCATTTTTACTATATTGTTTCTTCCTATCCATGAGCATGGAATTTTTTTCCATTTCTTTGTGTCCTCTTTCATTTTGTTGAGCAGTGGCTTGTAGTTCTCCTTGTAGAGGTCCTTCACATCCCTTGTAAGCAGTATTCCTAGGTATTTTATTTTCTTTGTAGCAATTGTGAATGGGAGTTCACTCATGATTTGGCTTTCTGTTTCTCTATTATTGGTGTGTAGGAATGCTTGTGATTTTTGCACATTGATTTTGTATCCTGAGACTTTGCTGAAGTTGCTTATCAGCTTAGGGAGATTTTGGACTGAGATGATGGGGTTTTCTAAATATACAGTCATGTCATCTGCAAACAGAGACAATTTGACTTCCTCTCTTCCTATTTGAATACCCTTTACTTCTTTCTCTTACCTGGCCAGAACTTCCAATACAAGCGAAAAACAAACAACCCCATTAAAGACACAGACACTTCTCTAAAGAAGACATATGAGCAGCCAAAAAATATTTTTAAAAATGCTCAACATCACTAATGAGAAATGTGAATCAAAACCACATCTCACACAAGTCAGAATGGCTATTATTAAAAAGTTTCAAAGCAACATATGCTGGCTAAGCTGCAGAAAAAAAACATAATGTGTATACATTGTTTGTGGAAATGTAAATTAGTTCCGCCACTGTGGAAAGCAGTTTGGAGATTTCTCAAAGAACTTAAAATAGAACTACTATTTGACCCAGCAATCCCAATATTAGCTATATATCAAAAAGAAAATAAGTTGCTCTACCAAAAAGACACCTCTACTCATACATTCATCACAGCACTATTCGCAATAGCAAAGACATGGCATCAACCTTGGTGCCCATCAATGGTGGACTGGATAAAGAAAATGTGATACATATACACAGTGGAATACTAGACAGCTATAAAAAAATAAAGAAATCATGTTCTTTGCAGCAACATGGATGAATTGGGAGGCAATAATCCTAAGCAAATTAACACAGCAACAGAAAACCAAATACCGCATGTTCTCACTTATAAGTGGGAACTACATTTTGGATACTTATGGACATAAATATGGGAACAATAGACACTGGGGACTACTAAAGGGGTAGGTACAGATATGAGTAAGCATTGGAAATTTGACTAATATATACCATACTCACTACCTGAGTGGCAGAATCATTTGTATCCAAACCCTCAGCATCACACAATACACCAGTGTAAAAAACCTGCATACGTACCTGAATCTAAAATAAAAGTTGAAATTATAAAAAGAGGAAAAAAAGAATGCTCATGCACAGATATGCATGTAAAAATGCCAGGGAGGGTTAATTCATAGCAACAGTTGCTATTTAACCTACTTTACTTGAGGTTGGCAAAGCAATCATTTTTTAAATATTAATTTCTGTTTAGTACAGATTGTCCTTGGTCAGGACTCCTAAACAGAGTGCAAAGTTCTGATTGTGTAATTACATACTATTGTAGGGTGAAAGAGAATTGGTAAACAGGCTCCTGCTGTGACTATAGTACTAGACTGAAGTAGGACTAAAATTGCTCTAGGACTTACTCTGGTAGAAAAGGTAGACCTATCAATAGGGGAAAAAGTCATACCTAACATGATGTAGAATTTTTTTAAATTGTCATGTATATGAATTGAGAAAAAAAATCATGCTATGCATATTATGAGACCAGTTTCCCCAATGGAATAAAATAAAGTACTTGAACAGCTGCTATATTAGCATCTGTTTGTCCATATCATCATCCAGTTACTAGAAAGACATAATTCCCACTCTTCACTCAATATATAGATGGAAGTGGTTTTTATGGTAAATAAAATTAGATTTGCAATAAGACAAAAGTAATGATTCAGGGCTTGGTTAATGTTAAGTTTAAATGTACATATCATGTTGAGAATTTTCTTTGAACACATAACAAAAAAAAAGTGCTACTGAATGAACATTATTGCAATGTAGTAAAGCAGAATGCAAATTCCTTGAGGTCAGCATTCAAGTCTGTTTTCCTCGCAGCGGTGCCCACACACCTAGCATACTGCCTGGCACACAGTAAATGCTCATTAAATATTTGTGAGGTACATGGACAGGGGAATGTGGTAGACAGCTGATGAAGCTTTTCTCCCACTGTTGCCCTAGGTGGATCATCCATAGTCAATTGATTCTGAACTCTGAGGTCCAAGTTCTGCCCTCCTCCTTCACTCTCCCCACAAGTGGGCGGGACAATCCTCCCTGGATTTGAGCACAGGGGGACGGGGGTGGTCAGAGAGAGGTAGGGGCACTCAGAGATCCAGCAGGTGCTGCACCATGAGTGTCTCTGTGCTGAGCCCCAGCAGACTCCTGGGTGATGTCTCTGGAATCCTCCAAGCGGCCTCCCTGCTCATTCTGCTTCTGCTGCTGATCAAGGCAGTTCAGCTCTACCTGCACAGGCAGTGGCTGCTCAAAGCCCTCCAGCAGTTCCCGTGCCCTCCCTCCCACTGGCTCTTCGGGCACATCCAGGAGGTAGGGAGGAACTCAATGGGGGAGTGGGAGGGCAAAGAGGGATGGGGCTCTGAGACCCTGGTCACAAAATCCATAGAGCAAAGCCTTGTTTTGTAACAAATGTGAGGACTCAAAGGAACACCCAGCCTACCTCTCTGGTCTCAGCTTTTCCCAGTCATGAGGAGCTCACTTCTCCCATGAAGCCCATCCTGCTGGTCCTCAGCTCTATCACCCGTGCCCTCCTTCTGCAGATATCAAGTGTGTCTTGGCAGTCCTGCATGTGGAGGGCAATGCCTGATTGTCTCCAGACTGATTACCCCATAAGCCTTGGCTTTCATCAAAGAACAAGGCTTCTAGATGCTCTCTGCCCAGTCACTCAATGCCATCACTCTGCCTGGCCCTGTGTTTGCCAGGGAGCACAGACACCCATCTGAGGAATCCATGCCATGAGGAGTTTATGGTCTGTGAAGAATACAGGCAGGAATTTGAGAAGGTGTCAGACTGCAGGAAAGGAGCTCACTCTGCTGGGGTGGATATCTGAGGCAGAGATCTGCTGGTATAGGGGACCAACTGGCTAAGTAAGTTTCCCCAAGACTCACGGAATTTCCACAACAGGTGATTTAGGATCTGAAAACCTGACAATTATGGGTACACATGAGGGGGGCAGCCTGCACAATGTTCTCCAGGTGAGGAGACTGGTGTTTGAGTTGCACATTGAACAGGGTGTGTTGACCTCCTGGCTCTCCTCCCACACACCCGGACTGTGAGCTCCCTGGCGGTGAGCATGTCATCCCCTTCCTGTGCCCCGGCAATCAGCAAAATCCTGGCACAGCTTGATGATCAGCTCAGGTGTGTAGAGCAAGCTTGTCCAACCCACGCCCCATGGGGCTGCATGTAGCTCAGGATGGCTTTGAATGTGGCCCAACACAAATTCGTAAACTTTCTTAAAACGTTATGAGATTATTTTGCAATTTTTTTGAGTTCATCAGCTATCATTAGTGTTAGTGTATTTTATGCATGGCTCAAGACAATTATTTTTCTTCCAATGTGGCCTAGGAAAGCCAAAAGATTGGACACACCAGGTGTAGAGGAACAGAGGAAGAAGAGAAAGGAGCAGCAAGAGGGCTGAGGAGGGACACAGCCCATCCCCTGTGCACTGCTATCCCTACAAGGGGAGGGGGGCGGGTAGGAACAGAGCAGGTAAACGGCTGCATGGAGAGGGACTCACCAAGGTGCTATGAATTGAACACACTTAAGTAGAGATAGGGGTTGCAGGGAACTGAGGCCTATTGTTTCTCAGCAAAGGAGGCAACATAGTTCTCAGCAGAGCAGAACAAATGTGGGGACCTGCCAAAGTTCTAACCCTATATGGACTGGTCCCAATACCACTCTGCCTTCTTTCCCATTCTCCTCTTTTACCATATGTTACTCACTACCTCACTACCTGCCTCTGCATTTCAACCTTTAGGTCTCTGATCACACTATGCTTGCTACCTGGAATTATCTTCTCACGCATATCTATCTGTCAAGGCCCAGCACCAAGCTACCTCCTTCAAGAAGGCCTCCTGGGTCTCCCAGTAGTGAAGGGCTGACTCTTTTTTCCATGAGCTATCCTTCTCAAGAGGCCAGAGCAGTGTTAACTTGACTCAGTTATTGTTCTGCAGTGTCATAAGTGTGGGATTCTTCTGGGAGAGACCATCTCTGATTTATGTTTGTAACCCAATAGTCCCTCAGTAAATGATGACTCAGTGAGTGAGGAAGAGCTTTCTAATGTTCAGTTCTGAGTTAGGTCCCTCTTCAAAGCTTCCCCAGATGCTTGTCCTTCATTCCATATCATGTCCATTATCCCCTACTGCACAGCCTCTAATCTTTCTTACCCCCCAACTAGACTGAAAATTCCACACAGATAAGGACCACAGCTGTATCCTAACGCAGTGCCTGAGCCACACTGGGCACATAGTATGTGTGCAGTAAGCATGGGCTGAATGAAGGAGCCTACCCCACAGTAGGGCAAGCTGCCTCAGAGCTGGACAATATGATTATCAGAAGGAGATGGGCAGATATTCGATACCTATGTGGTAGACAGTTGCTTTGATTTACTAGAAGCAGTTGAAATAAAGAAGAGTTGGCTACATGGAACATCACTAGGACCCAATGTCTTTGAGGGTTCCAGATGAGATTAAAGCAAAGCTGAGTCTTGAAAGCTGAGGAGAGGTGGCTGCTCTGTGGCAGAGGGGAAGGGCATTCAAGGTAGAGAAAAGAGCAAGTGCCAGGGCCCAGAAGAGTGAGCAGGTGTAGCTGGTGTGCGATTCAGCAGCAGTGGTGGCATCGGCATTGGAGCTGAAACAAACGGGTGATGGTGGAATTGCCAGCAGGGCTGGAGGCAAGAAAAGAGAAGTTGAAGCCAGAAAGCCAAGGGCTTTGTGATCCACATCGAAGAGTTTAGAAAGATGACTGCAGGCAGCAGGGAGCTCATAATTCGTTGATAAGTGAAAATGAGAATAAGAAACCCAAATCTCAAAATTATTGTCCAACACCAGCACCATATGCATATACTCAGACTCCATCCCATAAATCTGTACATATTCAACATGTAGAATACTATTATGCACACAATTTTATAGTTAATCTTTTTTTGCTTACCAATACACATCCCAAATGCTATTTTATCTTAACAAATATTTACCGTATATGCTGGGATAATATTGAAAATATAACAAGTATGATTATATAAAGGCATTGTGTAATTTAAAATGTTTACATTAATTCATTTTATTCTCTAGATATACTAAATGATTTTACAAATCTACTTATCAACTAATATGAGTTATACACATTGCCCATGGAAATTGTTGTATTTATGACTTCCAGAGATGTTACACAACATGAAGACAATGGCTGACTTAAATTTCTGCTGGCAGCATTGAGCGAGGGCTCATAGCGCTTGGCCTAAGGTCAAGTCCTGGGGAGAGAGCAAGAATCTGGATCACAGCTCAGGTCATCAGAAACAGATCTAAATCCCTAACCTGCGCTACATGGCTCCTGTAGTTGTCCTGCCCTTCACTCCTGCTGCAAAGACTAGAAGTAAATGAAAGTGTTCATCTGTCTACCCTTGTTGACAGCTCCAACAGGACCAGGAGCTACAACGGATTCAGAAATGGGTGGAGACATTCCCAAGTGCCTGTCCTCATTGGCTATGGGGAGGCAAAGTTCGTGTCCAGCTCTATGACCCTGACTATATGAAGGTGATTCTGGGGAGATCAGGTGAGATCGAACCCCCATCCCAACTGCAATGTGTCTTCCCTCTTGACACATGCTCCTGGGTCTGTAAAATTCCAGAAGAGAGTGGCTGTTCAAACATCAATATCTGAAACCTCTCCCACGCATCCACCAAGCCCACCATGCCCAGGCTATAGTCAAAAATAGTTACTGAACTCCGAATGTTTAAAACAATATGTGGGGCTGAATTTTCTATTCTTTTTTCTATTTCTCTATTAAGAAAATTGAGGTTTTCTGAAATGTAAATTGTCCCAGATCTGTAAAACAAATTTCATACCCACATTGACCTGGGTTTCAAAGCTCTAATTGTTGCCTGTCTTGGTCAGGAGGTGACTAGGAAATCATCAATGTAGAAAAACCCATGGCTCTATGTTATTCATTGTCATTGAAGACCTAGCCTATGTTTCTCACCAATTCACCTTCCTAACCCTCTGGATGTTTTCCTGCTGGAACACTGAGTCTGTCTTCCTGAGCCCACACTGACCTTCAGGACAGAAATAGAAGTGGATGGGAGTCAAGTGGGAGGTGACATGGGTCAAACTGCCAACTGACAGACACCAAGAATTGATGCAGCCTCTAAGACTGCCTTCTTAGTAACTCCTAGTTTCCTATAAAGCCCTTTCTTGCCTTTCAGACCCGAAATCCCATGGTTCCTACAGATTCCTGGCTCCATGGATTGGTATGTGTGCAAACTAGGACTGCAGCCCACTCCCTAGTCAGGTTTGAGTTATTTATTTGGCTCACAGAGAACAACAGATTAGAGGCCACCACTATCATGACCTTATCCCCAAATCAAGCCTCACTTCCTTCTTCTAACAAGACCCTCACCCCTTCCTAATGCTGGTACAAACCTTCCTGAGGCTCAGCTTCTTCTATTTCATGTCTCAGTTCTCTCCAGACATCCTTGGCCTCACATTTATTTTACATCTGCCCACAACCCTTTTCAACTTTTATCTCACAGCTGTCATAATCACATGCATGTAGCAGCTCAATCAGAATATTCACATGCCTGAAATATACCTCCTTTTCCTGCATTTGCCCATGACGTGGCTTCTTCTGGATAGTTCTCCCCTTGAGAAGCCACCTTTCTCCCTCCCAAATTGTCACCAGTCATCCCTAGCTCCTTGCAGCCCCTGACACACACACACACACACACACACACACAAACACACATTCATGTCTCTCTTAGGGTACGGCTTGCTCCTGTTGAATGGGCAGACATGGTTCCAGCATCGACGGATGCTGACCCCAGCCTTCCACTATGACATCCTGAAGCCCTATGTGGGGCTCATGGCAGACTCTGTACGAGTGATGCTGGTGAGTCCATGTCTCTCTCCTCTCCCCACACCCACTCACAGCACACACTCTCACCAACTCCACTCTCAACCCTGTGTCCCACAGGCAGACATAGACATAGACACATGGAACAACACTCTCAGGTCATTGCTGTGAGAGTAGAGGGTTCCCCAGAGTTGTATAAGGTAGGAGAACACCCAGGCATCAGGTCATATCCACGCTTTGTTCCCCACCATAGGAATAGAGATTCATGGTGAATGCAAGGCCCTTCTCCTCCCACTTTGGAACCTTCAGCACAAGGGACTGGAGGAGTATGCAATCTTGCTGGACAGTAGGACTTCCTATGCTGGCTGGCCTGGGCAATGGCAGCTTCAGTGGCAGCATGGACAGGCCAAGATGTCACCCACCCAGGCTCTGGCCTGGGGCCCCGGGTTTCTGCATGGATTTAAGCCACCCTGGGAAGGAAATGAACACCAGGTCTATGTTCTCAGAGCAATACCTTCCATAGATAGCATCATCTCCAGTCAGGACTCTGATTTCTCACCCAACTGTGCCCAGCACATTTTGATGAATGGAAAAGAATTGAAGTCCCTGTTTTCTCTACAACAGAGTGCCCATTCCGGCCCCTCAAGCTATCTTTGGCACTGAAACTTTCCTACTAGTCCCTCAGAACTAGCTCAGCTCTCAGAACACTGAAGAGTCCCCCATTATTTATCCCAGAACAACAATAGCAATACAATTTTCACAACCATATGTCCTAACTGAATCTCAAAATTCAATACTTAATCCATGCTATTGTGAGAGGATCTGTTGAATGTTGTATTAAAAGTGTGTGAGAATTAGGCGTCAGTTTACCAACACTGGCTTTACAGTCTCAGTTTCTACAATGCATCTGCTCTGTAAAGTGAGGAATCCCAACCAAGATATCTGCATGCTACAGGAAAAAACAGGATATCTGCAGGTACATGAAAAAGCCAGGCCTTATTAGCAAAGCACTTCTTGGAGATTAAGAAGGTCCATGCCCCCTCCCACCACAGGACAAATGGGAAGAGCTCCTTGGCCAGGATTCCCCTCTGGAGGTCTTTCAGCACGTCTCCTTGATGACCCTGGACACCATCATGAAGTGTGCCTTCAGCCATCAGGGCAGCATCCAGGTGGACAGGTCAGTGACAACCCTCCAGCTGCAGGGCCCTTGTTCTTATCAAGTGGAGTGCACATACCTGAGGGGCAGGTGGGGCAGCGTGAAGGCTCACCGCCACACAAAGGAAGAGTCAGTCCCTGACCAAACTCTAATTCCAGTCCAGACCAAACAAAGTCTCAGGAACAGATGCCTAATTCCTAGCACAGGTGGACCCTGGATGTTCATACCATCTGATAAAGGCCAAAGGATAATAGGGCTGTAAGATAGAAGAAACATTGCCTCAAGGCTGCTTGTCCCCATTATCCGAGGCTGCCTCCTCTCAGACCCCATTCTACTTCCGGGTAATGGGCCCACCCCTACTGCAGTCCCTTCTTCATACTCTCCCTCAGGAATTCTCAGTCCTACATACAGGCCATTAGTGACCTGAACAACCTGGTTTTTTCCCGTGTGAGGAATGCCTTTCACCAGAATGACACCATCTACAGCCTGACCTCTGCTGGCCGCTGGACACACCGCGCCTGCCAGCTGGCCCATCAGCACACAGGTTCTGTCTTTTCCTCTTGTCTCCCAGCCTTTCCCAGGCACAGCGAAAGAACTTGCCCTGACTCCTCAGCCAGAGAAGGCCCCTAGTAACCCTGCAGAACGCAGAACACACTCAGCCTGGGGAATTCCCTTGCTCAGGGGCTGGGAGCTGAGATGTGAGGGGCCAGATTCTGTGCCTTGGTTTATCAATGTCCCCACATGGAGATAACTGAATGAGACCCTGTCCAAACAGCATTCAAGAGGAGCCTCCATGAACTGTGCCACTGGCGGGAGGGGTGCCCTGCCTCACACAGTACTAGAGCTTCCACCCCTGACCCTGCACCCACACTCACATTCATGCTGAGATCTACCAGGCACCCACACTGGGGCAGTTGGGCAGCTAGGCCTCCTGGGGGCTGCTGACGGTCTCAGCTCTGCCTGGTAACCATTGTTCTGGTACAGACCAAGTGATCCAACTGAGGAAGGCTCAACTACAGAAGGAGGGGGAGCTGGAGAAGATCAAGAGGAAGAGGCATTTGGATTTTCTGGATATCCTCCTCTTGGCCAAAGTGAGTATGTGTAGGAGAGGCCTGAGTCTTTGCCCAGAAGTACATAGCAAGAGACAAGCCCTGCATTTTCACCACGGTCTTCCCAGATGGAGAATGGGAGCATCTTGTCAGACAAGGACCTCCGTGCTGAGGTGGACACGTTCATGTTTGAGGGCCACGACACCACAGCCAGTGGGATCTCCTGGATCCTCTATGCTCTGGCCACACACCCCAAGCATCAGGAGAGGTGCCGGGAGGAGATCCACAGCCTCCTGGGTGATGGAGCCTCCATCACCTGGTGAGTGAGGGCTCAAAAGATGGGGTTCCCTGCCTTCTCCACAGGGGCCCCTGGTCTGCCCAGGCCTTGCTGGTGTTCAGGATGGAATTGTTTCAGGAACCACCTGGACCAGATGCCCTACACCACCATGTGCATTAAGGAGGCACTGAGGCTCTACCCACCGGTGCCAGGCATTGGCAGAGAGCTCAGCACTCCCGTCACCTTCCCTGATGGGCGCTCCTTGCCCAAAGGTATGAAGTTCCCCCACCCTCTCACCTAAACTCTCCACAGGGACGTGTGGAGGGTGAGAAATCCATGTGTGCATCAGAATTCTGCACATCTCTGGGTCTCCCTTTTGTTCTAAAAAAATCAAAAACATACTTTGTACTTGGGATAAAGAATTTGAAAAGTCTGGCTGAGAGCTTGAACCCACCAAAAGTTCAAGAAATAAATGTTAATCTCTGAATGTGGCCTTGGGTCAGTAACTGTAAAATTCTATTCCCTGAGATGTGCAGGGCTGGAAAGAGAATCAGACAAGGGCAGAGAGGGATGTGTTTCTTTCCTCATGGGGTCAGTGCAAAAGAGGCTTATCAGGAATTTCATTTCCTGGGTCAGCTGTTGTCCAGTCTCTGAGGAACCCTCAGGTTGATGGCAGAGAGAAAGTGATGACCAGATCTGGGGACACCAAGGTGCAACTCCCTGGGTTCTGGTCCCAGTCCTGCCATAACCTAGTTGTGTGAACATAGACAAGACAATTGGTCTCTCTGAGATTCAGGTATCTCCCCTGAAAACTGAGAGCAAAAGAATGTCTTACTTGGAGCGTTGTTGTACTGAGTGAGTTCATGTATATTCTCCAATGACCCTTGGAGGATATTTGATGAATGTGAAATGTCACTGGACTTACTCTAAAGAGTAATGCTCTGATTCTTTCTTGCTTCTCATTCCTGCATAAATGGTTGTCTATTCATCATCTGAACTCACATGCTTTGTTAAGCCTAACCCACCTGCATAATGGCAGAATCATCCCAGTCAAAGTGAAAATTTGTGGAAAGTAGGCTTTTTGGGCCTTCTTTTGTGCCTGCTGGCTGAAGTACCAGGCCACCCCATGCAAATGATTGGTCTTCTCTCTGTTTCCAACCTGCACCACAGGTATCATGGTCCTCCTCTCCATTTATGGCCTTCACCACAACCCAAAAGTGTGGCCCAACCCAGAGGTATGTGGTCCTTGAGAGGAGGAAATGAGGTGATCCCTCAAGACCAATACCTTCTCCTGCTTCCACCTCTGGGAGTCCTGTCCCCCATGGGTGGCAAGTAGGTGCTGGATCCTTAACTATCCTGGCTCTGGTGCTCTCTCTGCAGGTGTTTGACCCTTTCCGTTTTGCACCGGGTTCTGCTCAACACAGCCACGCTTTCCTGCCCTTCTCAGGAGGATCAAGGTGAGACGTCCTGTGTGGTAATTCGAATAGAGGAATGAGGGAAGTCTCTGGTCAACCCTCTGATCTTTGTGAGCCTGATGTTCATATGTGGCATCTTCAGGTGTGCTCTTAAATGTTGGTATTTGTGGGAAAGTCAGGCACCTGGTGTGGGCGTCTCTGTGTACAAAAGGAAGGTGGCATTCAGAGCACCCCATGGAGACTTTGCTCCCTCTGCTTCTTCAAATGGGCAGCCTGAATTCACTGTCAGTGCATGTTCCAAACTTCAGTATATTCATGTATTTTCCTCACTTTAAGGATATGAATTCTCAAAATTAGATATTCTCCAGTAAATTCAACTTCAGCTGTTTGCTTTTCTCAGTTGTCAGGAATAGTAAACTGTAGATTTCTCTCCCCCCACACATCCTCAATGCAGCACACTACCTTCCCTATTTAATTCACTAGTCTGTCGTAGAGATGAATCATTGAAGTCTTTGCATCTGTTTATAATACAGATGACCTGCAAGTCCTACCTTTCAAGTCATATAAGGGAGAGGTTAAGGTAGCCCTTTGAAGAAAGTTTTACAACAGTGTGTGTCATATCATACATTCTTCTGTCTTGCCCAATGAAATTTTTACTGCATTATATAGTGTTCACATATTTACATCTATTTTCCCGTTTGACAAATTCTGTACATGCCTTGAGATCTTTATACCATAGTCCTGTAATCCACTTAGCACAATATTGGCCAAAAACATAAAAATGTGAACAGTACACTGTCTTGGAGAGAAAAGCCCAATAATTATCATATAACGCACAACATTTGAAGCCTCCTGGTATGTGAAATATAAAACACACTTGAAATTGCTTTTGAGCTGGAGAGGAAAACTCCAGAATGGTTGCGGTGGAGATCATTGTGGCATCAGGAATCGTCCTGTGACATACACACAGGCAAAAACGATATAAATTCTTAGTAGAAACAAAGTTTGTTCAAAGAAATAATTATGTGACTTTTTGAAACGGTGAGTCCACTTACACAGAACAGGCTTTAAGAAAAAGCTTCCTCCTGAAACTCCTTCTCCAGCACTGGTCTGTCTATCCCAGCATGAGAAAGTCCTCCTAAACATTGCCTGCAAATCATGTCGCTGCCACTAGAGAACTGGAGAGCATTCCTAAGGTCCATTTCTAGCTCAGAATTAATATTTACTCTCAGTGTATTTCATTATATTTTATTCATTTTAAAACTTAACATCATTCAAATATAGAAGTATTTCTTAAGCTACCTCTCTGGGTCAAGTCCTATGCAGCATGATGAGAAAACAGAGATAAAAAGTACAAAAATGTGTTGTACAGAAATATATCCTGTGCTCCAGACACACATCGTTCCATCAACCATCCTTTCACTCATTCACTCACTGAGTGGCGTGTTGAGTGTCCCTGTCCCTGGTGCTGTCCTTGGCACTGGACTGTGAGTGTTCATGGATAAATCGTGAATGCTACCTGGGGGCCTGGGAGGGAGAGGCCCAGCTGGCAGGGAGTGAGAGGCAGCTGGGATCTGACTTTAGCCTTGAGGATGTGGCAGGCAGAGGTGGAGGGAGGACATTCTGAGCCATCTCCACATGAACAGGGCCAGGACGTGGGCTGGACAGGTAAAATGTGGGTGAGGCAAGAGCCCATGGAGGGCTTATCTGCCAGCTGAGGCATTGGGATGCTGTCCCACCTGTGATGAAGAGCGTGGGAGGGTCTGAGCTGGGCTGTGGCTTCAGTGTGCTGGGAGGGGAAGCAGAAAACCATAAAGTCCAGGCAAGAATACTGAGGAAGGGCAAGGAAGGATGTTTCTGGAGTAGAATTAGAAGGCTACAGGGGCTGGTGGATGGAGGAGTGAGGTTAGACAGGAGCCCGGACCCTGGGGTGGGAGGCAGGTGGGGCAACACTGAGGATCACCCACCCAGTTCTCCTCCAGGAAGCCTCCCACTGCCCTTCTGACTCCCTTAATACACCCATCGGGGCCCCTATGAGGATTCAGGTCCCTGTGTGTCCCACTACATGGGAAGCACCTGAGAGTGTGGCCCACCCTCACCCTACAGGACCTGAACTGACCTCCACACTGGAGAACAAGAAATGTTTGTGGAGGAGTGAACAAACCATTGATTAACTCTTTATCTATTCATGTGATTAGACTCTGTGCCTTAGAGCCCTGGCCTTGTCTTGATAGAGGGTTTCAGGCTGCTGAGAGCAGAGGTAGAGGGTAGGAGTTAGGAGCTAGCCCAGGAAGACGGCTCTGTCCAAGGATTGGGATAGTGTGAAGCCAGGACGGGGTAGAAGTGTCCATGGGCTGTATGTGTGCAGGGGCTGGACACATGAGGTTGGGCACTGAATGTCCAGCTCAGGGCTGGGGTCAGGGGCCAAAACCTGCTCAGATCAGAATGGGGCCTGAGGACACTTCTCAATTCATTATCTCCACCTGGCCCAGGAACTGCATCGGGAAACAATTTGCCATGAACGAGCTGAAGGTGGCCACGGCCCTGACCCTGCTCCGCTTTGAGCTGCTGCCTGATCCCACCAGGATCCCCATCCCCATTGCACGACTTGTGTTGAAATCCAAAAATGGAATCCACCTGCGTCTCAGGAGGCTCCCTAACCCTTGTGAAGACAAGGACCAGCTTTGAGGGCCTCCACCTGCCGTCCTGTCTTCCTGACCCCCGCTTCTGTCCCCTTCCTGTCTGCCCATATCCTGTTTTCTGTCTGCCCACCTTCCCTTCTTCCCACCTGCCTGCTGTCCCCCAGTCTGCCTGCCCTTCTCTCTCTCACCTTTCTCCAGGCTCCCTACCTGCTTGTCTACCTGTCTCCTACCCACCTGTATCTCTTGTTGGGAGAAAAGCTGAGTGTTGGGAGAAGCTGAGGCCGAGCTTGCATGTCTGACATAATGTAAAAGAGTCTTGGATCATGTCCAGGATCCAGGGTCTAAAACCCCTTGTGGCCTTTGGAACACCAAGCTCTGTGCTGAAGGGTGGAAGGCTACCCTGACGCACCATAATCTAAGCCCGGGGCATAAAACCCCTCGTGGCTTGGATAGAATCCAGGGCTCGTGGCTCTGGAATGTGTCTGAACTTGCTGCCTCCTCGCTCCTTGCTCTCCCAGGATCAATTGTATCTTGAGTTAAAAGAACCTGCTCTCCATTATCTCAAGTAGCAGAGCAGATGCTAAACCGTCACAGCTGTAAATCATGTGCTTAATGCAACATGCCCTTTCGACCCCCACATTCTCACCACCTGTTTCTTTGTTTGATCACCAATAAATAATCTGCACTTCCAGAGCTCGGGGCCTTCACAGCCTCCATCCTTAGCTTTGGCGCCCTGGACCCACTTTCTCTCTCAAACTGTCTTTTCTCACTGCTTTGACTCTGCCGGACTTTGTCACCCCCACGACCTGGTGTTGGGTCTGAACACCCCAACATCCCTGAATCTCCACCCACCTCCCAAACTCCTGCCTGCCCTCCAGACTGTCTGCCCATACACCTGTCTCCTTCTTCCTGCCTGCTTGTCTGTTCCTATATTAGTTTCCTATTACTGCTGTAATAAACTATCACAATCTCAGTGATTTTAAATAACGACTTTTATTCTCTTACAGTTATGGAGGTCAAAGTCAGATATATGGGTTTCACTGAATTAAAACAAGTTCTGGAGAGGGCCAGACCCCCACCCCCAGAAGGTTTCAGGGAGAGCCCTGCCCCTTGGCTTTTCAGCTCCAGAGCTGCCTTTTTTGCATTCCTTGGTACGGTCCCCTCCTTCCTCTTTAAAGCCAATGGCATCTTCAAATCTCTCTCTCTGTGACTGTCTTCACATCTCTTTCCCTCTTATAAGGACCCTTGTGGTTAGTTACATCAAGCTTATTAAGATAATCAAGGATAATGTCACCACCTCAAGATCCGTTACTTACTCAAAAGTCCATTGTGACATATGCAGTCCCACAATCACAGGTTTCATGAATTAGGATGTGGACAACATGGAGACCCATTGTTCATCCTAGCACAGCCCCTACCGGATTGTCATCCAATGTGTCCATCTAAATCTCTCCTGTATGCTACCTACCTACATACGTGATTGTCAGCCAGACAATCCCTCTATCTTCCCTCTTCTCTAGAATAAGGTTCACAAGCTTGCATGCTTTGTCCAGCTTCACATGGAAGGTGATAGGGTTAGAAGAGGAGACACTAAGGCAGGGAGATAAATCCCTACTGAAGAGGGAAAATGGAGATGAGGTGTGCCCAATTGTGCCAGAACCCTAGCAGGGCCTGGTTTGATCCATCCCCCTGCACACAGCCTCATACCATGTCTCCCCTGGTGCCCACACCCTCTCCAGCTCCTGAGGCTCCCATGGTAGCTGAGTTTAGACAAACGATATTTATCTAGGAGATCAGAGGGAGAAGCTCACACCTGTAGGGAAAAGACTCCAGGCCTCCATTCCATTCAAGATTTAGATTCAAGATGAATCACAGCAAGGCTGAGCTAAGGGCCTGCCTTGCTGTGTTTTGTGTTACTGTAACTGAATACCCAAGGCTGGGTAATTGATCTAGAAAAGAAGTTTATTTTGCTCATGATCTGGTGGCTGAAAAGTTTAAGTTTTGGCAGCTAAATCAGATGAAGGCCTCATGCAGCTTCCACACATGGCAGAAAGCAAAAGGGGAGTGGCATATGCTGAGATTGCATGGTGACAGAGGAAGCAGGAGAGAGACCAAGGAAGCAAGACTCTGTTTTGATCCCGATGTCTTGGAAACCTGTCCATTCCAGATACAGCTAAAACTCAAGCCTGTGAGGTGGAAGGGGGCACTAATCTCTTCATAAAGGATCTGTCTCCACGATCTAAATATCTCCCACTAGGACCCACCTCCCAACACTACTGTGTTGGGGATCAAGGCTTCAGGAGTTTGGTTGGGAACATCCCACATCCCAGCTATAGTGAGGCTGCACTGAGCTGAGCAAGAAAGCCTCAAAGGCCTGGTCTGTCATGAGGATCTTGTAAATTCAGCTATCCACAGCCCCAGTGAGGTGTAGAAAGAGACCCCAGCCTAGCAACGTCACCAGGTACCTGTCAACCTTCCTCACATACGGAACCTGCAGGCTTCTCTGGAAGCTCATGGAGTGGGCAGCTGTCCAGTCAGGGGTGGGAGGAGCCCAGGTAGGCAAATGGGTCTGGCTGGTGGAAGAGGCTGTCAGACCCCAAGCAGCTCCTTCCCAACAGCACAACTTCTTGGTTGTCGTCTGCCTCTCTGGCTGGCCACCCTGATGGGGTAGGGGCATCCTCAACCCTGTCCACACTTGGTGACTGCCTGGGTGCTGGTAGTGCTGACCCTGGGCCCTGTTCCAGCACCCAGGCCCCATGTACTACCCCTGGGATAGTGTCACTGATTGTCCCAGCCTCTCTCAATGCAGACCTTGCTTCTCTTCCTAAATCTGAACCCAGGTGTTCCTCTCACCTGTTGCCCATTCCTAGCCCAGGACCTTGGATGCCATAGAGAGGAATTCCTCTGCCTGAGGTCTGAAAGCTCATTCTGTTACCCTGAAAGAGCTTCTCTTCTAGTTTGTGCCTGCAACTAGGACCTCCCTCCAAGTCCCCTGAGTTCCCCGGTCATTGGATTAATTCAGCCCTGCTCTGAGAACAGGCAGGAAAGGGGAGGGCTGGACAGTCGGTAATCAGCCAGGAGTGGAGGGAGATGGAAACACTGGGAAAGGAGAGTGACCTGGGAACCTCATGGACAGGATGGCCAGCCAGTCACCTGGCATCAGGGGATTTACAAGGGCTCATGTTGGCCATACTCAAAGACCACAGGACAGTGTGCACTCACTCCCATTACTACCCCTAATACCTGGTTGAAAAGATGAGGGGAAGGGAATCATATAAGTGAAAGTCTCATTGCAATTGGAGAGGTGGAGACCTCAGAGTGATCAAAGAGATAGGGAAGGTGCACAAGGAGGGAGAACCTGAATATCTCTATGTAAAAGAATGATGTTGAAGTTTTACATACATGATATACAAACTAAAAAAAAAATGGATAGAAGGATTGAAAGATAGCCCACAGAATGGCAGAATATATTCACAAATCAAATGAGAACATGTAAAGGACTCCAACACACAACAACAAAATACTACAATCCCATTCAAAAATTCAAAGGACTTCAATAGAAACTTCTGCAAAGAAGATATGCAAGTGATCCATAAGTGCACCTGGAAAGATGCTCAACTTCATTAGTCATTGGGGAAATGCAAATCAAAACCACAGTGAGATACCACTTCATATCCTTTAGAAAGGCTATAATTATTTTTTAATGGAAAATATGAAATATTGGACAGAATATGGAGAAATTGAAACTCTTATGAATTACTGGTGAATGTAAATTGGCGTGGTCAATTTGCAAAACAATTTGTGGTTCCTCAGAAAAATAAAATCACAATTTCCATGGGACCCAGTAATTCCACTTTTGGATGTATATATACCCAATGGATTTGAAAGCAGGGATTTGAACAGATCCTTGTAAACCAATGTTCACAGCAACATTATTCATAGTAGTTACCAGGTTGAAGAGCCCAAGTGTCCATCAACAGATGAATGGGTTCACAAAATGTGGTATACAGACAATGGAATATTATTCAGTCGTAAAAAGAATGAAGTTCTGATACACACTACAGCAGGAATGATAGTGATAACAGCATGCTAAATAAAATTTGACAGACATAAAAGGAAAAATATCATGTGATTCCACTCTTAAGTAGTAGATTAGGCAAATCCATAGATTAGACAAAGTAGTAGAGAATAACAAGGACTGGGAGAAGGCAGAGTTATCATATAATGATTACAGAGTTTCTTTAGAGTGATGAAAACCTTTTGGAAATAGGTAGTGATGATGGTTGTAAAACACTGTAGGATCTACTGCCAAGGTGGCCAAATAGGAACAGCTCTGGTCTGCAGCTCCCAGCAAGACCGACACAGAAGGTGGGTGATTTCTGCATTTCCAATTGAGGTAGACTGTTCATCTCTTTGGGACTGGTTAGGCAGTCAGTGCAGGCCACAGAGGGTGAGCAGAAGCAGGGTGGGGCACAACCTCACCGGGGAAATGCAAGGAGTGGGGGGCCTCCATTTCCCAACCAAGGGAAGCCATGAGGGACTGTGCTATCCAGCCCAAATACTACACTTTTCTCATGGCTTTGCAATCTGCAGACCAGGAGATCCCCTCATGTGCCTACACCACCAGGCCCCTGGGTTTCAAGCACAAAACTGTGCAGCTGTTCAGGCAGACACTATGCTAGCTGCAGGAGGTTTTTTTTTCATACCCTAGTGGTGCCTGGAACCCCAGTGAGACAGAATCATTCACTCCCCTGGAAAGGGGGCTGAAGCCAGGGAACGAAGTGGTCTCGCTCAGTGGGTTCCATTCCCACAAGGCCCAGCAAGCTAAGAACAACTGGCTTGAAATTTTCACTGATAGCGCAGCAGTCTGAAGTCAACCTGGGACGATTGAGCTTGGTTGGGGGAGGGGCGTCTGCCATTACTGAGGCTTGAGTAGGCAGTTTTCCCCTGACAGTGCTAAAATGACCTGAAAGTTTGGACTGGGCAAAACTCAACACAGTGAGACAAAGCGGCTGTGGCCAGTCTGCCTCTCTAGAGTCCTCCTCACTGGGCAGGACATCTCTGAAAGAAAGGAAGCAACCCCAGCCAGGGGCTTATAGATAAAATTCCCATCTCACTGTGGGCATAGCTTCAGCAGACTTAAACTTTCCTGCCTGCTGGCTCTGAAGACAGCGGTGGATCCTGACAAGCAGGGTTCTACCAACACAGTGCTTGAGCTCTGCTAAGGGACTGCCTCCTCAAGTGGGTCCCTGATCCCCATGCCTCCTGACTGCCAGAGACCTCCCAACAGGGGTTGACTGACACCTCATACAGGAGAGCTCCGACTGGCATCTGGTAGATGCCAGCTTCATCCTCTGGGATGAAGCTTCCAGAGGAAGAAGCAGGCAGCAATCTTTGCTGTTCTGCAGCCTCCACTGGTGATACTCAGGCAGATAGAGTCCAGAGTGGACTGCTAACAAACTGCAGCAGACCTACAGAAAAGGGGCCTGTTAGAAGAAAAACTAACAAACAGAAAGCAATAACATCAACATCAACAAAAACAACCTTCACACGGAAACCCCATCCAAAGGTCATCAGACTCAAAGATCAAAGTTAGATAAATCCACGAAGATGAGGAAAAACCAGTGCAAAAATGCCAAAAATTCAAAAAACCAGAATGCCTCTTCTCCCCCAAATGATCACAACTCCTCTCCAGCAAGAACACAAAACTGGACAGCGAATGAATTTGATGGATTGACAGAAGTAGGCTTCAGAAGGTGGGTAATAGCAAACTCCTCTGAACTAACAGAGCATGTTCTAACCCAATGCAAGGAGGCTAAGAATCTTGAAAAAGGGTTACAAGAACTGCTAACTAGAATAACCAGTTTAGAGAAGAATAAAAATGACCTGATGGAGTTGAAAAACACACCAAAATCACTTTGTGAAGCATATACAAGTATCAGTAGCTGAATGAATCAATCGAAAGGAAGGATAGCAGAGATTGAAGATCATCTTAATGAAATAAAGTATGAAGACAAGATTGGAGAAAAAAGATGGAAAGGAAAAAACAAAGCCTCCAAGAAATATGGGACTATGTGAAAAGAACAAACCTATGATTGATTAGGGTCCCTGAAACTGTTGGGGAGAATAGACCCAAGCTGGAAAATGCACTTCAGGATATTATCCAGGAGAACTTCCCCAACCTAGCAAGACAGGCCAACATTCAAATTCAGGAAATACAGAGAACACCACAAAGATACTCCTCGAGAAGAGCTACCCCAAGACATATAATCATCAGATTTCCAAAGTTGAAATGAAGGAAAAAATGTTAAGGACAGCCAGAGAGAAAAGCCAGGTTACCTACAAAGGAAAGCCCATCAGACTAACAGTGGATCTCTCTACAGAAACCCTACAAGCCAGAAGAGAGTGGGGACCAATATTCAACATTCTTAAAGAAAAGAATTTTCAACCCAGAATTTTATATCCAGCCAAACTAAGCTTCATAAGTGAAGGAGAAATCAAATCCTTTACAAACAAGCAAATGCTGAGGGATTTTGTCACCACCAGGCCTACCTTACAAGAGCTCCTGAAGGAAGCACTAACTATGGAAAGGAGAAAACCGGTACCAGCCACTGCAAAAATACACCAAAATATAAAGACCAATGACACTATGAAAATAATGCATCAACTAAAGTGCAGAATAACCAGCTAGTATCATAATGACAGGATCAAATTGACACATAACAATATTAACCTTAAATGAAAATGGACGAAATGCCCCAATTAAAGGACACAGACTGGCAAATTGGATAAAGAGTCAAGACCCATCAGTATGCTGTATTCAGGAGACCCATCTCACGTCCAAAGAAACATAAAGGCTCAAAATAAAGGGATGGAGGAATATTTACTAAATAAATGGAAAGCAAAAAAAAAGCAGGGGTTGCAATCCTAGTCTCTCATAAAACAGACTTTAAGCCGACAAAGATTAAAAAAAAGACAAAGAAGGACATTACATAATGGCAAAGGGATCAATGCAATGAAAAGAGCTAACTATCCTAAATATACATGCACCCAATACAGGAGCACCCAGATTCATAAAACAAATTCTTGGAGACCTACAAAGAGACTTAGACCCCCACACAATAATAGTGAGAGATTTTAACACCCCACTGTCAATATTAGACATATCAATGAGACAGAAAATTAACAAGGATATTCAGGACTTGAACTCAGCTCTGGACCAAGTGGACCTAATAGATATCTACAAAACTCTCCACCCCAAATCAATAGAATATACTTTCTGCTCAGCACCACATAGCACTTATTCTAAAATTGACCACATAATTGGAAGTAAAACATTCCTCAGCAAATGCAAAAGAATGGAAATAATAACAAACAGCCTCTCAGACCACAGTGCAATCAAATTAGAACTCAGGGTTAAGAAACTCACTCAAAACCACACAACTATATGGAAAGTGAACAACCTGCTCCTGAATGATTGGAGAAAAATTTACTGGGTAAATAATGAAATTAAGGCAGAAGTAACTAAGTTCTTTAAAACCAATAAGAACAAAGAGACAATGTACCAGAATCTCTGGTACACAGCTAAAGCAGTATCTAGAGGGAAATGGATAGCACTAAATGCCCACTAGATAAAGCAAGAAAGATCTAAAATCAACACCCTAACAGCACAATTAAAAGACCTAGAGAAGCAAGAGCAAACAAATTCAAAAGCTAGCAGAAGACAAGAAATAACTAAGATCAGAGTAGACCTGAAGGGGATAGAGACATGAAAAACCCTTCAAAAAAATCAATGAATCCAGGAGCTGGTTTTTTGAAAAGATCAACTAAATAGATAGAACATAGCCAGACTAAAAAAAGCCCAGGACCAGATGGATTCACAGCCAAATTCTACCAGAGGTACAAAGCAGAGCTGCTACCACTCCTTATGAAACTATCCCAAACAACAGAAAAACAGGGACTCATACTTATCTCATTTTATGAGGCCAGCATCATCCTGATTCCAAAACCTGGCAGAGACACAACAATAACAAAAAAAATTTCAGAACAATTATTCCTGATGAACATTTATGTAAAAATCCTCAATAAAATACTGACAAACTGAATCCAGCAGTACATCAAAAAGCTTATCCACCACAATCAAGTCGGCTTCATCCCTGGGATGAGGGGCTAGTTCAACATATGCAAATGAATAAATGTAATCCATCACACAAACAGAACCAATGACAAAAACCATATGATTATCTCAATAGATGCAGAAAAGGCCTTTGGTAAAATTCAACACCCCTTCATGCTAAAACATCTCAATAAACTAGGCATTGATGGAACATATCTCAAAATAATATGAGCTATTTATGACAAACCCATAGCAAATATCATACTGAATGGGCAAAAGCTGGAAGCATTCCCTTTGAAAACTAGTACAAGACAAAGATGCCCTCTCTCACCACTCCTATTCAACATAGTATTGGAAGTTCTGGCCAGGGCAATCAGGCACGAGAAAGAAATAAAGTGTATTCAATTAGGAAGAGAGGAAGTCAAATTGTCTCTGTTTGCAGATGACATCATTGTATATTTAGAAAATTCCATTGTCTCAGCCCAAAAACTCCTTAAGCTGATAAACAACTTCAGCAAAGTCCCAGGACACAAAATCAATGTGCAAAAGTCACAAGTATTCCTATACACCAATAATAGACAAGCAGAGAGCCAAATCATAAATAAACTCCCATTCATAATTCCTACAAAGAAAATAAAATACCTAGGAATACAATTTACGAGGGACGTGAAGGACCTCTTCAAGGAGAACTACAAACCACTGCTTAACGAAATAAAAGAGGACACAAACAATTGGAAAAAAATTCCATGCTCATAGATAGGAAGAATCAATATAGTAAAAATGGCCATACTGCCCAAAGTAATTTATAGATTCAATGCTATTCCCATCAAGCTACCATTGACTTTCTTCACAGAATTAGAAAAACCTACATTAAATTTCATATGGAACCAAAAAAGTTCATGTATAGCCAATAAAATCATAAGCAAAAAGAACAAAGCTGGAGACATCATGCTACCTTACTTCAAACTATACTACAAGGCTACAGTAAACAAAACAACATGGTACTGGTACCAAAACAGAGAGATAGACCAAGGAAACAGAACAGAGACCTCAGAAATAACACCACACATCTACAACCACCTGATCTTTGACAAACTTGACAAAAACAAGCAAGGGGGAAGGGATTCCCTATTTAATAAATGATGCTGGGAAAACTGGCTAGCCATATGCAGAAAACTGAAACTGGACCCCTCCCTTACACTGTATACAAAAATTAACTCGAGATGGATTAAAGACTTAAACATAAAACCTAAAACTATAAAAACCCTAGAAGAAAACCTAGGCAATATCATTCAAGACATCAGCATGGACAAAGTCTTCATGACTAAAACACCAAAAGCAATTTCAACAAAAGCCAAAATTGATAAATGGGATCTAATTAAACTAAAGATCTTCTGCTCAGCAAAAGAAACTATCATCAGAAAGAACAGGCAACCTACAGAATGGGAGAAAATTTTTGCAATCTATCCATCTAACAAAGGTCTAATATCCAGAATCTACGAGGGACTTAAATTCACAAGAAAAAAAAAACCCCATCAAAAAGTTGGTGAAGGATATGAACAGACACTTCTCAAAAGAAGACATTATGCAGCCAACAAACATAGGAAAAAAAGCTCACTATCACTGATCATTAGATAAATGCAAATCAAAACCAAAACGAGATACCATCTCATGCCAGTTAGAATGGCGATCATTAAAAAGTCAGGAAACAACAGATGCTGGAGAGGATGTGGAGAAATAGGAATGCTTTTACACTGTTGGTGGGACTGTAAATTAGTTCAACCATTGTGGAAGACAGTGTGGCGATTCCTCAATTATCTAGAACCAGAAATAAAATTTGACCCAGCAATCCCATTACTGGGCATATACCCAAAGGATTATAAATCATTCTACTATAAAGACACATGCACACATATGTTTATTGTGGCACTGTTCACAATAGCAAAAACTTGGAACCAACCCACATGCCCATCAATGATAGACTGGATAAAGAAAATGTGGCACATATACACCTGGAATACTATCCAGCCATAAAAAAGGAAGAGTTTATGTCCTTTGCAGGGACATGGATGAAGCTGGAAACCATCATTCTCAGCAAACTAACACAAGAAGAGAAAACCAAACGCCGCACATTCTCATTAATAAGTGGGAGTTTAACAATGAGAATACATAAACACAGGAGGGAAACATCACACACTGGAACTGGAAGTGGGTGGCTAGGGGAGGGATAGCATTAGGAGAAATACCGAATGTAGATGACGGGTTGATGGGTGCAGCAAACCAGCAATACCTACGTAACAAACCTGCAAGTTCTGCATATTTATCCCAGAACTTAAAGTATACTAAAAAAAAGTCAGTAATATTTTTACATTTATTCTCTTAAATTTCATGTGTTTTCATTTTTCTACTTTAAAAATTTTTAATCTTTTGTTTTCTGCACTTTGACTATATAGTTACTGAGTGTGGTTGTATTTATATTTACTGAGTTTCTTGAACTATAACTCATTGTTATATTTTTATCACATTTTTGTGAAACATTTAGCCATTACTTCTTAAGAAAAAAACTACACGTGTGTGTGTGTGTATATATATATATATATATATATTCTGCTTCAGTATTACTCTCTTCTCTTTTGGAGACTTCAATTACATGTATATCAGATTATTTGATATTGTCCCATAGGATCCTAGGACTCAGTTAATTTTTTTTTAGTGGAAAACTATTCAATGTTTGCTTTCTGAAAAAATTAATAATATAGATAGGGCATTAGCTACACTAATAGAGAAGAAAAGGGAGAAGATCCAAATAGACACAATTAGAAATAACAAAGAGGATGCTACCACTGACCCCACAGAAATAAAAATAACCATCAGAAAGTAGGATGAACACCTCTATGTACAAAAACTAGAAAATATGGAAGAGCAGAATAAATTTCTGAACACATACACCCTCCCTAGACTGAACGAAGAAGAAGTCAAATCCCTAAACAGACCAATAATAAGCTTCAAAATTAAATCAGTAATAAATAGCCTACCAACGCAAGAAAGCCCAGAACCAGATTAATTCATAGCCATATTCTACCAGATGTACAAAGAAGAACTGGTAGCATTCCTACTGAAACTATTCCAAATAATTGAGGAGGAGGGACTCTGCTCTAGCTCATTCTATGAGACCAGCATCATCCTGATGCCAAAACCTGGCAGAGACACAACAAAAAAAGAAAACTTCAGACCAATATTCTTGATGAACATTGATGCAAAAATCCTCAACAAAATACTTGCAAACCAAATTCAGCAGCACATCGAAAACCTAATCCATGATGCTCAAGTAGGCTTCATCCCTAGGGTGCAAGGTTGGTTCAACATACACAAATCAATAAATGCGGATCATCACATAAGGAGAACTAAGTATAAAAGTCACTTGATTATCTCAATAGATGCAGAAAAGGATTTTGATAAAATTGGACATCACTTCATGTTAAAAACTCTAAATAAACTATGTATTGAGGAACACACCTCAAAATAATAAGAGCCATCTATGACAAACCCATATTAACATCATAATGAATGAGGAAAAGATGGAAGCATTCCCCTTGAAAACCAGCACAAGACAAGGATGCCCTCTGTCACCACTCCTATTCAACATAGTATTGGAAGTCCTGGCCAAAGCAATCAGGCAAGAGGAAGACATAGTTTGAAGATGACAGATAGCAGGCAGAACTAGCTTGCAGCTCCCACTTGGACAGAACAGTGTGTGAAGACTCACATCGTGAACTTTTACTCCAAGAACCACTGCATGAACATACCGGGAAAGCTAAGAGAATCTACAGACCTTTGAAGTAACTGGATTACTGCTGCAGGCTCCCTGAGAAGCCAAAAACTGTGATTCTGCTTCCTTTCTCAATGAGGAGGCTCGTGGTCTGGAGCAAGTTCTCAGCCCTGGTCACTGGCTGCCTGGAAATAGACTCACTGCAGTTGGGGAGGGCACAGTAGGAGTGAGACTGGCCTTTAGGACTACAGGCTGTGTGGAAACAGGATGAGCCCTCTGACTACCAGCTTTCCCCCACTTCCCTGGTGACCTGTATGACTTACCAGAGACAGCCATAATACCTCTGGGAATATAGCTCCACTGGACTGGGAACTACACCCTCATCCCCCACAACAGCTGCAGCAAGCCCCACCCAAGGAAAGGCTGAGCTTAAACATGCCTACCCTGACCCCACCTTGTGGTCTTTCTCTACCCACCCTGGTAGCCAAAGACAAAGGTCATAATCACTTGGGAGCACTATGGCCCTGCCCACCACCTGAAAAATCTGAATAGATAACCAGGTGTCTCTAAGGCAAGTTTGCTTCCTCCCTATAGGACCACAGCTTATGCACTCTTGAAAGTTCCATTTCATGGCTGAAGGCCAACCAAAACAAAACCAGTGCACTAAACAAAAACACAACCAAGGACCCTCACAGAGTCCACTTCACCCCCCTGCCACCTCCACTGGAGCAGGCACTGGTATCCACAGCTAAGAAACCTGAAGATGGATCATGTCATAAGATTCTTTACAGACACTCTCCAGTAGCAGCCTAGAGCCTCGTAGCTCCGCTGGGTGGCTAGACCTAGAAGAGCAAAAATAATCACTACCTACTCCTGAATAATTTTGGGGTCAACAATGAAATCAAGTGGGAAATTTAAAATCTCTTTAAACTGAACAATAATAGTGACACAACCTATCAAACCCCTAAGATACAGCAAAAGCAGTGCTAAGAGGAAAGTTTATAGTATTAAATGTCTACATCAAAAAGTCGGAAGAGCAAAAATGGACAATCTAAGGTCACACTTCACACAACTGGAGAAAGAATAATCAAAACTCAAACCCAGCAGAAGAAAAGAAATAACAAAGATCAGCGCAGAACTAAATGAAATTGAAACAAAAAAAATACAAAAAATAAATGAAATGAAAAACCTAGTTCTTTGAAGAGATAAATAAAATTGATGAACTATTAGCGAGATTAACCAAGAAAACAAGAGAGAAGATCCAAATAAGCTCAATTAGAAATGAAACGGAAGCTATTACAGCTGATACCAGTGAAATACAAAAGATTATTCAAGACTTCCATGAACGCCTTTACAGGTATAAACTAGAAAACCTAGAGGAGATGGATAAATTTCTGAAAATATGCCACCCTCCTAGGTTAAACCAGGAAGATATAGAATCTCTGAACAGACCAATAACAAGCAGCGAGATTGAAATTCTAAGTCTTTTTAATGCCAACAAAAAAAAAAGTCCAGGACCAGATGGATTCACAGTTGAATTCTATCACACATTCACAGAAGTGGTACCAATTCTATATACATTATTCCATAAGATAGAGAAAGAGAGCATCCTCCCTAAATCACTCTGTGAAGCCAATATCATCCTAATACCAAAACCAGGGAATGACATAAGAAAAAAGAAAACTACAGACCAACATTTTTGATGAACATAGATGCAAAAATCCTCAATCAAATACTAGTGAACTGAATCCAACAGCATATCAAAAAGATAATCCACCATAATCAAGTGGGATGCAGGGGTGGCTTAACATACCCAAGTCAATAAATGTGATACACCACATAAACAGAATTAAAAACAAAATCACATGATCATCTCAACAGCTGCAGAAAAAGCATTTGACAAAATCCAGCATCCCTTTATGATTAAAACTCTCATCAACAAAATTGGCATACCTTAAGGTAATAAAAGCCACATACAACAAACCCACAGCCAACATTATACTGAAAGGGAAAAAGTAGAAAGCATTCTCCTTGAGAACTGGAACAAGAGAAGGATGCCCACTTTCACCTCTTGTATTCAACATAGTACTGGAAGTCCTAGCCAGAGCAATCAGACAAGAGGAAGAAATAAAGGGCATTCAGATCCGTAAAAAGGAGGTCAAACTGTCACTGTTTGCTGATGATATGATCGTATACCTAGAAAGCCCTAAAGACTCATCCAAAAAGCTCCTAGAACTGGTAATTAAATTCAGCAAAGTTTCAGGATGCAAAATTAATATACACAAATAAGTAGCTCTGCTGTACACCAGCAGCAACCAAGCTGAGAATCAAATCAAGAACTCAACCCCTTTCAAAATAGAAAAAAAAAAAACCTTAGAAATACACCTATCCAAGGATGTGAAAGACAACTATAAGGAAAATTACAAAAGACTACTGAATGAAATAATAGATGACACAATAAATGGAAACACATCCCATGTTCATGGATGGGTAGAATCAATGTTGCAAAAGTGACCATACTGCCAAAAGCAACCTACAAATTCAATGTGATTCCCATCAAAATACCACCACCATTCTTCACAGAACTAGAAAAATAACCCTAAAATTCATATGGAACCAAAAAAGGCCCCACATAGCCAAAGCAAGACTAAGCAAAAAGAACAAATCTAGAGGCATCACATTACCAACTTCAAACTATACTATACTATAAGGGTGTAGTCACCAAAACACCAGGTACTGGTATAAAAATAGGCACATAGACTAATGGAATAGAATAAAGAACCCAGAAAAAAACCCAAATGCTTACAGCCAACTGATCTTCAACAAAGCAAACAAAAACATAAAGTGGGAAAAGGATACCCTATTCTACAAATGATGCTGGGATAATCGGCAAGCCACATGTAAAAGAATGAAACTGGATCCTCATCTCTCACCTTAAACAAAAATCAACTCAAGATGGATCAAAGACTTAAATCCAAGACCTGAAACCGTAAAGATTCTAGAAGATAACATCAGAAAAACCCTTCCAGACATTGGCTTAGGCAACGACTTTATGACCAAGAACCCAAAAGCAAATGCAACAAAAAGACAAATAGGTGGGATTTAATTAAACTAAAAAGATTCTGCACAGCAAAAGAAATAATCAACAGAGTTAACAGACAATCCACAAAGTGAGAGAATATCTTCACAATCTATATATATCCAACAAAGGACTAATATCCAGAATCTACAAATAACTAAAACAAACCAGCAGGAAAAAAAATCCCATCAAAAAGGGATATAAGGAATGAATAGACAGTTCTCAAAAGAAGATATACAAATGGTCAACAAGCATATGGAAAAATACTCAACATCACTAATTATCAGGGAAATGCAAATCAAGTGCACAATGCCATACAATCTCACTCCTGCAAGAATGAACATAATCAAAAAAATCAAAAATAATAAATGTTGGTGTGGATGTGGTGAAAAGGGAACACTTTTGCACTGTTGGCAGGAATGTAAGCTAGCGCAACCACTATGGAAAACAATGTGGAGATTCCTTAAAGAACTAACAGTAGATCTACTGTTTGATCCCACAATACTGCTACTAAGTATCTACCCAGAGGAAAAGAAGTCATGATACAAAAAAGATACTTGCACATGTCTGTTTATAGCAGTATAATTTGCAATTGCAAAAATATGGAATCAGCCAAATGCCCATCAGTCAACAAGTGGATAAAGAAAATGTGGTGTTTGTGTGTGTGTGTATGCATATACCATGTGATATATACATATATATGTGTATATATAGTGTATGTGTGTGTATATATACCATGTGATATATATATATACACACACACATATATTAATAGGATAGATTATATACACACACACACACACACACACACACACACACACACACACACACTATGGAATACTATTCAGCCATAGAAGGAACAAAATAATGGCACTTGCAGCAACCTGGATGGAATTGGAGACTATTATTCTAAGTGAAGGAACTCAGGAATGGAAAATCAAACATCATATGTTCTCACTTATGTTGGGAGCTGAGCTATGAGGATGCAAAAAGGCACAATAATGATACATTGGACTTTGGGGACTTGGGGGAAAGGATGGGGGGTGAAAGGATAAAAGACTACACATTGAGTACAGTGCACAGTACCTGGGTCGTGGGTGCACCAAAATCTCAGAAATCACCACTAAAGAATTTATTCACATAACCAAACACCACCTATTCCCCCAAAAAACCTATTGAAATAAAAAAAAGGTTTTTTAAGAAATAAAAGGCATCTGTGATGATTAACACTGAGTGTCAACTTGATTGGATTGAAGGATGCAAAGTATTGTTCCTGGGTGTGTCTGTGAGGGCGTTGCCAAAGAAGATTAAAATTTGAGTCAGTGGACTGGGAAAGGCAGACCCATTCTCAATCTGGGTGGGCAGAATCTAATCAGCTGCAAGCATGGTCAGAATAAAAGCAGGCAGAAGAATGTGAAAAAGACTTGATTGGCTTAGCCTCCCAGCCTACATCTTTCTTCTGGGTGGGACACTTCCTGCCCTCAAACACTGGACTCCAAGTTCTTCAGCTTTGGTACTCAGACTAGCTTCCTTGTGCCTCTACTTGCAGACGGCATATTGTGAGACCTCATCCTGTGATCATGTGGGTCAATACTCCTTAATAAACTCCCCTTTATGTATACATCTATCCTATTAATTCTGTCCCTCTAGAGAACCCTGACTAATACAGCATCCAAATAAGAAGAGAGGAAGTCAAACTATTCCTGTTTGCATACAACATGATTCCATGTCTAGAAATTCCCATAGTTTCTGCCAAAAATTCCTTCAGCTGATAAACAATGTCAGTAAAGTTTCAGAATACAAAATAAACATACAAAAATCACTAGTGTTCCTATACACCAACAAGTGCCAAGCCAAAAGCCAAATCAGGAACCCAGTCCATTTACAATTACCGCAAAAAGAATAAAATACCTAGGAATACAGTTAACCAGGGAAGTGAAAGATATCTACAATGAGAATTATAACATACTGCTCAAAGAAATCAGAGATGACACAAACAAATGGAATAACATTCATCGCTCATGGATAGGAAGAATCAATATCATTATAACACCCATACTGTCCAAAGCAATCTGCAGATTTAATGCTTTTCCTATCAAACAACCAAAGACATTCTTCACAAAACTAGAAAAAACTATTTTAAAATTCAAATGGAACCAAAAAAGAGCCTGAATAGCCAACACAATTCTAAGTAAAAAGAGCAAAGCTAAAAACATCATGTTACCCAATTTCAAACTATGCTACAAGGCTACAAAAACCAAAACAGCATGGTGCTGGTACAAAAACAGACACATAGATGAATGGAACAGAATAGAGAACCCAGAAATAAGGCTGCACACCTAAAATCACCTAATATTCCACAAAGCTGACAAAAAACAGCAATTGGAAAAAGACTTCCCAGTCAATAAATAGTGCTGGGATAACTGGCTAGCCATATGTGGAAGATTGCATATATCACATAAAACATGCATAAGATCCTTATATCATATACAAAAATCAACTCAAAATGGATTAAAGACTGAAATGTAAAAACCCAAAACTACAAAAACCCTGGAAGACAACCTAGGCAATACCATCCTGGACATAGAAACAGGCAAATATTTTATGATGAAGATGCCAAAAGCAATCTCAACAAAAGTAAAACTTGACAAATAGGACCTAATTAAACTAAAGACCTTCTGCACAGCAAAAGAAGCTAACAACAGAGTAAACAGACAATCTACAGAATGAGAGTATCCAAAGAAAAAATAAGAAATTTATTTTAAAAGACCAATAAAGGACTAACAGACATGTCAATAGAAACAGTATTAGCTAGAAGACAATGGAATGATGTCACCAAAATGCTGGAAACAAGTAACTGCCAACTAGGTTCTATTTTGCAAGATAGCAACATCGTTTTTTTTAAGTGAAATGAAATTATCATAATATACAATTACATTTTTAAGTGTACATTTCAGTGGCACTTCATGCATTCACAATGTTGTGCGACCACCACCTCTGTAGTTTTAATTTTTTTCATCACCCTCAAAAAACACCCTCTATTCCTGTCTTCCCATTCCCTCCTCCCCCAAATTCCAGCAACCACAAATTTTTTTACAGTGTGTATGGATTTACCTTCTGGATTTTTTTCATATAAATGAAATGATACAATATTGTCCAATTTTGTTCTCCTTAGCATAAAGTTTTCATGACCTCATGGAAAATGGTAGAGTAGGAATTTCCAAGAATCACTCCTTCCATCAAAGCAACTATTCACCTACCAAAAAACCATCAAAATCAATTATTTTATAACTCTGGAATCTAACCAAACACTTATAGCAAACAGGGGAATGTTTAATGAAAAATTAGGCTGGTAAATTTTGGCATTTTGCATAGCATCTGTCATCTCTTATTCCCATGTCCCATGGTAGTCATGAGGATGATGATCCACATTTCTGTTATGGCTTACTTGTGCAGGCTTGGCAATAAGGACGTTGTCTGCCAAAAACTGGAATTGTGTGTTTTGATCTGTCTAGTAGCTCACTGAAGGACTGGCACAGAAGCTTCATATTGTTTCAACACCCTCAGGCAGGAATGGCTTCCCTGGTGGCACCTGCCACCAAGATGGCACCTTTAAAAGAATTTAAAGAAATAATCCTTTTTCTTTTATTTCTCTTTTTTTTTAATTTTTTTATCCAGATATTTAAGGAAATTTTTTTCAAGTCACTGGCTTACTACAGAGATAAAGAAACAGACACATCAGTGATCACATATGTAAGGAATACTTGTCTCATTGGATGCCACCAAGCATAGCAATATATGCATTACAGAAGTCCCAGTATGAGAAGAGGGTTAGGGGGAAGGATGGAAAAATATTTAAAGAAATAATGAATGAAAACTTCCCAAATTTGAGGAAAGACACAAATCTACAGATCTAAGAAATTCAGTGTCCAAGAAGCTCAATGACATCCAAGGAGGATGAACTCAGATACCTACAGCAAGACATATTACAATTAAACTGTTAAAAGAAATAATCTTGCAAGCAACAAGAAAGAAGTGATTTGTCACATACAATCTTGCAAGCAACAAGAAAGAAGTGATTTGTCACATACAAGCGAGGTAGGAGGTGAGGATCAGACACCAGACCAGATTGAGGACTAGCTAAATCAGGGCTGGGAAGAAAACAGCTTTCAATCAGACACACCCACCAGTGTGCCACAACAATTTACCATTGCCATGGCAACACCCAGGAACTACTGCCCAATTCTATAGTAATAACCCAATGACCCAAAAGTTACTACTCTTTCCCTAGAAATTTCTGCATAACCACTCCTTAATCTGCATGCAATTAAAAGTGGGTATAAATATGACTGCAAAACTGCCCTGAGCTGCTACTCTCTGCGTATGGTGTAGTATGGTATAGCCCTGCTCTGCAGGAGCAGTCATAGAGCTGTAACACTGCCAGAATTATAACACTGCCTCTTCAGTAAAACTGTTTTCTTCTGCCTCTGGCCTGCATTTGAATTATTTCCTGGGCAAAGCCAGGAACCCTAGTAAGCTAAGCTCCACTTTGAAGCTCACCTGCCCTGCATCACAAGGAATCCTCGTTGAGATTAATAACTAGTTTCTCATCAGAAACCATAGAGGACAAAAACACATGGGATGATGCATTTAAAGTATACTTTTTTAAAATCCTGATCCCTTCACAAAAGCAAGCAGAGCAACTAGGATAGAAAGAAAAAAGAGCTACGGACAACTCAACAAAGGTGGATGACAAGTGGGAGGGGAAAGATTAGTGATTATAAGGTTCTCTTGGGCCTAAGAACCCTGAAAACTAATCAGTAAAATTTCCTTTCCAGGACAGAGTCCCACATTGGGAAGAATTGTGAGCAATAGAATCCAAAAAGGAAGAGGAGTGAAGGAAGTATATGAGTCCTGTAATAGTGAGAAAGGAGGAGACAGGAAGTGATTTCAAAAATCACTACGAGGCCATAATTTTGAAAAGTCCTGAGTTACAAAAGAAGAGAGAGTCTTTGAGCCCTGAAGCTAGGTAAAACTATCCCGGCAAAATCCCAGTCCCCTGCATAGTAAATTCCTCCCAAAAGTACAGGAAAATCCCCTTCACTTGAACGGGAGCAACAGAAAAATATTATGCTCTATCCCACATCAAAATATCACAAGTACTTTCTGCTTAATATCAGAAATCTTCCTGAATATCAGACAATCTGCAAAAAATGCTAATTAGGGGATATTTTCCCTCTATTTTGAATGGTAAAAACTCTAAGCATTACATATTAGGGGCCACTAAAACACCTAGGGTGTAAAATTTAACAAAGCACTGCCACTCAGGTTCATGGAAGTGTGAATAAGGTAATAGATGTTCTAGGTGATTTTTAATTTTTCATGCTTTTTCTATATTTTTAGCAATTGTTTATAATTCCCAAGTAACATTTATCTAATCCAAAAAGAATAATATTTCCTTTTTAAAAACAAAAAGGACACTTTTGGTCTTGTTTGAAAAGATCAGTTCTTACCCTTTAAGACACAGGTCAGACACACATGCAAGTACATTGTTAAAGATGGTGTAAAAGTCTCCCATTCCAACAACCTCAGGAAGACATTAGAATACTCTGTTGCATTCTGAATATAAACATAAGAGCCTGAAGTTTCTGACTTCAAGACCAGGGCTTTTCCTCAGGATTACTCTGTCCTGGGACTGTACCTTTTCTCTTTTTTTCTTTACATTTTTTTTTTGAGATGGAATTTTGCTCTTGTTGCCCAGGCTGGAGGGCAATGATGTGAACTCGGCTCACCACAACCTCCACCTCCCAGGTTCAAGCAATTCTCCTGCCTCAGCCTCCCAAGTAGCTGGGATTACAGGCATAAGCCACCACGCCCACCTAATTTTGTATTTTATTTTTAGTAGAGAAGGGGTTTCTCCATGTTAGTCAGGCTGGTCTTGAACTCCCAACCTCAGGTGATCTGCTGGCCTCGGCCTCCCAAAGTGCTGGGATTACAGGTGTGAGACACCATGACCGGCCTCTTTAGTTTTTTCTTTTTAGTTGACATGTAGTAATTGTATGTGCCTTCTCTTTCATATAAATTTTTGTTGTTGTTGTTGTTTTGTTTTGTTTTGTTTTGTTTTGTTTTGAGACAAGGTCTCCCTCTGTGGCCCTGGCTGGAGTGCAGTGGCACAAACATAGCTCACTGAAGCCTCAATCTCCTAGGCTCAAGTAAGCCTGCCACCTCCGCCTCTGAATGAGCTGGGGCCACAGGTATGTGCCAACGTGCCCAGCTAATATATTTTCTTTTTTGTAGAGACAAAGTCTTGCCATGTTGCTCAGGCAATCCTCCTGACTCACCCTCCCAAAGTGCTAAGATTACAGGTGTGAGCCACCACATGTGGTGGCCAATAGAAATTCTTTGATGGTTTTTTGATAGATTTTTTTCCCCAAGATAAATAGAAACATTTTCCCCAGCCTTTTAATTTTTAAAGACCTTTTAAGCTTAAGATGCCCTTTTCTCAACCCCCCCAAGCTGGCCCTTCATGCTTGCTCAAAAGACATTTCTAGAAGCCAATGTGAGAAAGCTGCACACTATATGATTCAAATTATATGACATTCTAGAAAAGGCAAAACTATGGAGACAGTACAAAGATCAGCGGTTGCCAGGGGATGGAGGAAGAAAGACATTAATAGTCAGAGCAGGAGGATTTCTTAGGAAAGGGAAACAATATGGTATCACAATGGTGGATACATGTCATTATACATTTGACAAAACCCATAGAATGTAAAACACCAAAGAGTGATCCATAATGTAAACTACAGATTTTGGGTGACAATGATGTGTCATTGCAGGTTCATTAAATGTAACAAGTGTTATACTCGGGTGGAGGATGTTGATAATCAGGAAGCTGGAAGGGAGGGGTGATATATGGGAACTCCCTGAACTTTCTGCTTAATTTTTCTGTGAACCTGAAACTTCTCTAAACAGATAAATTCTACCAGAAATGTAAACAAAAAAGAACAGAGAATGAGAGAGGGAGATTTTTTTACAAGAATATATAGAGGTGCTACAAAGGATGACTAGATGGGAGCTTTTAGACTCTGGAAGGGCACAGCAGTGCAGCAAAGCTTTCATATGGGTATCAGGGCACCAGCCCCCAATATTTCAATGTAGGTTCTTTCTATTTTCCCTAAGAGTCAGCTGGTCTGAGAAATAAAGAGAAAGAATACAAAGAGGGACATTTTACAGCTGGGCCTCCAGCAGTGTCATCACATATTGGTAGGAACGTGATGGCGACCCCAAGCCACAAAACCAGCAAGTTTTCATTAGGGATTTTAAAAGGGGAGGGGGTGTACGAACAGGGAGTAAGTCACAAAGATCACATGCTTCAAAGGGCAATAAAGGTCACAAGGCAAGGCAAAATTAGAATTACTGATGAGGGCCTATGTCCCACTGTGCACACATTGTCTTGATAAACATCTTAACAGGAAACAGGGTTCGAGAGCAGACAACCAGTCTGACTAGAATTTACCAGGCTGGAATTCCCCAATCCTATAAGCCTGAGGGTACTGCAGGAGACCAGGGCATATTTCAGTCCTTATCTCAACTGCATAAGGCAGACCCTCCCAGAGTGGTCGTTTATAGACCTACCCCCAGGAATGCATTCCTTCCCCAGGGTTATCAATTATTAATATTCCTTGCTGGGAAAAGAATTCAGTGATATTTCTCCTACTCACACATCTGTCTATAGGCTCTCTGCAAGAAGAAGAATATGGCTCTATTCTGCCTGACCCTGCAGGCAGTCAGACCTTGTGGTTATCTTCCTTGTTCCCTGAAAATCACCATTATTCTGTTCTTTTTCAGGGTGCACTGATTTCATATTTTTCAAACACACGTTTTACAATTTGTACAGTTAATGCAATCATCACAGGGTCCTGAGATGATGTATATTCTTAGCTTATGAAGATAATGGGGTTAAGAGATTAAAGTAAAGACAGGCATAAGAAATTATAAGAGTATTGATTGGGGAAGTGATAAATGTCCATGAAATCTTCACAATTTATGTTCAGAGATTGCAGTAAAGACAGGCGTAAGAAATTATAAAAGTATTAATTTTGGGAACTGATTAATGTCCATGAAGTCTTCACAATTTATGTTCTTCTGCCTTGGCTCCAGCCAGTCCCTCCATTCGGGTTCCCTGACTTCCCACAACATCTCTCCCTTTCTTTTTATATAAATGTGCCATGATGGTGAAGTCTTGTTTGTTCTCTCAATTTTGATGCAGGATTCTTTGACTGGTCTGGCACACTAAAAACAAGCCAATTAAGCAGAGAAACATAATTCCAAAATTTACTACAGTGGAGCCCCCAGTAGACTTAATCCAAGTCATGGGGTTTAGTCTAGAAAGACTTTCTGCCACCTGATCTAATGCCTCAGCTCCAAACACAATGGATAAATGAGCTTGAGAGGCTTCAAAAATTTGTTTCTTTAATTTAGTTATGTCCAAAGATAAATTATCTTCCCCACCCAGAAGGTGTCCTTTGAACATTTCCCATGAATGATGAGCCTCATTGTAGGAATATGGGGTGATAACAGAAATCGGAAGTATTCCAATCACACTGCATTTGCATGCAATGTTCAAGACTCACTACCTGATCTCCAAGCCAAATAACAGACTGTCTTAAATCATTAACTTGATTAGCCAATTTTTGATCAATGCCTTGTTTAGAATTTAGGTGGAATTGGCTTGCCAATCATTAACATAATGAGCCATTTGAACAGATTGATGTAATGCCATTCCAGCAGTGGTGGCCAGTGCAGTGACTGTAAATAGGCCCATGATCACAGCAATTAAAGTGAAAACAAATCTCTTGGATCTTTTTAGAATTAGCTGTAACACTTCATTAATTAAATGTACTGAGGGGGAGGATTCCTAAGGTCTGGACAAAGTTACCAGAATCCAGATTTCTTCTTGAGCTTAAACCAACATTACACTTTTCCTGGAGTCAAAACAGGAGTTAACACAAGTGTATAAATGACAATTGGTGCATTGGACAGTTTGATTGTTCATCCAAAATTTGATATTTCCCACTAACAGCATGTAAGGAGGCTTAACACAACTCTGTATGGGAATAATCAGGTTGGAGGTAAGCAAAGCAGAATGTCTGAATTTATGTTGATACTGAGGGAAAGGGACAGTAGCAGGGACAACAGACAGAAAAGTTTCCCCTTCCCATACTCACAGTCTGGACATGGCAATAGCCAATTTCCAAAGTTCTGGGTGTTCTGGGCTCAGAATGGGGAATATCATATGAGGCCTCGGGCGGCGGGGAGGGTAATCCCTTTATCTTCCCATTTTAAGGGAAAGAATGAGCTGAACCTCCTATGCAAAGTAGAATGTTGATTCTCATTCTCCCAATAAGAAATAAAGTAACTAGCCTCCAGTCATTCCCTTCCACCACAGGAGCAATTGTTTTGTAAATAGCCCTTTGGTGCCCAGTCTATTATTAAACCATATGAGTCATTTTTTAATATTACTGCATTGTGAGTTAACACAATCATCCCAAATTAAAGTTTTAGATGGGCCCTCAAAATTTTTAGGGCATGGTTTTAATGCAGGTTTATATTGAAAGTATGGGGTATCTCCCATTACTCCTCCCCCTTTCATTTGTCTTAAAGGAGAAAGGGAGAGGCTGGAGACCAAATGTCCCAGTTCCTCTGTACCTGATCTCTCCAGAAGATAAGCAGCCCAGACTTGAGTTTCTAGATGGATACAACCAGGTGCATGTCTGAAGCACAGAAGGGGGTATTTATAACCCATAGTAACATTAAAGGCAGTGCCTTCTTCTCCTGGTTGAGCGGGGCAGTGGTCATCTGTAGCTCCAGGCATCCACACACTATCGTTAGTATAGATTTCCACAGGAGCATCCATCCAGGTGAGAGGTCGAATAAGTGGAGGAGAAGGCACATAAGCCCAATAAGAATAATTTTGTGTAGCAGGTAAATCAGCGTGAGGGGAAACTGGTGAGACAGAACATATAAGGAGGAGAATTATTAAATAAAACCTATTGTAAGCAAGATGCAGTGCTGAAGGAGGAAGAGAAGAACAGAGGGATGTTATTTTCAGGCTAATAGAAATGGTGAGATTTTTAGGTTTGTGAGGAGAAAAAGAAAGGTAATTAGGAGAAGTGGGATTAGTTAGAGGGGTCTCTGTTGCCATCAGGGAGGATTGAACCAGACCCATTATGATTTGGTGTATCAGCTTCTGAGGAGTTGGCACAGATCTCACCACGTCTGAGGGCGGTCTCTGTTGTGGATGTCTTTTCCCTGTGATTTTCGTTGTCAGTATTCACACGAAGTTTAAGTTTCCTAGTGGGCACCCAGACAAGGGATTGATATCTCCTGGTGAAACACAAGCATATCCTCTTCTCCACGTTATGAATGTTTCAAGTTCCCAGGTATTGATTTGGGAGTTTAAGGCAAAGAATTAGGTAGAATATGTTGACTTGGAGCACTCTAAGAGTTATGTGGAGTATTAATTTCAGCCCCCCATTGTGCCAGCAAATCTCTACCCCAAAGATTAATGGGGATTGGCATGATATAAGACTGAATTTTACCCTTCTGACCATCAGGGCCAGTGCAAGGCAAGATAAATGTGCTCTGGTAAACTTCATCAGCTTTTCCAACACCTACTAGTCTATGTTAGTGGGATGTTTAAGCCAGGAGGAAGGCCATAAATTAGAGGAAATAATAGAAACATCAGCCCCAGTATCTACGAGGCCCTCAAACTTTTTTCCTTGAATGTGTATGGTGCAGGTGGGCCATTGTTTAGAAATTACATTAATCCAATAAGCGGCTTTTTCACCACCAGAGCCCATCCCAGGGCCATGTGTCTTATCTCCTTTGTTTAAAAATATATTAAGTAGTAAAAGGAATTGAGCAATTGACTCACCAGCCAGAATGGAAACAGGAACTTTGGTGGACATGATGAGTTTAATCTCATCAAGGGAATCAGAATTAATGAGACCAGTATGAATGATGATTCCTTTAGCAGAGGTGGATGCCCTACCTAACACCAAGCCCACTGAACCTTGAGGTAAAGGGCCAGTGATCCCCCATGGGGACAATTAAAGGCAAAGAATTCAGTAGTAAATTTAGAGGAATGGTACTACAGAGATCAACCACCCTGCCCCCTATTGTGGAGGTGGGCAAACATTGTACTGAGACAGAAGAAGAGGCTGGGACCCATTTGGGTTGGTTGTAGGTAAATTTGTTTGTGCTGGGGGCTGCGTTAGGACCACTTGAAGTGGAAACTCAATGCTGGTCTGAGTCTGAGGTGTCCCATTTGATATTGGGGCCTGGGACTGGCCCCACTTCCCATTTCCTTGGTTCTGTGGCACGGGGTTTCCATCTATATCATACTTAGAGTGGCAAGTACTTGCCCAATGTTTACCTTTGTGACAACGTGGGCAAACAGTAGCAGCAGCATTTGGCCTTGTTTGTTGAACTGGCTTGGCCACTTTTAAGTTTTTAACAGTGCAATTTTTTCAAGTATGACCAAGTTGACTGCAATTATAGCAGGCTCCAAGAAAAGAATCAGTGGAGCCAATTTGATTGCTGTCCTTCACGGCCCGTGCCCACAGAATAGCTTTGTGGGTCTCTGATCCAGTGCTTTCATAAGCTTTAATATATGCAGGCAACACCTCATGATCAGGTAAATTTTGTCATTGGATGGAACACATGGCCATTTTACACTCATGATTTATATTCTCAAAAGCTAACATAGGAAGGAGAATACCTTGAGCATACTCATCAGAGACAGATTTTTCAACAGCATCTTGTAATTTAGCTAAAAAATCAGGGTATAATTCACTGTGATCTTGTTTAACAGTAGTAAAAGAAACAGGAACTTGGCCTGGGGAGTGTAATTTATCCCAAGCGCTCATATACACCTTTGTTATTTGTTCCATGGTAAGAGAATCAAAGCCTAATTGGGCATAAGTATCAGAGAAATTATGGGAGCCTGTGAGCTGAGCCTGAGTAATTAGAATGACATCAGCCTGATTTAGCTGAGCCTCCAGACAGGCCTCCTCTGACCACCAGGTATGGAATTGTAAATGCTGAGATGGGGTTAGAATGGCTTTTGCCAAAAGGTACCAGTCTAAAGGAAGCAAAACGACCTCAGTACAAAATACCAATTTAACATATGGAGAAGTAGGACCATACTGAGTACAAGCATCCTTGAATTCTTTTAAAAAGGTAAGATTGAGCAGTGCATGATGCATTTGGATGCCTTGAGCATTAGGAGGATCTAGCGTGACTGGATAAGCCCACACATCTAATCCACTTGTTTCTTTGTTTTGGCATAATAAGCATTGCATGGAAGTTTCAAGAGTAGGCACCTGAGATGGGGTTGGCATAGAAGTGACAGGAAAAGCATGTGTAGATAAGGGAAACTAAGGTTGAGGAGGTCGGGCTGGAATGAGAGCATGAGAAAGGAGCATTGGGGGAGCAGAAGAAGCAGAAGTACACTGGTGATTACTGGCATCCATGTGTGAAGAAGGGTACAGAGAAGTAGGCTGAGTGGATGGCAAAGTGACCAGTTGAGAAACCAAAACAACAGGAGGGTGAGGGGCTGAAGCATATGGGGGAGGGCCTGCAGAATTATAGGTAAACTTTAGTTTGGTTCCAGAGCCATTAGGTTGCTCTGGAGACAAAGGCTGCAAAGTTTTGAAGAGGGAAGAATTAGCATATATATGGTCCCAGGCTGTCTGAGTTGGGGCCACGGGAGCTACAAGTACCAGCTCTTCATGAAAAAAAATAAGATCATCAGGGAGTGACCTTAAGCCAAAGTCACTGGAGTTAGATATTGAATTCTCAACATCATCAGGTGGGGAAGGAGTAGGCAAAGGGAGAGGCTGATCAGATAACGAAGGCCATGCAGGAGAGGAAGGCTGAGGAACAGATAGAGAGTCACAAGATTCAGAAAATTGTGGTAACTGCAGGGGGTAATGGGATAGGTATGTCATTAGGACAGCACATGCCAAGGCCCATTCACCCCACACAGGGATGAGAACATAACCCCCTGTGGGGATCAGTTCCTGGAATGTTGCACCAACATGATCCCATAGTTGTACATCTAAGATTCCTTTTTCAGGAAACCAAGGACAGTGTTCTTCCACTGCCCTGAATGGAGTGACCATATTTTCCATGGACACTTGAACCCCCTCCTGTTTTAACAGGAGTTTAATATAGCAGAGATAAGCATAATGTTTAGACTCCGTGTGACCCATAGTTAACCCAGACAATACACAGACAGACTCATCAATCATCACGGAGCCGAACAAGTGTTTCTGTGGACTGAACCAACGAACGTTTCTCTGCACCTACCAAAGGGAATCGGGTTCCCACATGCACTTAGGAAAAAGAAAAACCATGTTGGCACACTAGATATCAGGGGAACCAGCCCCCAGTATTTCAATGTAGGTTCTTTCTATTTTCCCTAAGTGTTGGCCAGTCTGAGAAATAAAGAGAAAGAGTACAAAGAGAGAAATTTTACAGCTGGGCCTCCGGCAGCGTCATCACATATTGGTAGGACCATGATGGTGACCCCAAGCCACAAAACCAGCAAGTTTTCATTAGGGATTTTAAAAGGGGAGGGGGTGTACCAACAGGGAGTAAGTCACAAAGATCACATGCTTCAAAGGGCAATAAAGGTCACAAGGCAAGGCAAAATTAGAATTACTGATGAGGGCCTATGTCCCACTGTGCACACATTGTCTTGATAAACATCTTAACAAGAAACAAGATTCGAGAGCAGACAACCAGTCTGACTAGAATTTACCAGGCTGGAATTCCCCAATCCTATAAGCCTGAGGGTACTGCAGGAGACCAGGGCATATTTCAGTCCTTATCTCAACTGCATAAGGCAGACCCTCCCAGAGTGGTCGTTTATAGACCTACCCCCAGGAATGCATTCCTTCCCCAGGGTTATCAATTATTAATATTCCTTGCTGGGAAAAGAATTCAGTGATATTTCTCCTACTCACATGTCCATCTATAGGCTCTCTGCAAGAAGAAAAATATGGCTCTATTCTGCCCAACCCCACAGGCAGTCAGACCTTAGGGCTATCTTCCCTTGTTCCCTGAAAATCGCCATTATTCTGTTCTTTTTCAGGATGCACTGATTTCATATTGTTCAAACACACATGTTGTACAATTTGTACAGTTAACACAATCATCAGAGGGTCCTGAGGTGATGTACATTCTCAGCTTATGAAGATAACAGGATTAAGAGGTTAAAGACAAGCATAAGAAATTATAAGAGTATTAATTGGGGAAGTGATAAATGTCCATGAAATCTTCACAATTTATGTTCAGAGACTGCAGTAAAGACAGGCATAAGAAATTATAAAAGTATTAATTTTGGGAACTGATAAATATCCATGAAATCTCCACAATTTATGTTCTTCTGCCTCAGCTCCAGCCAGTCCCTCTGTTCAGGGTCCCTGACTTCCCGCAACAGGTATGAGCTGTCATGCACATGGCTCCTATCTGAAAATCTAGTTCTTCTGGAATCTGGAACTGCTGGGCAACATCTCAGCAGTTTTCACCCTGCAGACTTAATTAGCTTCCTCTTCCTTATGTACCCTCTCTTAATATGGTATTTTGAAAGCCCAGTGTTGCCCAGGGGGCATCTCCTTTGGGTTTATGAGAGACCTGCATTCTCCCTGGCCCAGTTCTCTCAGGCTTTCCAGAGCTCAGGACCTCTGAGAAGAATGGAGCCCTCCTGGCTTCAGGAACTCATGGCTCACCCCTTCTTGCTGCTGATCCTCCTCTGCATGTCTCTGCTGCTGTTTCAGGTAATCAGGTTGTACCAGAGGAGGAGATGGACGATCAGAGCCATGCACCTGTTTCCTGCACCCCCTGCGCACTGGTTCTATGGCCACAAGGAGGTAAGAGGGGAAAATTAGTTGGGGAGGTTAAGGAACAGAAAGATGAGGTATTAAAAAAAACAGCACATATTGGTGGGGCATTATGTAATATGCAAAATGCTTTCACACCAATCTCATTTGATATTTACAAAAATTCTATGATAGGGGAGGAAACATATTGTTATTCCTATTTTACAGGTAAGAAAACTGAAGCCTAAAATAGAGATGCAACTTTCCTGTGCTACCCATCTCATAAATGACAGAAATGAAACTTGAACCCTGGTCTCCTGCTTCAAGGCCAAGGTCTTTACTACTTTCAGGACTCTGGGTGTTCTACAGAGAAATAGACCAAGCCAATTGTTAACAGGAAATATGCAAAGATGCTACAGCTTCTAATGAAGCTGGAAATAGGAAAACATTTGACAAATTAGAAAGGAAAGTTGAAAGATGAGCAGCAACCACAAAGGAGTAAAAGGCATGTGAGAGGCCAGGCATGGTGGCTCACGCCTGTAATCCCAGCACTTTGGGAGGCTGAAACAGGCAGATCATGAGGTCAGGAGATCAACACCATCCTGGCTAACATGGTGAAACCCCGTCTCTACTAAAAATACAAAAAATTAGTCGGGTGTGGTGGCGGGCACCTGTAGTCCCAGCTACTCGGGAGGCTGAGACAGGAGAATGGTGTGAACCCAGGAGGTGGAGCTTGCAGTGAGCCAAGATAGCACCACTGCACTCCAGCCTGGGAGACAGAGCAAGACTCCACCTCAAAAAAAAAAAAAAAAAAAAAAAAGGCATGTGAGACTTCGCTGCTTTGGAGACAGATAAAGCATGAGCGGGTATATCCAGAGCAAAGATGAGGTAGGGAATCAGTGGTTACTAACGGTTTACCTTGTGCCAGGAATTTTATGTTTATAATCTCACTTAATTTTCATGGCAGCTTTGTGAAATATATTTGGTTTTCCTAATATATATTTCTGTGAGGAAATCATGGCCCTAATGACGTAGATAATTTAAAAGTGTCAGAACTGGGATTTGAACTTAAATGTCCAAAGTTGACGCTGGAGTGAGAAGACCAATCGCTCAGCAACAGGTCCTGAGCACTTGCCCTGGGCCAGGAAGATTCCGTGGAGGTGCCGGAGTCACATGGAGAAGAAAACTTGCCGTCAGCAGATGTGAACCTGTCTGATGGGGTGGTGTCCACAGACCCTCAATTTAGCACATGGTCCATCTGAGGGAAAGGGATCCTCCTGGGATGACAACCTTTACTAACCAGTCATGACTTATCTTATGACAGTCTTACCCAGTAAAAGAGTTTGAGGTGTATCCTGAGCTGATGGAAAAATACCCATGTGCCGTTCCCTTGTGGGTTGGACCCTTTACGATGTTCTTCAATATCCATGACCCAGACTATGTCAAGATTCTCCTGAAAAGACAAGGTAAAAACCAAGAGGGGCTCACAGTACACAGCAGCAAAAAAGAGGGTCTCAGGGTGTCTGTGGCACTAGGGAAGGACAGGTTGAAGCATTTTTAAGGGAAATCCAACATTTGATAGGTTGAAGGGAAGATTCCATGTCCTCCTCAACATCATAGTCAGGACTCTATTGAGGGTTGTTGTAGAGGATTCTCTGATCCATTTCCAAGCAATCTTCTCTCCCTACATGACAAATTTTTTCTGATGCTTCCATCACATTTACTTACCTCAGACCCCCAGGACTACCACTTACCACCACTGTGAACATACAGTGGGTTGGGCATGCAGTGGTGGTTTGCTTACAATTGGCTTAACGCCAGTGCTGCACAGAGATGAGTGTTCCCCATAGATGCTTTGCCTACTAATCATGCCTGTCCTCTGGGAATGGCCAGTGCCAGGTGGAGGCTCTGGCAAGTGGACACCAGTTCTCCATCTGGTCCCTAGTGTCGGAATTCCGTGGAATTGCAGAGCTGCTTCTTGGCTGTGGCAAGATGTGTGTAGGATTCCCCCACTGGGCTTTCCTCAACTGCCTGTTGGCATATAAGGCTGGCCTTCGCCTCACTCTCCCAGCTACCTACATGAGTTACTCAGTTATAAAATGCCTCCATACCACTCTTGGTGCTTCTGCAAAATTTCAAGCAGCCTGTGGCTCTCTCATTTCACAGGGCACTCTGCCAGAATCACCATCTCAGCTTTCTTCCTGGTAATGGTGCAAGAAATGTCTGGCTATCCAGTTTCAAACTTTACTCTGCTCCCCTTTATGCTCTGCTCTCACCTTTGGACCTTTGCCCAAAAGGGATGAAAGAGGAAAGTGATTGTTTCTCCTTTGGAGTTATTTTCTCTTCTTTATCTACAAATTCTCTCTTCAGTGTGTTCACTCCCTTGAGGAGGGAGCCTTAGTTTTTGGCTGTTTTTCTTTTTTTGTGGTTGGTTGTAAGGGCATCTGGGCAGGCCATACAGGGAAAGCCATCCTTCCTGTTCATATTTTCTTCAGTCCCCATTGTCTTCAACTCACAACCTTAGCTCCTTCCCAGAGAAGCCAAGAATTTCTCTCCCTCTCTTGCTTTTTTTCTCTTACTGTTTTGTTTTCTTTTCCTTTGGTTTGTATTCCCTGCTGGTGCCTAAAATTGTCTCCTCCTCAGAGAAAAGGATAATTTTATGCCTTGAAGTGTGATAACTGTACAGTTACATGAGAAAAGAGCAGAATAATATACAGAGTATGGGATGTTAAGTTATTTATCTGCCACACATTAGTACTTCTTTTTGAGTCCCACTGCAGAAGCACAGTGGCCAAAAAAGGAGAGCTGAGAATCCTGCTCTTATTATTTCTGGCCAGACCCACCCAAATCATCTTATCCCCAGCTTTTTATTTTGAAAATTTTCAACCCTACAAGAGAAATTTTGAACACCCATTGTACCCTTCTCTAGTGTCATTAATTGATATCATATTCCCATATGTGCTTTTCTTTTAATTACATTCATTTTATTGTGGTAAAATATACATAACCTAAAAATTTACCATTTTAAATCACTTTTAAGTATACAGTTTAATGGCATTAAATACATTTACATTGTTGTGCAACTATCACCGCCATCCATCTTCAGAACTTTTTCATCTTCCCAAACTGGAACTCTGTACACATTAAACTCTAACTCCCCATTTTCCCCTCCCCCCAGCCTCAGGCAACAACCATTCTACTTTCTGTCTTTTTAAATTTCCCTATTCTAGGTACCTCCATAAGTAGAACCATACAATATTGTCCTTTTGTAACTGGCTTATTTCATGTAGCATAATGTCCTCAAGGTTCATCCATGTTGTAGTATATATCAAAACGTCCTTTCTTTTTAAGGCTGAATTTCCATTGTATGTATGTACCACATTTTGTTTATCCATTCCTCTGACAATGGACACTTGGATAACTTCTATCAGTTGGCTTTTGTGAATAATGCTGTCATGAACATGCATGTACAAATATCTGTTTGGGTCCTTTCAATTATTTCAAGTTGATACCAAAAAGTGGAATTACTGAGTCACATGATAATTCTATATATAATTTTTTGAAGAACTGTGATAGCATTTTCCACAGTGGCTGCACCATTTCACATACCCACCAGCAATGCACAAGGGTTCCAATTTCTTCACGTTCTCACCAACATTTGTTATTTTCTGGGGATTTAAAAAATAATAATAATAGCTACAATGGCTCACACCTGTAATCCCAGCACTTTGGGAGGCCAAGGCAGGCAGATCACTTGAGCCCTGGAGTTTAAGACCTGAGCAACATGAAAAAATCCCATCTCTATTTAAAAAAAAATAGACCAGATGCAGTGGCTCAAGCCTGTAATCCTAGTACTTTGGGAGGCCAAGTCAGGCAGATTACTTGAGGTCAGGAATTCAAGACCAGCCTGGCCAACATGGTGAAACCCCGTCTCTACTAAAAAAAATACAAAAATTAGCCAGGCGTGGTGACACATGCCTGTAGTCCCAACTACTTGGGAGGCTGAGGGAGGAGAATTGCTTGAACCTGAGAGGCAGAGGTTGCAATGAGCTGAGATAGTACCACTGCACTCCAGCCTGGGTGACAGAGCAAGACTTCGTCTCAAGAAAAAAAAATAATAAAAAATATGTTGTATTATTTAAACTAATACTAATAATAGCTATCCTAATGGATGTGAAATGGTATCTTATGGTGGTTTTTATTTGCATTTCTCTAATGATTAATTATGTTGAACATCTTTTCATATGCTTACTGGCCACTTATATATCAACTTCGGGGAAATGTCTATTCAAGTTTGCTGCACCTTTTTCAATTGGTTCTTTGGTTTCTTTTGTTGTTGAGTTGCAGTAGTTCTTTATATCTTCTGGATATTAATCCTTATCAGATATATGATTTGTAAATATCTTCTCCCATTCTGTTGGTGTCTTTTTTACTCTGTTGATAGTGTTCTTTGGTGAGCAAAAGTTTTTTATTTTATCAAGTCCAGTTTATCTATTTTTTCTTTCACTGCCTGTGCTTTTGGCATCATATCCAAAAAATTATTGCCAACTCCTATGTCATGAAGTTTTCCTTATGTTTTCTTCTAAGAGTTTTAAGTTGTAGCTCTCACATTCAGTTCTTTGATTCATTTAGTGTTAATTTTTTATATGGTATAAAGTCTGCATTTGCTCATAGATGGATGGATGATAGATAGATAGATAGATAGATAGCCAGAGCCAAACAACTTTTTATGCATAAGTTTTATCTGAGTTAATAGAGGTTAAAAAAATAGGGATTTTCTATTTCTTCTCCATTTTTCAGCTTTCCCTATCTATAATGAGGAACTTTCCTCCTCTCCCCACCCCCATCTGCCTTTCTCTCACTGTCTCACTTTCTGTCCCTCTGTTTCTCTTTCTGCATACCAGTAAGGATTCATGGATTGTTAAGAAATCAGTGTATTGAATTTCATTATCATCATCTTTTTTGATGGCCAAATTGTCCCAGATATGGAGAAGGAGACAAAGCAAGAGAAGAGGCTGGTAGACATGGGCCCAGTCATTCAGAACTTTGTAGGCTGAGTAATGGTGAGCATCAAAGGAGAGAAGTACTGTGAATATCTGTGTGTTTTGAAACATCACTCAGACAGCTGTATGATGAATGGCTGGAGGGAATCAAGGCTGGAGACCAGGAATCCACCTTATCCTGCTGCACTGTCCAAAGGACAGATGATGGAGGCCTGGACAAAGGTAGAGGGGTGGAGGTGGAAATAATTGTATGAATTCAAGAGATACTAATGAATGTACCAATATTTTTGACATGGGGGTATCAAGCTGTCAAGCAGTCCCTAAGCTACTTAGCTGGTTCACTGCACATTCATAAATTCAGTCAGCAAAAAGCCAGCAGGCCTGAATGGATTTAGACTGTTTATTACTCATGGCATAATAGGTATCATGAGCTTCACATTAACATCGGCCCCACTATCTCCCTAAGTCCTATAGGGGCAATGCAGAGGAACTCAGGTTAGTACTGTGCACACCAGGGTCTGTGTTACATTTGAGGAATTCAGACACGACAAGATCCTGACCATATATAGGGGCTATTGCCAAAAATGCTCTTCCTCACCCCTAGAAATAGGCATTGACTTTTATGTGTGTGACAAAATACACATAAGGTTTGCCATTTAACCGTTTTAAAGATCCAATTCAGGGACACTAAGTATATTCACAGTGCTATCCACCTATCATCTCTGTCTAGTTCCAGAATTTTTCATCAGTCCAGACAGAAACCTCATACCCATTTTAAGCAGTTATTCCCCATTCCTCCCTTGCCCCAGTCACTGGCAACTACTAATCTGCATTTTTGTCTCTATGAATTTACTTATTCTGGATTTTTCATATAAATGGAATCACACAATATGTGACCCTTTGCATTTTGCTTTTTTCACTTAGCATAATGTTTTCAAGATTCATACATTTTGTAGCATTGTTTCTTTTCATGAATTATATTCTACTGTATGAATATACCACATTTTGTTTATGCATTCATCTGTTAATAGACCTTTGAATTGTTTCAACTTTTGGCCATTATGCATAATGCTGATTTCATAAAAATGAAAAGCTTTTGTGTGTCAAGGGCCACTAAAAGCAACCTGTGCCTCCTGGGTTCAAGTGATTCTCCTGCCTCAGTCTCCCAGGTAGCTGGGACTACAGGCGTGCACTACCAAACCTGACTAATTTTGTATTTTTAGTAGAGATGGGGTTTCACCATGTTGGCCAGGCTGGTCTCAAACTACTGACAAGTAATCCACCCGCCTCAGCCTCCCAAAGTGCTGAGATTACAGGCATGAGCCAACGCACCAGGCCAAGACAAATTTTATTTTAATTTGCATTTCCCTAATGACTGAATATCATCTTATTGTTTGCCCATTGATGCTGAATATCATCTTATTTGTTTGCTGGCCCATTGTTTATCTTTGGAGATGTCTATTCAAGTCCTTTGCCCGTGATTAATTGGGCTGTCTTTTTATTGTTCAGTTGTAATAGTTTTTAAATATATATAGTACACAAGTTTTTTTATCAGATATATGATCTGCGAACATTTTCTATTATTTTGTGGTTTGTCTTTTAACCCTTTTAGTGGCCCTTGATACACAAAAGCTTTTCATTTTTATGAAATCTAACTTATTTATTTTTCCTTTTGTGGCCTGTGCTTTTACTATCATTTTTAAGAAACCATTGCCCAGTCCAAATTCATGAAGACCCTCCCCTATTTTTTCTTCTAAGAGTTTTATAGTTTTGACTCTTATACATAGGTCTTTAGTCCTTTTTTTGGGTAAAAGAAGCCTAAAGTAGGGGCATTTGTTTATTTATTTATTTATCTTTTATTTTAGATTAAGAGGTACATGTGCAGGCTTCTTACCTGGGTATACTGCATGATACTGTGAAGTTTGGGGTATAAATGATGCCATCACCCAGGTGCTGAGCACAGTACCCAACAATTAGTTTTTCAATCCTTGCCCCCTTTCCTTCCTCCCCCACCCCAGTAGTCCAGAGTGTCTATTGTTGCCATCTTTATGTCCATGAGTACTGAATGTTTAACTCCTACTTAAAAGTGAGATCATGAAGTATCTGGTTTTCTGTTCCTACATTAATTCACTTAGGATAATGTCCTGCACCTGCATCCATGTTGCTGCAATGATGTGATTTCATTGTTTTTTTTCCCCCTTTGGTACATTTTTAGTTAATTTTTGTATATAGAGTGAGATAAAGGTACACTTAATTATTGTGCCCACAGGTATTTAGTTTTCCCAGCACCATTTCTTGAAGAGACCATTCTCCCCATTGAATGGTATTTGCATCCTTGTTGAAAATGAATTGACAACAGATGTATGGGTTTATTTTTGGACTCTGATATCTACACTTAATGGCAGTACCACATTGTTTTGGTGACTATAGCTTTGCAGTAAGTTTCAAATCAAGGTGTATGAGTTCTCCAGCTTTGGCAGGCTTATCATACATCAGGTCAAACTTGTGGTCCAGGCAAGCCCAGGCCTCAGCAACTGCTGTGGTGTTGCTCAGCATGTACACAGGTCTCTATACCTTGACCAGGTCTCCACCAGGTACCTCACTGGGGGGCTGGTAATTAATACCAACCTTAAAGCCAATGGGATGCCAATCCACAAACTGGATGGTAGGCTTGGTCTTGATGGTGGTGATGGCAGCATTGACATCTTTGGGGACCATGTCCCCATGGTACAACAGGCAGCAAGCCATGTATTTACCATGGCAAGAGTCACATTTCACTATCTGGTTGGCTGGCTAAAAGCAAGCACTGGTGATCTCTGCTACAACAAGCTGTTCGTGATAGGCTTTCTCAGCAGAGATGGTGGGGGAATATGTGGCCAGAGGGAAGTGGATGCAGAGACAGGGCACCATTTTGGTCTAGACTTCTGTCAGATTAACTTTCAGGGCTCCATCAAATCTGAGGGAAGCAATGATGGAGGACACAATCTGGCTAATAAGGCAGTTAAGGCTAGTATAGGTTGGGCATTCAATATTGAGGTTTCTCCACAGATGTCATAGATGGCCTCATTGTCTACCATGAAGGCACAATCAGAGTGCTACAGGGTGGTATGGGAGATGAAGATAGAGCTATACAACTATAGCTGTGGAAATATGGGGGGTTGGGTATGCGGAGAACTCCAACTTGGACTTCTTGCCATAATCAACAGAAAGAACATTCCACCAGCAGAGAAGTGAACCCAGAACAAGTCCCCTCACCAAAGCAGTAAAAAACCAAGAAGTTCTGAAGACCTGTGCACTAGTCAACCAGCTTGCAAATTCAGTCCAAGATGAGGTCAATATAATCCCCTTTCCTATGCAAAAGTGCCCTCAAGTATAGTTATAGGCAGCATCTTCCTTGCTTGTGATGAGCTGCCCAGGGTGGAAGAGCTGGAAGTAGGTGCCAGTGTGAACTTTGTCAATGACCCTGGGTTCAACATCTACAAATACTGACCTAGTCACATGGTTGGCAGCACCTGTCTCACTGAAGAAGGTATTGAAGGAGTTATTTCCTCCCACACTAGTCTTGTCTCTTGGCCTTGCCATCAGGCTAGAGGCCATGTTCCAGGCAGTAGAGATCCTAGCAGGAACTGCCAATCTGGACATCAGCCTAGCCAACATGGAGATGCACTCACCTATGACAGGGACCTGTAAGGTTCTGCAAGGCTGAAGGAGGTGAAGGGACAGCAACAAGGATCTCCCACTAACAGACCACCACGGAGTCCAAGGGAGTAGTCCATAGTGTCCTCTTATAATCCTTTTATTATCTGTAATAATAAGTTGATAGTAACGTTCCCACTTTCACTTCTGATTGTAGTAACTTGATTCTTCTCACTTTTCTTCATAGTTCATCTAATTAAAGTTTTGTCAATTTTGTTAATCTTCTCAAAGAAATAACTTTTTGTTTGTTAATTTTTTTCTATTGTTTTTCCTGTTTTTATTTTATTTACCTCAGCTCTAATCTTTATCATTTCCTTCCTTCAGTAGCTTTGGGTTTCATTTGCCCTTCTTTTTCCAGTTCATTAAAGTGTACAGTTAGGTTATTGATTTAAGGAATTTATTTTTTAATGAAGACATTTAAGCTATAAAAATCTCATTAAGCACTGCTTTTGCTGAATCCCATAACATTGGGTAAGTTGTTTTCATTTTCATTTGCCTCAAAATATTTTCTAATGTCTTTTATGATTTATTCCTTGTCCCTTTGGTTGTTTAAGAATGTCTTGTTTAATATTCATGTTTTGTGAATTTTCCCGTTTTACTTCTGATATTGATTTCTAGTTTTATTCTATGGAGAGGTATTTTTGTATGATTTCAATCTTTTTAAATTTATTGAGACTCTTTTTGTGACTTACCATATGATCTATGCTAAAGAATGACCCATGTGTACTTGAGAAGAACATGTAATCTGCTGTTGTTAGGTGGAGCTTTTAGAACATGTCTGTTTGGCATAATTATAGTGTTGTTCAAGTTCTCTATTTCCTTATTAATTTTTTGTATCATTGTTCTGTCCATTATTGAAAGGGATGTAGTGAATTCTCCAATTATAATTTTAGAACTGTCTATTTCTCCCTTCAAAGCTGTCAGCTTTTGCCTCATATACTGTGGGGTTCTATTGTTAGGTATATATTTATATATTATAACTGTTATATCTTCTTGATGGATTGACCCCTTAACAATATATAATGTCTTTCTTTGTGTCACAATATTTTAAAGTATAGTTAACTGATAATCACCCAGCTCTCTTTTCCTTACTGTTTGCATAGAATACCTTTTCTACCCTTTTACTTTTAACCTCTTTGTTTCTTCAGATCTAAAGTGAGTCTCTTGTAAGCAGCATATTAATGGATCCCATTTTTTTAGTCCATTCTGCCAGTCTCTGCCTTTTAATTGAAGTTTAATCCATTTACATTTAAAATAATTACTGATAAGGAAGGACTTATTTCTAACATTTCACTGTTTGTTTTTTATATGTCTTTTTTTTTTTTTTTTTTAGAGACAGGGTCTTGCTCTGTCACCTAGGGTAGGGTCCAGTGGTGTCATCATAGCTCACTGCATCCTCTAGCTCCTGGGCCCAAGTAATCCTCCCACTTCAGCCTCCTGAGCAGTTGTAACTATAGGCCTGCACCACTATGCCTGGCTAATTTTTTCTTTTGTATAGACAAGGGTCTCACTATGTTGTCCAGGCTGGTCTCAAACTCCTGGCTTCGAACAATGCTTCCCCCTCAGTCTCCCAAAGTGCTGAGACTACAGGTGTGACCCACTGTGCTCAGCCTGTCATATATATTTTATGTTCCTCACTTCCTCCATTACTGCCTACTTTGGTGTTTAATTGATTTTTGGTTTTTGGTATGGTAACATTTTTATGTTACTCTTCTCATTTCCTTTTCTGTATATTTTCAGTTATTTTCATAGTGATTAACATGGGATTAAAATTAATACCTTAAACCTATTGGAAATTTTTAACCATTATTTCTTCAACTTAGTTTTCTCTCTTTGCTCTTCTGGGACTCCAATTATGCATATGTTAGTATGCTTGATGGTGTCTCACAGGTCTCTTAGGACCATTCATTTTTTCATTCTGTTTCCTATTTCTGCTCCTCAGATTCAAGAATCTCAATTGACCTAACTCCAACTTTGATAATTTTTTCTCTGCCTGCTCAAATCAACTGTTGAAACCTTAGGAACTTTTTATTTCAGTTACTGTATACTCCAGTTCTAGAACTTTATTTGTTTCTGTTTACAACTTATATGTCTTTGTTAATATTCTCTATTTGTTCATACATGAGTATTTTGGTTTTGTTTCATCTTTGGCCATGGTTTATTGTAGGTCTTTGAGCATATTGAAGACAGTTGATTTAAAGTTGTCTAGTAAGTCCAACGTCTATGCTTCCTCAATAACATTTTCTTTTCATTTCTTTTTCCTGTGCATAGGCCATACTTCCTTGTTTCTTTTACATGATTTGTAATTTTTTTGTTTAAAACTGAACATTTTAAATGTTATGTAAGAAAAAAAGGAATAAAAGAAAAAAAGGTAGGAAAGAAAATAAAAATACTCTCCAGGTCTTTCCTGGTTGGTTCTGGGTTGGGGCACACCTCTAATATTTAATCAGGGCATTTACAAGTTTGCCTTAGCTTTCTCTTTCTTCTTGCACTTTGTGTAAGGACTAGTCAAAGTTGAAAGCCTGTGGTCTTATCAGGTCTTTTCCAACCATGCATCCTACCCTGGGTATGTGTAGGTTCCCTGTTATATGTGAGAACTTTTTAAAGCATTGATTCCAAAACAAAATTCTCATTCCCAGCTTTTCCTTCTAGATTTTGGTGTGTTTATTATTGCCTCAATTGTTCTTTTTTGTCCCAGGAATCAGTGCTAGTTCTTTTGCCTCTCAATGTTTTTGAGGAACACTTCCCTGCCCTGAGAGAATTCTGAGTTAGGTAAAACATAGGAAAGCCCCTCTCCTTCAGAAAACCCACACAGAAGTCAAAACAAACAAAATTCCTTGAGAACAAGGACCACTCTGCTTTCTCTAGGATCCAGGAATCAGAACCCACTGAGAATGCAGGCTGCCATCTTCAAGATTGCCATGGTACTGGAGAGGGATGTGGGGCAAAGCTAAATTGCAATGCCACCAATCTTTTCTATCCTTTTTCAGTGGCCTTTCTTCTGATTAAGTGTGCACCTGGTTGCTGTAAACAATTAACTGTCTTCCAGAAATCTGCTAAAGTTGACTATAACAGTTTTTGCCAGATAATTTTTGTTTTTGCTTTGGGAAGGGATGGCCCTGGACAGTTCCTAATCCACCATTTTTGCTGATGTCACTCTTAGACATTATTTTTTAGGACCCTGGAATGTCTAGAGTAGAAAGGCTCACGCTTATTAGGCTTAAATGTAGACATACATACATTCTTTCCAAAATAGTTTTGGAAACATCCTTAACAATTCTATCAATCTCTTTTACCCATTTCTGAAGAAATGCCAGAATTATCTTCCAACAAGTAGATTAGGAGGATGAGAAAGTGGAATTAGTTAAGAAGGAGTCCCAACTTTTGGTAGGGAAAATAGGGAATACACTTGTGCCTTTAAGTGGATAGAGGAAGAGGAGGCTATCTGGTAGTGAAGGGATAGATCAGGTTTGGATTTGCTGGGGTCCTGAGGTGTCTGTGTGGTACACAAAGGGAAATGTCTAGAGGGCAGTGGTTTTATATTGAAGTCTATGGACAGAGGGAGAGAGAGAGAGAGAGAGAATACACTAGGGACTGAGAGAGTGAATGCCATAAGATATCTTCTTACCCTCAGAACTCAAGGTATTTTATAGGTTCATTTCACCTGGACTTCTGCAGAAAGTGAATCTCATGTTAACAATCCTCTCTTTTCCTAGATGTTCATATGTTTTCTCCCCCATTTTTATTTCCCTGTCTTTATCCCACATAAAGATGTTGATGGAATGAATAAAGGACACTAATTCTTGTTTTCCCAAAACTGTAAAACCTAGGTTATGTCCCTTATCTTTTCTTCTGATTCATTTATATACATCTTTCTCAAACAAATCCAACAAGGGTAAAATCTACAATTTATCTCAAAGTCATGTTCCTGTGTCTAGCTGTACATGTCTATGTGAAAAGGAACTGGAGCTTTAAAATGTTGTCAGAGTTCCCCAACAAAAACAAATGTATTTTTTCAACTTATGTTGAAAGAAAATTATACTCTGAAAATTATACAAAGGAAATTATGCTCTGTTTTCCACTGCTATTGACCTCGTAGCACCAAGTGCTGTGGAGAAAGAATAAACAAGTTCTCATTCTAATTCTGTGGCTTCCCTGGGACTCTCGGTACTGAAGAACTAGCCTCCAACCACCTTGCACACTAGCTATTTGTGTTACCCACAAGGAATATGGAAACATACAAAAATTTCCTCTCATTTTAACTCGTGATTTTCACTTAATGCCATCTTTTGCCTCCTTTGTTCTGTTTTACAGATCCCAAAAGTGCTGTTAGCCACAAAATCCTTGAATCCTGGGTTGGTATGTGTATTAGTCCATTCTCATTCTGCTATAAAGACATACCTGAGACTGGGTAACTTATAATGAAAAGAGGTTTAACCAACTCATGGTTCTATTGGCTGTACAGGGTTCTGCTTCTTGGGAGGCTGCAGGAAACTTACAGTTGTGGTGGAAGGAAAAGGAAAAGCAGGCACACCTTCACGTGGCCACCAGGAGTAGGGGTGGAGTGTTACACATTTTTAAACAAGCAGATCTAGGGAGAATTCTATCACAAGAACAGTAAGGGGAAAATCCACCCCCATGACTCAGTCACCTTCCACCAGGCCTCTCCTCCAACACTGAGGATTACAATTTGACATAAGATTCAGGTGGAGGCACAGAGCCAAACCATATCAGTATGTGTGTCTGATCCTTTCTCATCTGAGCCTGGTGGAGGTGGAGGTCGGGGGAGAAATTACTTTCCTGATAGACACGAAATGCTCCTGTCTCCCTCACCTTACCACAACCTACACTCGCTTTTGCTTCAGAAACCTGAGCTCAATCTTGCCTTGTCTTTCATAGCTTCTCCTCTTATTCTACCTGTTTGGGACTGGTCCTTTATTTCTGGTGTAACTAGGGGTAGGGGTGGAGGAATAAGAAGGGGCCCGGGGGGTTGTATGCTCTCCTCCTCACACCAACTGATGTCACTATCCCAGGTAGTCCCCACTTGAGGATCATGGAAAGAGAAGGAGAGTCCCTCAGCCTGCTAACATGGACCTTACTGAGAATGGTGCCCTGGAAGAGGTTGCCATTGTGAAAGTTGCTTAAGATCATTCTCTCTCCTTTTCCCTCCACACTTCCCCTCCCTTTTCTGGGCAACCTGCCTGTGCAGCTAAGCAAGTTCACACCAGAAGATTCAGGATCTGGGTAGTAGCCCCAGATCCCTGGATCAAACGTGCATGGGCACCTTCTCTCCCTCTCCTTAGATTTCCCACCTTACAGAGAATTTAAAATATTATTCACCACAAATTTCATTATCAGTTTTCCACAATCTAATTGCCCCTGGAAAATCTTGCTCTTGAGGATCCCTTTGAAAGAATCCACTCTCATAAACTAAGTCTTTTATGAACTCAGTGGAGACCTCAAACCCACTTGTCCAGCAGGAATGATAAAGAAAAGCCCCTTTAGTCCTCCATCATTGATCCTCAGCCTGAAGAGAAGCACAAAAGTGATGGAAAGAAAGCAGCACCTCTGCTTCAGTCTGGAACTTTGTGCCAGTCTAAGGCAGTATTTCTCAAAGTGTGGACCTGAACTAGCTGGGACCCTTGTCATAACTCAAAAGTCCTTGATTCTACTTCAACATCTAGGAATTATTGGCTCTGAAGGATTAAGCTAAGGAATCTGCCTCTAGCAAGCACCTCGGGCAATTCTCACCCACCCTAAATTTGAACTCTTATCAAGAGGCTGATGAATCTGACCATCAAATAGGATAGGATGGACCTTTTTTTGAGTTCATTGTATAAACAAATTTTCTGATTTGGACTTAATTCCCAAAGGGTTAGGTCTACTCCTGCTCATTCACTCTTTCAAAGCTCTGTCCACTCTAGCTTTTCTCCAGTGTCATAGATAGGGAATTGCTCGCTGCCTACCTAGTCTTTCTTCACTTACCTGGCCTGTGATAGAAACAGTTGCCCCTCTCATTTCATAAGGTCGAGGACTTGTGACCCTGGATGGTTCTAAATGGAAAAAGCACCGCCAGATTGTGAAACCTGGCTTCAACATCAGCATTCTGAAAATATTCATCACCATGATGTCTAAGAGTGTTCGGATGATGCTGGTAAGAGGAGAAGAGAGCATTCGTACCTGGCCTCTGAAGTGAGGTGCTGCCAGCCGTATGGTGTGGGAGACTCTGTGTTCCCTCAGAACCATGATCACAGCAGTTTATATGGGGTTATTTGATGTTTAGACCATGACCATCATCATCAGGGCAAGGACCCTGTCTTGTATACCCAACACTTCTCACAGGGATGGACTCAGGGTAGGTGCTCAATGAGAAGTAGCTGAATGAATGAGTGAGTGAGTCCAGTAGACTCACTACATTTGGAGAACACAAGGCAGAAGAGCAAAGACACCCACAGGAGTAGCCATGCCAACATAGAGAAATGTATCATGTTCAGGAGGTCGAGTCAGGAAAGACTTCCTAAGAAAGGTGACACGAGCTGAGTCTTGGAGAATGGGGAGGATTTCTAGAGATGGGGACTCAGAGAAAAGATGGCCTTGTGGTCAAGGAGAAAAGGGAGCTTTAGCTTTGGCTGAGGCAGAAGAGGGTGCAGAGATGTCACAAGACAATCTAGAACCCATAGAGAAGACACAGTTGTATGTATCCACACCTGTCCTCTTGGAGTTTGGATGGCAAAGACATGCGAGGTGGTTTTGAGCACACCTAAGGTCTGTTTCAGGGGTCCTGAATGAGGTGATTGCGACAACTCAAAGACTAAGTTTCTAAGATCCCAGGCATGGAGTAAAGCAATTCTATACACAGGATCTCAATCCTAGTCACAAAGACTTCTTAATGATACAGGGGCTCAGAGACATGGGTTCCCCTGAACACGTCAGCTTGGATTCATACTGGCCCCATATTTTCCAGTGTGCCATGTTGTTATCCTTTATGACCCTCGTCACCATGCCCATGTCCCATTCCAAAATAAAAATCAAAGCAAAACATATAAATATAGCGACTGCAAATACTTTTTAAGCACTTACTATGCATCAAGCTTATTATATCCTTTTATACTACTACAGTCTTACAATTTTGCTGTATTATCTCCATTTTGCTAGTAAGGATATTGAGATGCAGAGATTAAGCAGTTTGTTTAAAGTCACAAGGCAGGCCAGGTGCAGTGGCTCATGCCTGTAATCCCAGCACTTTGGGAGGCCAAGGTGGGCGGATGGCTTGAGCCCAGGAGTTCAAGACCAGCCTGGCCAACATGGCCAAACCCCATCTCTACTAAAAATACATGATCATAAGGCAGATTAGGGGAAGAGTTGAGTTCAAACTCAAGCCTCCTTGAGTTGGAAGAGCACACCCTGAACTGATGCACCTCTCTTCGAGTCTAAGGCTCCTTCCTGATGATGCCCCCTTCAGCCTGCTCCAACCACTGCCTCTCCTTGCAATGCCCTTACCCACATCCAAACAGACACCACCCCCATTATCACCTACCTCATGCTCTTTCTCTACTCTTCTTGGCTCCATGACAGTTGCAATCTTTCAGAACATCTGATTTTAGTAACATGTTTGGAAAAAAGCTTTCAAATTGAATTAATTAATTAATTCACATTACAGAGTTAATAACAGCTTAACAGTGTATAAATATTTATATTGAAATGGAGAACTTCGTCTCAATAAACATTTGGCTTTTGACAAAGTGAAATTTTCTGGGATATTGGCAGGTATGTCCAAGGGGGTAAATACATCTGAATTCTAATATATAGTTGAGGGTTTTCTGTCTTGACTCTTAACTGCAAACTCTTTGAGAACAAGAACTATCTCTAATTCCTTTCTAAATTCTCAATGGATCTGGGAAAAAACTTGTCAAGTACTAAATATTTTTAGGGATCTTTTCCTAGAATCAAAAACCTCTGTTTATTTATGCTCTCTACAGATGTTTTTGAATTCTTATTTATTTTTTATTCCATGTTTTGTCAGCTTAGTTTTTCCATGATAAAAGTCATATAAATTGTACTAATGAAACTTGAAAAAGAGGGAAAAATAGCTATTTCCCCACCCTTACAAAGTCACAAATAGCATCTAAGGCACAGTATCATTTTCAGTACTGACAAGGTGTTTTATTTTATATGGTTGTCATAATAAGGCAAATTCATTTTGTACACTTTATATTTTCAAACCCCAGCAAACTCTAAAAGGGACATAAAATAACTTAGAAATTGGGAAAAGATGGGCATGTGTATGATCATGATATTCATCCCCTGCCCCAGAACAAATGGGAGGAACACATTGCCCAAAACTCACGTCTGGAGCTCTTTCAACATGTCTCCCTGATGACCCTGGACAGCATCATGAAGTGTGCCTTCAGCCACCAGGGCAGCATCCAGTTGGACAGGTCAGTGGTAAAAGGAAGGTAATTGTTTGCCAATAACTGTGTCACCCACTAACATGTTGTTCCATCTTCCCTATTCCAGTACCCTGGACTCATACCTGAAAGCAGTGTTCAACCTTAGCAAAATCTCCAACCAGCGCATGAACAATTTTCTACATCACAACGACCTGGTTTTCAAATTCAGCTCTCAAGGCCAAATCTTTTCTAAATTTAACCAAGAACTTCATCAGTTCACAGGTTAGTCCTGGGATTTACATGGCCAGAGTCCACTATGAGACATCTCATTGTCTGAGACATTGACTCTGGTTATGGCTGCTTCTACTATGGACATATGGCATGGTCATCATTCAGAAATGCTAATTTGTACCTCTTAAATGAATGTGCTACATAAATGCTATGTAGAGGGTATTATATTATTGACTATATATAGCTGCATTTTAATGTTTGGAGTTAGAACTAATACAATAAGCAAAACATCTGTCTATTTTGCTTCATTTCTTATGGAGCAGCTTCAGATGTGAAGAAAAGTAAAAGTGAAAGGAAGTACATTTCTGTAGGAAGACAGAGCAGGACATCTGAGCAAGTACTGAACATGAGTGGGTACTGCCTACTATGCACAGTTCATCAAACAACACAGCACACCACTGAGGATTCCTTTTGCATGGGTTTTTGGGGACTTAGGACATAGATAACTTTGAGGGACCATAGGTCTACCTATGACAATAGCCATTTACAATTGGAATATATTTCTGATTTATCATTTTATCTTGATAAAATTGGCCTCTTTTTCTCTAATAATGCTTCTAGTCTTAAGATCTACTCTATCTGATACTAGTATGATAACCTCTGCTTTCCATTGGTTAGTATTTTGATAGTATATTATTCCATACTCTTTTATTTCCATTTCTGTGCCCTTATATTTGCGGTTTATGTATTTTTTTCTTTTTCTTTTCCTTTTTTTTATTATTATACTTTAAGTTCTAGGATACATGTGCACAACGTGCAGGTTACATATGTATACATGTGCCATATTGATGTGTTGCACCCATTAACTTGTCATTTACGTTAGGTATATCTCCTAATGCTATCCCACACCCCTCCCCCCACCCCACAACAGGCCCCAGTGTGTGATGTTCCCCTTCCTGTGTCCAAGTGTTCTCATTGTTCAATTCCCACCTATGAGTGAGACCATGTGGTGTCTGGTTTTTTGTCCTTGTGATAGTTTGCTGAGAATGATGGCTTCCAGCTTCATCCATGTCACTACAAAGGACATGAACTCATCCTTTTTTATGGCTGCATAGTATTCCATGGTGTAGACGTGCCACATTTTCTTAATCCAGTCTATCATTGTTGAACATTTGGCTTGGTTCCAAGTCTTTGCTACTGTGAAAAGTGCCACAGTAAACACACGTGTGCATATATCTTTACAGCAGCATGATTTATAATCCTTTGGGTATATACCCAGTAATGGGATGGCTGGGTCAAATGGTATTTCTAGTTCTAGATCCTTGAGGAATCGCCACACTGTCTTCCACAATGGATGAACTAGTTTGCAGTCCCAACAACAGTGTAAAAGTGTTCCTATTTCTCCACATCCTCTCCAGCACCTGTTGTTTCCTGACTTTTTAATGATTGCCATTCTAACTGGTGTGAGATGGTATCTCATTGTGGTTTTGATTTGCATTTCTCTGATGGCCAGTGATGATGAGCATTTTTTCATGTGTCTGTTGGCTGCATAAATGTCTTCTTTTGAGAAGTGTCTGTTCATATCCTTCACCCACTGTTTGATGGGGCTGTTTGTTTTTTTCTGGTAAATTTGTTTGAGTTCATTGTAGATTCTGGATATTAGCCCTTTGTCAGATGAGGAGATTGCAAAAATTTTCTCCCATTCTGTAGGTTGTCTGTTCACTCTGATGGTAGTTTCTTTTGCTGTGCAGAAGCTCTTTAGTTTAATAAGATCCCATTTGTCAATTTTGGCTTTTGTTGCCATTGCTTTTGGTGTTTTAGACATGAAGTCCTTGCCCGTGCCTATGTCCTGAATGGTATTGCCTAGGTTTTCTTCTAGGGTTTTTATGGTTTTATGTCTAACATTTAAGTCTTTAATCCATCTTGAATTAATTTTTGTATAAGGTGTAAGGAAGGGATCCAGTTTCAGCTTTATACATATGGCTAGCCAGTTTTCCCAGCACCATTTATTAAATAGGGAATCCTTTCCCCATTTATTTTTTTGTCAGGTTTGTCAAATATCAGATGGGTGTACATGTGTGGTATTATTTCTGAGGGCTCTGTTCTGTTCCATTGGTCTATATCTCTGTTTTGGTACCAGTACCATGCTGTTTTGGTTACTGTAGCCTTGTAGTATAGTTTGAAGTCAGGTAGCGTGATGCTTCCAGCTTTGTTCTTTTGGCTTACGATTGACTTGGCAATGAGGGCTCTTTTTTGGCTCTATATGAACTTTAAAGTAGTTTTTTCCAATTCTGTGAAGAAAGTCATTGGTAGCTTGATGGGGATGGCATTGAATCTATAAATTACCTTGGGCAGTATGGCCATTTTCACGATATTGATTCTTCCTACCCATGAGCATGGAATATTCTTCCATTTGTTTGTGTCCTCTTATTTCATTGAGCAGTGGTTTATAGTTCCCCTTTAAGAGGTCCTTCACATCCCTTGTAAGTTGGATTCCTAGGTATTTTATTCTCTTTGAAGCAATTGTGAATGGGAGTTCACTCATGATTTGCTCTCTGTTTGTCTGTTATTGGTGTATAAGAATGCTTGTGATTTTTGCACATTGATTTTGTATCCTGAGACTTTGCTGAAGTTGCTTATCAGCTTAAGGAGATTTTGGGCTGACACAATGGGGTTTTCTAAATATACAATAACGTCGTCTGCAAACTGGGACAGTGTGACATCCTCTTTTCCTAATTGAATGCCCTTTATTTCTTTCTCCTGCCTGATTGCCCTGGCCAGAACTTCCAACACTACATTGAATAGGAGTGGTGAGAGAGGGCATCCCTGTCTTGTGCCAGTTTTCAAGTGGAATGCTTCCAGGTTTTGCCCATTCAGTATGATATTGGCTGTGGGTTTGTCATAAATAGCTCTTATTATTCTGAGATACATCCCATCAATACCTAATTTATTGAGAGTTTTTAGCATGAAGGGCTGTTGAATTTTGTCAAAGGCCTTTTCTACATCTATTGAGAAAATCATGTGGTTTTTGTCTTTGGTTCTGTTTATATGCTGGATTACGTTGATTGATTTGCATATGTTGAACCAGCCTTGCATCCCAGGGATGAAGCCCACTTGATCATGGTGGATAAGCTTTTTGATGTGCTGCTGGATTTGGTTTGCCAGTATTTTATTAAGGAATTTTGCATCAATGTTCATCAGGAATATTGGTCTAAAATTCTCTTTTTTTGTTGTGTCTCTGCCAGGCTTTGGTATCAGGATGATGCTGGCCTCATAAAATGAGTTAGGGAGGATTCCCTCTTTTTCTATCGATTGGAATAGTTTCAGAAGGAATGGTACCAGCTCCTCCTTGTCCCTCTGGTAGAATTTGGCTGTGAATCCATCTGGTCCTGTACTTTTTTTGGTTGGTAGGCTATTAATTATTGCCTCAATTTCAGAGCCTGTCATTGGTCTATTCAGAGATTCAACTTCTTCCTGGTTTAGTCTTGGGAGGGTGTATGCGTCCAGTAATTTATCCATTTCTTCTAGATTTACTAGTTTATTTGCTTAGAGGTGTTTATAGTATTCTCTGATGGTAGTTTGTATTTCTGTGGGATTGGTGGTGACATCCCTTTATCATTTTTTTTTCGTCTATTTGATTCTTCAAATGTGTCTATTTGATTCTCCAATTTTTTTTTGTTTTTTGTTTTTGTTTTGTTTTGAGACAGGGTCTCACCTTATCACCCAGGCTGCAGTGTGGTGGCACTATCTCAGCTCACTGCAGATTCAACCTCCTGGGTTCAAGTGATCCTCCTGCCTCAGCCCCCCAAGCAGCTGGGACTACAGGTGTGTGCCACCACACCCGGCTAAATATTGTATTTTTTTTTTACTAGAGGCAGGGTTTCACCATTTTGTGCAGGCTGGTTTCGAACTCCTGAGCTCAAGCAATTTGCCTGCGTCAGCCTCCCAAAGTGCTAGGATTACAGGCGTGAGCCACTGTGCTCAGCCAAGGTTTATTTCTCATATGCAGCATTTATTTAGATTTTGTTTATGTAGTCTGAAAATCTTTGTGCTTTGGTTAGAGCATTTAAACCACTTATATTTAATGTAATCACTAGAATATTTGGATTTCAACATGCCGTGTAACTATTTGTTTTCTATTTAACCGATTTTTATCCCTTCTTTTATTAATTGCTGGATCATTTTATATTATTATTTTTTCTGTTTTAGATCATAAGTTTAGTTTTCATGGGTATGCTAGAAATTACAACATGTAGTCTTTATTTATTAGAATCTAACATATGTAATTACATTATACTTCCCTGAAAATGCAAGGATCTTACACCATTTGAACCTCTATTTACTACTTCTCATATTTTTAAATATTGTTGTGATGGGTTTTTTTAATAATTTTTTTTAAGTTCCGAGGTATATGTGCAGGATGTGCAGGATACGGATAATAATTAGGCAAAATATTACAGCAATTAGAATTTTACAACCAGAATTCCACATTGTGGAAGTTATTCTCTAATGACAAGTCAAGGGGGAAATGTATGCTTTTCTTAAGAAAAATGTTACTTTTATGTTAATGTTTCTGGTAATGCACAGCGACACCTAATGGAGGCAAACCAATATTGCAATCCATTGGTGTAACAGGTATCAAACTCTGTTATGGCCTATAGGATCCCCATTAACAGTGATACTCTTAATACTCATATATTCTAACCCTATATTTTAAACCTTCTTGTAAAATTTATCTCTTTTCACCTAGAAGCAATCAAACTCCAAACAGTGCTGCAGGCAGAACCACACATGAACAAGCTATTTTTTTGAGAACCCTTAGATCAACCTCAGGAGGAGGCCCAACTGCCTTTCTCCCACACAACGCCCCTTTTCAGCAGGCAGTAGCAAGAAGGAATTGTCGTCCAATGCCCCTTCACAGCAGTTAGGTTTGCTTAGAGAATAAGTTCAGGCTTAGGCCATTTTTATAACTTGCAATATGATTGGGAGAAATATGATATTGATGCTAAAACAACTTTAGCGTTAATCTCACAATTCCTTTTCTTTAATTATTAATTTTTTCTGACTTTCATAGACCCTCTTACAACACACTTAAACTTTCTGACATGTCCTAAACATTCTTCCTTTAAACAACCAGTCATCTTTTTTAGGACAAGTATTTACCATACAAAATCCTTTCTTTTATAAAATCTTCTTCTTTATAACCTTCTCTTCATAGCTTAAAATGGATTATATTATGAACCTTCAGTAAAAAGTCCTATTAAACTTAATGATAGTAAAATTTTCATACTTGTTTCTTGTCCATAACTATTACTCCTGCCATAAGCAAAACAACCTTGACTAAATCTTTCCTGCAATTATTAATCCTGTTATAAGGATAATAATTAGGCAAGATATTACAGCAATTAGAATTTTACAACCAGAGTTCCACATTGTGGGTGCTACAGTGTATACTTCTTTTGCAAATAGTAGCATGACTATAACAATTCCCACAAGAGTGGCATAGTAAATAATTTCCTTTGAAAAGTTTACATAACATTTCCCTTTGGGGATTTACAAAATTACAAATGCGATTCTATGAATAATTAAAATCTCCCTGCAAATATGTGTTAAAAAGAAGTTTTAGTATCTGGTGATGATCTTTGAGAGGAAAGGTTAGAAATAGTGAAAAGTATCTGGTGAGGTAGGAGAGGGACTGAGTAAGATAAGTAGCCGTCACTCAGTTACTTATCTTTTATGATTTTCAGCTTAAGATCCTCTGTTTCTTCACATTGATATGGAGACATTCCTCTGAGCTGTCAGGGGTTGCTCCCTCAGCTCTTCAGGCTTTGACTTGAGTGTGATGTATCCAGGAGTTGATTCCTGTAACTTTTACTGCTGAGGGGGTTGAAAGAAGAACAGTGTAGGGCCTTTTCCAGCTTGACTTAGGGAAGGAGAAAGAGCTGAGAGTTTTCACCAATACCAAATTTCCTGGGTTAAATAAAGGTGTTTCTATTTCTTGGGATTGGGTTCTTGTTAGTTGTGTTATCGTCTATTGGAAGTGAGCTAGAGAGTTTACATGCTTAACCAATTTAGAGGTTTCCTGCCTGAAACAATCTCTGAGCACATTGATAAGTTTTTGTCCTTTTCCAAGTGAAAAGCTTGGCAAAGGATTTTAAGGACTTTCCATTGGCTGGAGGCTGGCAAATAGAGTTTGCCATCCTGACTGTAACCATCCTGAGAACTGAAAAGTATGCCCTTGAGAAGTGGCCTATTTTATTTCTGCAGGGGAATACTGGGGTTTAATTTCTCTTATGAAGCCTTCCTAAATTAGAAGGGGCTTGAAGCATGTTGATGCCCTGAGGCTTCCTTGCCTTTGATTTAGCTGCCTGATCAGCTAACCTATTTTCTTCGGCTATCTTATTTGTTCCCTTTTGATGTCCCCTGCAATGCATCCCTCCTATTGCTCATGGAAGAAAAACTGAGGATAATAACCTGCTAATTTTGTGGTGATATTTTATAGGAGGTCCATTGGCGGTTTTCCTTTTAAATGGCAGCATGAGCATGGAGAGCTAAGAGAGCGTACTTGGAGTAGGTATAAATGTTAGCTACCTTTCCTTGCTTAATTCAAGTGCTCTTGTAAGTGCTATTAGCTCAGTCAATTAAGTGCTTGTGCCTGGGGAGAGACATTATTTAGAGTGACTACTGCTTATCCTGCCTTATGTACTTCTTGCTTTACTGGCTGTTTGTTAACTAAGAGCTCCCCCTACAGGACAGTGATAATGCCACATCATGTGGAGTGTAAACAGTTAAATTATTTCCTAGGGTTAACCTGGAGGCTTTTTTTGCTAGTAGAGCTGTTATGACGATGGTTTGGAAACACGTGTAAACAATAAGTTCTAACTGCAACTAAGGTTGAGAAAAATATTGGATCAGAGTTTTTCCTGATATGCCCCTTCTGGTCGTGCTATGGGAAGAGGGGAGGCCTGGAGTTAAAGGGGAGAAAGGAGACTGGCTCTAATGTTCAGAAGGAGGTCCGCTTTCCTTCCTTTAATTTCCAGAATCACCCAGGGCTCCCGTGCTGTACTAGCAGTTTGAGCCACTGGAGTCGGCATTTGAGTCCCAGGACCCATCAGTCCTGCTGGACCATCTGTGAGAGTGGTCCTGAACCCAGTGACCTCCACCTCTGGGGGCACTTCCATGTCCAGTGATCTGTGCCACAGGCTGGACAGGGTCACGCTGGCTTTGTCTTGCTGCCTGGGCACTCCTTCTTAAAATGCCACACCGATAGAAACTAGCGGATGCAACTTGGGGATCCTGGACTTTGCAAGCCTGCAAAGTTGGTGCTACCGTCTCTCTCCTTCTCCTGAGCTTTTTCTCTTTCTTTTGGGCCTCCCCCTGGTCCCTATTATAAAAGACCAAAGTGGCCACCTTCAGGAGGTTCTCTAAGGTGCTATCTGGTCCTATAGCTTGCTTCTGTACTTTCCTTCTAATATTGGGGTTCTAGTACAGCCTCTCTCAGCCTTTCTGTAAAGGCTACGGAATTCTTATCTGGCTTCTGGTCTATTATAGACAGTTTAGAGTAATTGAGAGGGTTGGTCCTGGTTTTCCATAGGCCTTCTAAAATGCATATTAAAAAGTGCTTCCTTTTCCATTTATCTTCTGAGTTATTGGGGTTGCAATTAGGGGTCTTTACCAGAATTGCCTCTCTCCCAATTGGGAATGGTGTTTTTGCTATTTCTTTACTTTCCCTATCTGCTTTCTTCCCTTTTGGTGTATTATAGGAGATATATTGCTCATCTCCAACATTTTCTGTTGCTTGCAGAGCTGCCTGCTTTTTAGCTGCTGTGAGGGTCTGGTTTAGGAACAGCATAACATCCCTCCATGGCAGGTGAAATACCTGAGTTAAATTTTGGAAAGCCTCTAAATACCTATCAGGGTCATTAGAAAACTGGCCTAAGTCTCCATTTATTTGCCTAAGGTCCTATAATGAGAAGGGAACTTGAAGGGGCCCCAAATAAGGGGAATCCTCAGATGGTTTCCCTGGAGGTTACTTCTCTAATTTGGGGGAACTATTCTTTTTTGGGCCTGCCTGATATGATTGTTAAAAGAGTTGGGTTGATCTTACGATGTTTGCAAGGGTTTAGTAAAAATGCCATGCACTTGTGCAAAAGAAAATGAGTTGCTTTTCTTTTTGAAGTCCTGAGGTTAAAGAAGTTCCAGTGTTTCAGAGTGCACTCCAGAGGGGTGCAAGCTGAAGATAATCTGTTACCCATCTAGAAAAAGATGTGAGAGTTCTTTTAGTCTCCTTCCTTTCCATATGACCCAGGGTGAAGGACAAGACAGGGGAGCATCCTTCTGGCTGTTTTCTCTCCCTGGTTCTTGGGTCCCAGCACCCTGTTAACTATGCCACCTATGGTCGAAGGCGTGGTCCTCCAAGCTATGGAACCAGATGAACTAAGTGATGCTTTACCCACACAACCTTAGCTTATCCACCTTGTGTCATTCCTCTTTTCACTTCCTAAACCTGTGTGATCTGCCCGGCTCCCCAAAATATGAGAGACTGTGTCATTTTTGGGCAAGCCTCCTTTAATGGAGGCAATGTGCCAAATTGCCTGCTATTATGGCCCATGCTAAAGCATTTACCTTAGAAAAATGGTTCCAGTTAACTTCCAAACTTAGAATCCCCTTACTAAGTACCATTTTAGTAGGAAACAGATTGGATGTCTTAAAAGAACATAGGAACTGAGGGGCTATTTTCATGCTGATGGGACAATATGGAGACTAAAATTTGGCTATGGAAGACATTTTACTCCTAACTGCTAAAGGCAGAACTTTCCTGTTCACAGAAGTAGCTTAGAGCCTAGTTTCCAGTAGAAAAGGCACAAAAAGGAAAAGTTGGAAAGCTGCAATGTACTGTAGAGAACTAACAATGTGTGTTATGGAGAGAATTTCTATTTCCACTAGTCATTTATCAGTTCCAGGAGCCTTTTGGCAGAGTCTTCAGGGTTTTCCAGGCATAGAATTTATCATCCGCAAGGAGAGATAGTTTGATTTCTTATTTTCCTATTTGGATGCTTTTTATTTCTTTCTCTTGCCTGATTGCTGTGGCTAGCATTCCCAGTATTATGTTAAATAGGAGTGGTGAGAGTAGGCTTCCTTGTCTTGTTCCAGTTCTCAAAGGGAATATTTTCAGTATTCCTCCACCACTCATTTTGAGCACCAGTCTCTACCATGAGATATGACATCTCATCTTTTTCTTTAAAACCAAAGCCTAGGTTGTACAAATTAAGCTCAGCGATTGGTAACAGTACCCTACATCACAAACAAATTTTACAACCTTTGAATTAAATTTATGTACCAAGCACCTCTAAGCATATATGTCAAACACCTCCAACCTTTACAACAACTCGGTGTGATACATTTCAACATTCTTACTTGAAGGAAGAGAAATTGTGGCTAAAGGGTGAAGTACCTGTAGGTCAGGGATGGGACCATTTAAAAAAAAAAGACAGCTGGTGGTACTGTCCCTTACCAACTCAGAAACATGGGGGGGGTGCCAGGGGGTCCCCATAAAGCACCAGCTTCTCAGAACTACATTTGGCTTTGATTGACTTTCCAGTAACCTTGATAATAACAAAGATCATAATTTTTCCATCTAGAGAAAGTAATCCAGGACCGGAAGGAGTCTCTTAAGGATAAGCTAAAACAAGATACTACTCAGAAAAGACGCCAGGATTTTCTGGACATACTTTTGAGTGCCAAAGTAAGTCTTCTAAACTTCTGAACACATGCAACTCAATAATTAAATAATAAAGAAATAGGCCGGGCACAGTGACTAGCACCTGTAATCCAGCATTTTGGGAGGCCAAGGCGGGCAGATCACTTGAGGTCAGGAGTTTGAGACAAGCCTGGCCAACATAGTGAAACCTGGTCTCTACAAAAAACACAAAAATTAGCTGGGCATGGTGGTGCATGCCTGTAGTCCCAGCTACTCGGGAGGCTGAGGTGGGAGAGTCATTTGAACCTGGGAGGTGGTAGAGCAAGACTCTGTCTCAAAAAATAAATAAGTAAAATTAAAATATCAAATAAATAAATTAGAAAAACTTACTTATATGATAACTGATGCATATTGAACTTCCCTTGTGAAGATTTGCCTCCTTGTCCTCCCAGGGCTTTCCCTCATGCCTCCAGTGTCACATTTTAATTATCTGGGCACTTGTCTGTCTTTTTCCAAGCCCACAAGCTGCTGAAACCTTCTTCCTCAACATGTGGTCTATAGACCAGCAGCATTGGTAAAACCTGGGAGCTTGTTAGAAATGCAGAATCTTAGGCCCTACCTCAGACCTAGTGGGTTAGAATCTTCATTTCAACATATCCCTCGGTGTTTCATTTGCAATTAAAGTTTGAAAAACCCCATCCTAGAAGACTAGGATCATATTTTATTCCTGTTTCCCTAGTGATTAGCACAGTGCTTGGTGACTGGCTCATGAGGTGTCCATGTGATGTTCATGAGAAAAGTGAAGGACTTGGCAATTGACAGTCACTCAATATATGACAACTATTGTTGCACACCAGGCTAGCAATCCTGTAAGGATAAAATTAGATTATATGTGTAAAGATCCTGACATGTGGTGAGAAAAACAATATTTTTATTTTATTTTGTAGTTATTATATATTTTAATACATATTTATTCATAATTTTTGCTTATGTGCCAAGCACCTTCAACCTTTATTATAACAACCTGTGGGGTATTTATAAATATCTTTATGTAAGGAAGAGAAATTGTGGCTCAAAAAGTGAAGTGAACTGCTCAAGATGACATACCTAAAACTAACAAAGCCAGGATTTAAGACAATTCTGGTTCAGTCCAAATCCCATGCCATTTCCATTGTACTAGATGGCACTACGTGAACATAATTTTCCATCATCATCTCCAAGTGTTCAATAAATATTTGCTGAATTTAATTGTGCTGAATTATTTGAGGGAAGAAAAATAAATAAATACTCTGTGAGGGACCAAAAATAAATAGATACTCTGTGAGGGACCAAAATAAATAAATACTCTGTGAACTCAACTTTCATTGTGTTGGCTACCTTGATCATGTGAAACACGACTCTTCCTAAACCAGGACTACTAAGAACAGGGCACTGCAAAATGAGGTGGATTTGGAAGTGAAATAGAATTGCCAGGAACTAATGACTTGTTAAAAACACACACACACACACACATTTAATTTTCTGCTGAGCCTGGTGGCTCATACCTGTAATCCAGCGACTCAGGAGACAGAGGCAGGAGGATCACTTGAGGCCAGGAGTTTGAGACAAGCCTGGGCAACATAGTAAGACCCCATCTCTACAAAAATTTAAAAATTATCCAGGTGTGGCAGCACTGCCTGTAGCCCTAGCTACTCTGGAGGCTGAGGTGGGAGGATCACTTGAACAGGAATTCAAAGCTAATCATGCCACTGCACTCCAGTCTGTGTGACAGGGGATGACATCGACTCTAAAAATAATAGTAAAAAATAAAATAACATTTTCTGATTAGAAAAATAGTACTCATTGTTTTCATTTTGAGTTAATATCTTTTTTCTTTTTGATTTCCAACTCTTAAGTTCAGGGGTACATGTGCAGGATGTGCAGGTTTGTTACATAGGTAAACGTGTGCCATAGTGGTTTGCTGCACAGATCATCCCATCATCTAGATATTAAGCCCAGCACTCATTCGCTATTCTTTTTTTTTTTTGTATTTTAACAGAGCCTCACTCTGTCGCTGAGGCTGAAGTACAGTGGTGCAATCTTGGCTCACTGCAAACTCCGCCTTCCGGGTTCAAGCGATTCTCCTGCCTCAGCCTCCCTAGTAGCAGGGACTACAGACATGTGCCACCACGCCTGGCTGATTTTTTCTTTTTTTTTAATAGAGACGGGTTTTGCCATGTTGGCCAGGCTGGTCTAGAACTCCTGATCTCAAATGATCTGCCCACCTCAGCATCCCAAAGTGCTGGGATTACAGGCGTGAGCCACCATGCATGGCCTCATTACCTATTCTTGATGCTCTCCCTCCTCCCAGCCCCCATCCCCCAACAGGCTCCAGGTGTGCTGTTCCCGCACCACGTGTCCATGTGTTCTCATCATTCAGCTCCCACTTGTAAGTGAGAATATGTGGTATTTGGTTTTCTGTTCCTGTGTTAGTTTTCTGAGGATAATGGCTTCTAGCTCCATCCATGTCCCTGCAAACGACACGATCTCATTCCTTTTTATGTCTGCATAGTATTCCATGGTGTATATGTACCACATTTTCTTTATCCCATCTATTATTGATGGGCATTTAAGTTGATTCCATGTCTTTGCTATTGTGAATAGTGCTGCAGTGAACATACGTGTGCATGTATCTTTATAATAAAATGATTTGTATTCCTTTGGGTATATACCCAGTAATGGGATCATTGGATCAAATGGTATTCCTGCCTCTAGGTCTTTGAGGAATCACCACACTGTCTTCCACAAGAGTTGAACTAATTTACACTCCCATCAGCAGTGTAAAAGTGTTCCTTCTTCTCCACAATTTCCCCAGCATCTGTTGTTTTTTGAATTTTTAATAGCAGCCATTCTGACTGGCATGAGATGGTATCTCACTGTGGTATTGATTTGCATTTCTCTAATGATTACTGATGTTGAGCTTTTTCATGTGTTTTTTGGCCACATGTATGTCTTCCTTTGAGAAATATTTATCCATGTCCTTTGCCTCCTTTTTAATGGAGTTGTTTTTCTTGTAAATTTAAATTCCTTGTAGATGCTGGATATTAGGCCTTTGTCAAATGGATAGATTGCAAAAATTTTCTCCTATTCTGTAGGTTGTCTATTCATGCTGATAATAGTTTCTTTTGTTGTGCAGAGAAGCTCTTTAGTTTAATTAGATCCCATTTGTCAATTTCTGCTTTTGTTGCAATTGCTTTTGGCGTCTTTTTTTTTTAATTTTTTTATTATTATACTTTAAGTTTTAGGGTACATGTGCACAACGTGCAGGTTAGTTACATATGTATACATGTGCCATGTTGGTGTGCTGCACCCAGTAACTCGTCATTTAACATTAGGTATATCTCCTAATGCTATCCCTCCCCACTCCCCCCACCTCACAACAGGCCCCGGTGTCCTATGTCCTGAATGGTATTGCCTAGATTTTTGTCTGGAGTTTTCATAGTTTTGGGTTCTTTAATCCATCTTGAGTTGATTTTTGCACATAATGTAAGGAAGTTTCCATTTTTTCCATATGACTACCCAGTTCTCCCAGCATGGTTTATTAAATAGGGAATCCTTTTTCCATTGCTTGTTATTGTTGACTTGGCTGAAGATCAGATGATTGTAGGTGTGCAGTCTTATTTGTGGGTTCCCTATTCTGTTCCATTGGTCTCTGTGTCTGTTCTTGTACCAGTACCATGCTTTTTTAGTTACTGTAGTCTTGTGGAATAATTTGAAGAGGCCTCCAGCTTTGGTTTGTTTGTTTGTTTGTTTTCTTAGGATTGTCTTGGCTACTCAGGCTCTTTTTGGGTTCCATGTGAGTGTTTTGTTTTTTTTTTTTTTTTTTGAGTCTGAGAGTCTGACTCTCACTCTGTCACCCAGGCTGGAGTGCAGTGGTGTGCTCCTGGCTCACTGCAACCTCCACCTCCCGGGTTCAAGCGATTCTCATGTCTCAGCCTCCTGAGTAGCTGGGATTACAGATGCCAGCCATCATGCCCAGCTAATTTTTGTATTTTCAGTAGAGATGAGGTATCACCATGTTGGCCATGCTGGTCTTGAACCCCTGAACTCAAGTGATCCTCCCACCTTGGCCTTCCAAAGTGTTGGGATTACAGGCATGAGCCACTGCACCCAGCCCCATATGAATTTTAAAAGTTTTTTCTAATTCTATGAAGAATCTCAATAGTAGTTTAATGGGAACAGCATTGAATCCATAAATTGCTTTGAGCAACATGGCCATTTTCATGATATTGATTCTTCCTATCCATGAGCATGGAATGCTTTCCCACTTGTTTGTGTCCTCTCAGATTTCTCTGAGCAGTGGTTTGTAGTTCTTCTCAAAAAGGTCCTTCACTTCCATTGTTAGATGTATTCCTAGATATTCTATTCTTTTGTGGCAGTTGTGAATGGTAGTTCATTCATGATTTGGCTCTTAGCTTGCCTGTTGTTGGTGGAAAAATAGTACACATTAATTGTTAAACAAAATTAAATAGACAGTAAAGGAAATTAAAACTGCCTGCAATCCCATTTGGTAATACTATCATTTTCCTTCAATATTTTGTCTATTCAACTTGTATATTTTTAAATTACTATTATCTCACATATACATATGTAATACATTTCTAATGCCGCTCTTTTCACCTAATATTAAATCATGAGCTTCCCCCTTATCATTAAGAAGTTATTCAAAGACATAATTTTAGTTACTACATAATGTCCCATTTTATGGATGGTCCATAACTTATTTTTACCTTTCCCTATTTTTGGCCACTTATGGTCTTTCCTTCTTTTGACTATGGTATTAAACATTCTCGTACATAAATCTCTTGTGCAATTGTTAAACATTTTCTTAGAGTTTATTCCTTTAAGTAGAATTAATAAATCAAAAAATATGAATGTCCATAGGACTCTCGATTTATTCTGCCCAGTTGAATTCTGTTGAGTCATTTCTTTTTACATCACCTGGTGTTCTGTTAAGGTTTGAAAAAAAGTAAAATAGAAAAATATATGCCAAATTAGTTGTATTAATTTTGAATTTTGAAACATTAATATTTTTGTATTATCATTGCTACAATTGAAAAATATAACAATCCATAGCCAGCTTTGCATAAATATCATCACTGTATTTTTTAGAGTGAAAACACCAAAGACTTCTCTGAAGCAGATCTCCAAGCTGAAGTGAAAACGTTCATGTTTGCAGGACATGACACCACAACTACTGCTATCTCCTGGATCTTTTACTGCTTGGCAAAGTACCCTGAGCATCAGCAGAGATGCTGAGATGAAATCAGGGAACTCCTAGGGGATGGGTCTTCTATTACCTGGTAAGATCTGTATTCCTATTTCATCCTGAATTTTCCCCTTATACATTTGATTATTTCTCTCTTCCGGTATCAGTGAGTTACTGTGCATTGGGATAGTCTGTATGCATTTGGAAGGGTAAAGATACAGGCTAGAGTCCTATGTTATTTAAAGATTATCACTAGTTTTTATGTGGAAAAACATTGTGTCAATCACACAGTATTCAGTATGCCCTTTTTTTTTTTTTTTGAGACGGAGTCTCGCTCTGTCGCCCAGGCTGGAGTGCAGTGGTGTGATCTCGGCTCACTGCAAGCTCCGCCTCCCGGGTTCACGCCATTCTCCTGCCTCAGCCTCCGGAGTAGCTGGCACTACAGGCGCCCGCCACCATGCCCAGCTAATTTTTTGTATTTTTAGTAGAGATGGGGTTTCACCGTGTTAGCCAGGATGGTCTCGATCTCCTGACCTCGTGATCCGCCCGTCTCGGCCTCCCAAAGTGCCAGGATTACAGGCGTGAGCCACCGCGCCGGCCAGTATGCCCTATTTTATAACTTTCCTCACTTCAGGCACTGGTACAATTGCGGAAGGAATAGTCTGCCTACCTTTTTTATGTCACGGAAGGCAGGAATATAACAAACCCCTCTTTCTCCAAGATGTAAATGGACTTCTTAGGACTCCAGCTTTTACCACCTTAGATTGCCCAAGTAAGATGTTCAGTCACTTGACATGAAAGAGAATTCACACCCCTCTTCCTTATCACCATCTCTGAACCTTAAACACTGCCACCCCACAATGATGATTAACCTTGAGCTGCTGGGTATTTCATGGTGTTAATAAAACCAAACTGATCATGTCTTAAAAACTTTTAAAGTGGTGAAACATAGAACACATTCAAAAAGTACAAAGAACAGATGTACAGCTTAAAATGTTGTCTAACAAACGCCATATAGTTGCAATCCTGGTTTAAAAGAAAAATTGCACGTTACCAGCACTGCTAAAAACCTCGTGCCTGCCTTCCCATCACAAACCCCTTCTATTTCTCCAAGATGTAAATGTTTTCCTGACTTTAATAACATTCATTCTTTGTTTTTGTTTATAGTTTGTTGCCTAAGCATGCAACTTTAAATACTAGAGTCTAGTTTATCTTCTGTTTGAAGTACATATGAATAAAATCATACATTCTTTTGTTTGACTTCTTTTGCACAGGATTCACTCATTTTTTAGAGGAGCTTCTTTTCGGTCATTTTCATTCCACTATGGAATTCCATTATGTATAAATCATGAATCCTATATCCATTCTAGTGTTGATGAACATTTAGGCTATTCTCAGGTTTTGTTTTGGTTTTGCTATTACAATGGCTCCTTCTTATCTGTGGTTTCACTTTCCATGATTTCAGTATCCACTGTCAACCGTGGTCCAAAAATATTAAATGAAAAATGTCATAAACAAACAATTTATAAGTTTTAAATTGATGCCATTCTGAGTAACATGATGAAATCTCCTGCCATCTCCCTCTGTCCCATCAAGGATGTGAAGCATTTCTTTGTCCAGCGTATCCACACTGTATATGCTACCTGCCAGTTGGTCACGGTTGGTGTTGGTTATCAAATCAGTTGTCTTGGTATCACAGTGCTTGTGTTCAAGTAACTCTTATTTTACTTAATAATGGCCTCAAAGTATATGAAAAAACAGTATATACAAAGTTCAGTACTATCCATGGTTTCAGGCATCCACTGGGGGTTTTGGAACGTATCCCTCACGGATAAGTGGGGACTACTGTATAAATAATGCTTTTAAGAACAACCATCCAGTTCTGGAATTTTCTTTGTTGGAAGACTTTTTGTTACTGATTCAATCTCACTACTCATATTGGTCTGTTCAGATTTTCTATTTCTTTCCAGTTCAATCTGGGTAGGTTGAATGTTTCCAGGAATTTACCCATTTCTTCTAGGTTTTCTAGTTTGTTAGTGTATAGTTGTTCATAACAGTCTCTAGTGACCTTTTGTATTTCTGTGGTATCAGTTGAACGTCTTCTTTTTCATTTGATTTTATTTGGATCTTCTCTCTTTTTCTCTTTGTTAGTCTAACAGTGGTTTGTTGATTTTACTTATCTTTTCAAAAACCAACTTTCATTTTGTTGATCCTTGCATTGTTCTTTTAGCCTCTACTTCATTTAGTTCTGCTCTGATCTTTATATTTCTTTCCTTCTACTGATTTGGGGTTTAGTTTGTTCTTGTTTTTCTAGTTCCTAGAGGTGCCTCATTAGATTGCTTATTTGAAATCTTTCTAGGTTTTTGCTGTAGGCACTTATTACTATAATTTCCATCTTAGCACTGCTTTTGCTGTATGTCATAGGTTTTGGTAAGTTGTGTTTCAACTTTCATTTGATTCGAGACTTTTTTTTATTTCCTTCATAATTTCTTTCTTGACTCATTTGCTGTTCAGGAGAATGCTGTTTAATTTCCATGTATTTGTACAGTTTCCAAAGTTCCTCTTATTATTGATTTCTAATTTTAGTCCTTTGTGGTCTGGGAAGACACTTCATATGATTTTAATTTTTAAAAAATGTTTTCAGACTTGTTTAGTGTCCTCACATATAGTCTATCCTGGAAAATATTCCATGTGCTGATAAGAAAAATATGTAATCTGTAGCTTTTGGACAAAATATTCTGTAAATGTCTGGGAGGTCCATTTAGTCCAATGTGCAATTTAAATCCATCTAGACCATCCAAATTTGTCTAGATGGCCTGTCTAAAGCTGAGAGTTGGGTGCTGAAGTCTCCAACTGTTATTGTATTAAAGTGTATCTCTTTAGTTCTAACAATATTTGCTTTATATATCTGGGTCCTCCAATGTTGGATGCATACATGTTTAGATTGTTATAACCTCTTGCTAAACTGATCCTTTTATCATTATATAATGACTTTCTATGTCTTTTTTTATAATTTTTTACTTTTTCTCTGATATAAACATAGCTCCTCCTACTCATTTTTGGTTTCTGTTTGCATGGACTATCTTTTCCCATTCCTTTACTTTCAGTCTATATGTGTCTTTACAGGTGAGATGAGCTTCTTGTATACAGCATATAGTTGGGTCATGTTTTTTAATCCATTCAGCCAGTATATATCTTTTAAGTGGAAAATTTAATTACATTCCAAGTTATTACTGATATGTGATGGCATATTGCTGCCATTTTATTAATTGATTTCTGGTTGTTTTGTATATACTTTGTTCTTTTCTTTCATTGTTTATCATTGTGGTTAGGTTGTATTCTGTAGTGGTAACATTTGAGCTTTTTCTCTGTCTTGTTTGTGTGTTAGTTTTACCAGTGATCTTTATATTTTCTAGTATTTTCACTATGGCAATTATCACTCTTTTACTTCTGGGTGTAGGACGCCCTTGAGCATTTTTCGTAGGTTGAGCCCAGTGGTGATGAATTCCCTCAGCTTTTGCTTGTTTCTCCTTCATTTATGAAGGATAACTTTGCTGGGAATAGTATCCTTGACTAACCATTGTTTTGTTTCAGCACTTTGAATGTATCATCCCATTCTATCCTGGCCTATAAGGTTTCTGCTGAGAAATCTGCTGTTAGCCTAATGGAGGTTCCTTTATAAATGACTGGTGACTTGACACTGTTCTCTTGCTGTTTTTAGCATTTTCTCTTCATCTTTGTCTTTTGACAGTTTGACCATAATATGCTATAGAGAAGACCTTTTGAATTGTATCTATTTGGGAATTTTTAAGCCTCCAGTATGCGGATGTGTAAATCTCTTGCTAGACTTATGAAGTTGTCACCTATTATTTTATTAAAGGGTTTTCTAACCTTTTTGTTTTCTCTTCACCTTCTGGGACACAAAAAATTTGAATATTTGATGATTTTATGGTGTCTTATATGTCACATAGGCTCTGCTCATTCTTTTTTATCCTTTTTTATTTAATTTTTCTGAGTTATTTCAAAAGACCCATCATCAAGGTCTGAGTCTGCTTGATCTAGTCTGATTGTTGGAGCTTCCAAATGTATTTTTTATTTCATTCAATGAATTTTTCAGTTTCAGAATCTCTGTTTGTTTTTGTTTGTTTGCTTGTTTTTTAAGAGACAGAGTCTCACTCTGTTACCCAGGCTGGAGTGTAGTGGCATGATCATAGCTCACTGCAGCCTCAAACTCCTGGGCTCAAGCAATCTTTCTGTTTCAGCCTTCCAAGTATCTGGGATTACAGGCATGTGCCACCATGCCTGGTTAATTTTTTTAAATACAGATAGGATCTCACAATGTTGTCCAAGCTGGTCTTGAACTCCTGGCCTCAAACAATCTTTCTGCCTCAGCCTCTCAAAGTGCTGAGGTTACAGGTGTGAGCCATCTTTTTTTATATCTGTCTCTTTGATGGATTTCTCACTCATATCCTGAATTTCTTGTCTGACTTCTTTGTAGTGTTTTTCAGCATTCTCTTATATCTTACCATGCTTGCTGTATTTATTTATTAGATGGAGTTTTGCCCTTGTTGCCCATGCTGGAATGCAATGGTGGCAATGGTGTGATCTCCGCTCATTGCATTCTCACTTCCCGGGTTCAAGCGATTCTCCTTCTTCAGACTTTCGAGTAGCTGGGAATACAGCCACATGCCACCACATCCGGCTAATTTTTTTATTTTTAGTAGAGACAGGGTTTCACCATGTTGGCCAGGCTGGTCTCGAACTCCTGACCTCAGGTGATATGCCTGCCTCTGCCTCCCAAAATGCTGGGATTACAGGCGTGAGGCACCACGCCCGGCCTCACCATGCTTCTTTAGGGTCAATATTTTGAATTCTTTTTCCAGTATTTTGTAAATTTATTTTTGATTGGGATCTGTTGCTAGAGAATTACTGTGTTCTTTCCTTGCTTTTCATGTTTCCTCTGTTCTTACATTGGTATTTGTGCATCTTGTGTAACAGTTGCTTCTTCTAATTTTTTGAATTTGCTTTCATAGGGGAGGACTCTTCCTGAAAATGTATGTGTAGTGTTCATTGGGTAGGATGCTTTGGCTTTGATTCTGGGTGTGTGCAGTAGTGTAATCACTGTATGATTTCTTCAACTGTAAACAGCATCATTGTTGTCTGTGATTTTCTCAGTGGCTTAGGATGTGCTTAGTGAAAAGTGTGGTGAAGCTTTGCTAGGAACTGGGATACTACATGGGCCAGTCTTCGGGTCCCAGCAGTGGCTGCAGTGGGCTGAGTATGCCTGTTCTTGGGCACCAGGGTGATGTATACTAGCACCAGTGTTGGCTGCTCCAGGCAGGCCAATTCTTTGGTTTCCAGGTGGCTTGCCTGAGCGTTGGAAATAGCAGTGGTGGGCCAGGTGGATGGGTGAGTTCTTGAGCCCCTGGGCATCAGGCATGTGGGACAACCCTCTGGGTCCTAAGCAGTCCACACTGGTATTGGTGGTGGCTGTGATGGGCTGAGTAGGCCAGTCCCCAGGCCTGCAGTTGGCACATGCGGGTGGGTGCCAGCTGTGGTGGTAGCAGCAGATTGAGTGAGCCCAACCTCAGACCCCAAGAGAAGGTCTCAGGTGCCAGTGATGGACTGGGCAGGGCAGTCTCTAGGACCCTAGACAGCATGCTCAGGTACTGGGAGGAGTGGAGCCAGCCTGAGCAGATCTGCCCTCAGACCCCCCAGTAGTATATGCAGGTGCTGGCTATGGTAGGCAGGGAGAGGGTGGTCCCCAGGCTGCTAGCAGAATGCTCAGATGAGAATGGCAGCAGCTGTGCTATGGCCCTGCTACTGGAGAGGGAGGGGCTGCTTTTATTTGGAGCAGCCATAAGCAAAAGGCTTTTGGGGGCTGGGGGTGGGGTGACTCATGCTTTGCTAGCACCTTGGCCCTTGCAGCAGCCCACAGCAGCTACAGTTACAGGCAGTGGAATTTGTCCGCAGGGTGCATGAAAATGTGTGCCCACCCCTCTGCTGGGGGTGATAGGGTCACTGGCAGTGGCTCCCACCTTGGCCCCAGCAGCAACAGCAGCAGCAGCTGTTGGGGAATGTCACTGGGGCTTCAGGGATGTGGAGATGTAGAGGCTGTTGAACCCCAAGGCAAGACACAGTCTGATGGGGGCTGAACTCTCCAGATGATGCCACACTGCAGCTGCTGAGGACTCAGGGGTTTGTGGGACCCAGTGTGAGCTCTCTCTCTGGAGTAATGTCTTCATGCAATCTCTAGGCAGCTCCTTATGTCAGTCTCAGGGCCTGCAAAGGTTAGTGGGCTCTTCCATAGCTAGTATTGTAGGAGTCCGTGGTGGGAATGTGGATCACTGGAGGGCTCTCACTTATTCTTTTCCCATATTAAGGAGCTTCTCCAGACTCCCAGTTGATCCCCGCCAAACAGGCTGCCTCACTTTCCTCTCCTTCCTTGCTTTTGGTGCTTTCCATCGCTTCTCTGTTGAATTCCAGTGTTCTCCCTTAGATCATCTATTCAAAGTGTCATTATCTACTTGCTATGTTGCTTCCTGTCTGTGGAAGAGGTGAGTACCAGATGCCTCTAGTCAGCCATCTTAGAGCCCCCTCCCTATTTTATTTATTTTATTTTTTTACAATTTTTAAATTTTACCTGCTGAAATTTTATCTCCTTGTACTGAGTAAGAAAAACTATTTTAAAATTCTCATGATTCCAATATTTGAAACTCCTGTGGATATTATTTTATTATGTTGTATCTGCTGGATTGTTGTTTTGTTTGTTTTGTTTTTCAAGTCATCCAGGCTCATTTTTTACCTGGAAAATTTTTACTTTGTACCAGACAAGTTTTTTACCAAATTCCTTGTAAACTAAGGCTGATGTAAGCTTCTTCCAGAGAGGATTTACATTTCTTTATGCCAGGTGTCTGTAATCATGCAATTCAGAATCCTCTTAATTCAAATATTTGGACCGTTAAAAGCTGTGCCATTGATACGGTGACTTTTCGTAGCTCCAGTTTACTCTTTTAACTAGAATGCCAACTTTGAACTCCCAACTCAAAGCAGCTAGATTCTTCAGGCACCTTCCCCCAGAGGGCCTGCAATCTGATCTTTGTCCACATAGCCACAGGAGGCTACCCAAAACACTTCTGAGTCTCTTAGCTCACTCTTCTGCAATCGGCAAGCCCCCAGCAGAAAAGCATTTCTAAATCTCAGGATCAAATCCATGAATCTTCAATCTTCATTCTCTCCTGAACCAACATCTCTATATTATATTACTAGCTTTCTGATGTGTTCAAGTACACTATGTGTGTTTTTGTGTGTGTGTGGTCCAAATTTTCTGGTTGTCATAGCAGGAGATATGAACTGAATTACTTAGTCCACCATCACTAGAAACAAAACTTGTTACCTTTTTGTTCAATTTGGATAGTTGTGTCTTTTTTCTCTAACATTCTCACCCAAAAATGACCAATTTTATTCATCTTTTCAATGAACCAATATCTAGCATTGCTGACCTTGTTGACTTTTTGCTTTTGCCTATCTCATTGATTCCTACTCTTCCCTAAACTATTTTTTCCTCTACTTCTTTGCATTTATTTTGCCTTTCCTATACCTGTTTCCAGGTGCATTCCTTTGCAGGCCCAGCCCAGAGCTGAAGGTGGCTTCCCACAGTCCCCACATGTGTTGAGCCCTTGATTCTGACTCATGTCTCCTTGCCCACTGCTCCACTTCTGGTTCGCAACAGAAGCATCAGCCATTATCTGCCCACTTCTGTGATCTCCAATCCTCCAATCCTCTTTATGGTCTCCTAACAAATGAGTTATCTCATTGATGCTTTTAAGAATATTTTTTAAAGTTCCCTGAGTTTTTTCAACTCTCTTAGTGAAGAAGGTAGTCTGTATTCCTACTACAGTACTATCAGAAATACTTATATTTTCATAAAAGAAGCACTCTAGATATAAATACAGCCCACATGTCTATCCAAATTTTCACAGATGTGTGATATTGGTCACAGGAGCCCTGGAATAGGTATGTCTCAGGATAAGAGCCCTATATCTTCGGCGAAAAAAAAGCTTACAGTTACATGTGAAAAGTGGTTCATGTTAAAATTTAGCTTTTCCTAAGACATACTTGATACATCTGAAGTCCTCCTTTGGGTAAAGAACAAAATCATTCTCAGTTACAAAAATGGGGAAAAGCTGGGCTTTCAGTGCAATGCCAAAGTGACTACTCCTCCTTTTCCTTTCCTCCTGTGCTTGTACCCAGGGAACACCTGAGCCAGATGCCTTACGCCACAATGTGCATCAAGGAATGCCTCCGCCTCTACGCACCGGTAGTAAACATATCCCGGTTACTCGACAAACCCATTACCTTTCCAGATGGACGCTCCTTACCTGCAGGTCTTAAAACAACTTTTTTTTTTTTTAACAATGCAGCTATGTTTGGATTGAAATGTCTTAACACACTCATGTCTTTAACAGTTATTTATCCTTAGACTCTGTGGAACCTAGGGCCATTCTTATTTCCCAGAGAGGGAGAAAGAGGAGAGAGCTCTCAGGACTATCTAAACAGGCACAGGATTATGCAGGTGCAAAGGTACAGAATCCTGCCATATGGACTGAGGAGTGGGTGAGGAGGCCTTCATGAAGCATCATGGCTTTAATGCTGAACCTTAAAGGACTAGATTTATATCAGCAAAGATGAGAGAGGCGCATTGTTGGCAGAGAGAAGAGCAGACACAAAGCAGCAGGCAGCCTGCCTTCTCCCTTCCCTCAGGCACACCAGCAGGGCATGTCACTGGAGCAATTGCTGTAATCCACCAGACTCCAGGATTCACAGAGGGAAGTTGTGGGACTATACCTGGAGCCATGATGTAGCCAGATCATAGTTTTCTGAAGGCCAACCTTTGTGTTCAGCCTTTCTCAATCAAGCAGCAGATTTAAGACATCTAAGCTGGGTAGCACGATTATAGTTATTTTTTAGAAAGATTAATACATTGGTGGGATGCAAGATGGATTGAAAGATGACATTAGAGATATAAAGGAATGAGCCAGAATTTATCTTTGACCTATGTTGAGGTGTGTTTCTACACCTTCCTCCAATTTAACCATCTTTCAAATACTGGATTTGATTGGGCATTTGTAGTAGTCTAATTAAATGTAGCAATATTTAATTGCTACTGTGCTACCATAGTTGCCCAATAGCAATTAAATATTTGTTTCCTACAAAATCAACTTTACTATTGTAACAACAAAAGGAAAAAATTATTTAGCACTTACTAGGAGCTGAGAATTGTTCCATATGTTTTGCATGTGTTAACTCATTTTATCCACCCATCCTCCTGCCCCCCAGTTCTGCTGTGGAAATACTAGTGTTATGCACATTTTAGCAAACAGGGACAAAAAGGTAAAACTTCATCTCTGGTAAATGGTAGAACTAGGACTTGAACCCAAGAAATGGGACTCTAGAGTGTGCTCTTAACTACTACACTACAGCAACAACTTAAGCTTTCTCTGGGATCTCTCCAGAGAAAGATCTTTGCTATCATGGGGATCTTTGCAATCATCTAGTATCTAAAGAAGTTTCCTCTTTTTAATTCAGTGTTATTTTTCACATAGTATTTATTGTAATATTTATTACCTACATAATATTGCATCTATGCACATAATGTTCCACGCACCTAGTTGTTCAAACAAGACAGCTCAGAGTCAACTTTTACTACCTTTTCCCTTAACCTTGCATTTCAATAATACTTAAATCCTGTCAATAATCTCTGGTTTTTTTCAATATCAATAAAATGATGATTTATTGCTGCCTTCCAACACAAGAAAATTATTTTCTCTGCTTCCATTCTAGATCACCTAAGCCCTGTAATCCAGAGTCTTAAAATCCCCCGACCCATACAAAAGCTACATGTTGAAAATGTGAGAATCAGCATGCCTTCTAATTTTTCCCATTCAGGTCCTTTCTGTTTCATGTTCCTTTCACTTTCCTGATCTTGTGGCTTTTGCGGCTGCTGCGGGTAACTTTCTGGGCTTCAGACAATTCTGTTGAGATCTGCATGGATGTTGGTGGAAGAGCTGGCTCCACCCGGCTGACTCAGTTTTAGGCGACTTATACGTCATCTCTGGTCTCCTGCAGTCTCTGCCCTTTCCTCCAAGTGCCTTCAAGGGCTGCACCTTAATCTCCCTCAAGCTACAATGAAGGGACAGGAAGTGCACACGCAGAGTTGCCTTCACCTCACTTTACATTCCTTTCCGCCACACCTTCTTGCCACACACAGAGCTTTCAGGCCTTCACTGGACCTCACGTGCTCATCTGTCTCATTTCCTGTTACCCTGCTTTCCTTCCTGCCCCTCTCATACACACAGGCACTCCACAACTTCACTTTCTTCACCCCAGGCTTGGATGCCTGGATTCATCACTCCAACTTCCCCTTTGGCAATGCCATCAACTTCCTTGAATATTTTCCCTTTCTCTACTGTCACTCATCAGTAATTCAACCAGCATTAAATTCCTCTATACGCTTTCTCTGCCCTGCTAATGGGCCCTTGAATACAGCTATAGCACAACAAAGCATGTGCAAATGGATGCCTCATATCCGCCAGACCCACCTCTTCCCCTGTATTACCCAAAAATCCTGTTTATTTCTAAAAAGAAACATGTTTATGATGCCTGCTTTCTCTCCCACACCTCACAATATCACTTACACATTTTCATCACTCTCTACCTGTGCCTGTGCCATGGCCCCATTCACTCTTGGCAAAAGACCTACTACATTATGTGTGCCCTTCTCTTCATTTGTTGGCCCAACAATTGCCTAGTAAACATCTGCTCTAGGCACTTTGCTTTGTTCTGAGCGTACTATGATGTGCAAAATGTCCAAAAGAAAGCATGTCATCTACCTCCTTCCCCTAAACCTATTCCTCCTCCTGGATTGCTACATTAATGAATGGCACCACTGTCTGTGAGTAATTTTAAGTGAGAAAGATAGAAGTCATCCTCACACCTCCACCATCTTCCTTACCCAGACAGTATCCAAGTCCTAGAATATCAGCTATTTCCTTCTCAACAACCTTGCTTCCATGGTCTCAGCTATTGCCTTTGTCAATCTTCATCTGCCAGAGTCCCCTAGTTTTTATATTTCCATACTTAGCTATCTACAAACCAATCTACTTATAAAAGATAAATCATAAGTCTAGGTAAATTCTAAGTTCCAACTCAAGAAAGCCACTTGGGTGATTCTGTTGCCACTTGTCCCTCCTAAGATCCTACTTATACACATACACTGAAATGCAAAAAGAAATAATCCCATAAAAGTGAAAAGAATGGAAGGAAAGTATTTAACAAACAAAAAGAGAGAGAGAGATTTTAATGAATTTATGAAATTAAAAAAGAAGGTAGGATTGGGCTGCCAAATTAAACAAGAAGAGAAATTCCCAGTTTTAAAAGGCAATGAGGGGGTGGCTGCAGAAAGACTTGCAGAGAGTAGAGGGTGGCTCTACTTTTTAATCCCATAGAAAAGGTTTAGAAATTGTGGTCTTAATAAGCTCAGTAAGGCTGAGCTACTTCAGGAAAAGTGTATATTAATCACCTAAAAGAAATAGTCAATCCTAAAAATTATATTTTATCTTTTAAAAGTTAACTTTTAATTTAGAGCCTAGGGTACAATTAAAGACTCTTTATTCTGGCAGAGAAAAGGGGATGTCCACTCTGCTAACAGATTGTGACCCAAATGATAACACAGATTCCTGGGAGAGCAGTCATTTTTTTCTGGACAATGCAGATCCCTTTTCACTAATCTTAAGAGATATTTTGAGCCTTGCTCAGAATTACCTAGATTTGTGGAACAAAGAAACTGGAGTTAGGAAGACAGATTTAGGGAGAGGAAGAAGATAAAATCAGATCAGTTGCAGGCAGTCATTAATCTGCCTTTCGTAAGTTTTTTTCCAGGGAATCTTCACTGACATTGAGTTAGAGTCATTGAGGTGTTTTCAGATTTTCTACATGGCAAAAAGAAAAAAGATGACAAACCACCAAAAGTTATGAATTTTATTTTCTTTTTGCCCTAAGGCTCCATGGAGATTTAAAACCTCAATAAAATAGGATGTTTTTCAAATTGTGTCTTTTTCTGACGTATTCTTGGTTTAAATATGTAATTTTGTTAGATAATGTGCATGCTTTTTTATTATAATGAATATGCTCATAAGGTGTCAGTGTGATTCTCTGGATTAATAAAACCCATGCCAGAAAAACAAAAACAAAAACAAAACAGATTCCCTCAATAGCCAATAACAGACCTATCAATGGCCTAGTGTGTGCCATGAATCTGATGGTCCAGTAAGCCTCAGTGGAGAGGGACATGGCCCAAAAAAATGGGTGTTCTATGAAATCTCCTAAATAATTCACAATCACTAAATAGAGCAAAACACAATGGGTTTTGTGCCACTCATGGGAGAGATCCATGGCAATCAACTAGACACTGGCTGTAAGCTAGAGCAAGCAGAAACTCCTAAGAAAGACAGTAACAGACTTAGGAAATCAAAAATATCTCATCTGAGGACACTGGCATGTGCCTGTAATCCCAGCTACTCAGGAGGCTGAGGTGGGAGGATCACTTTAGCCCAGGAGTTTGAGGCTGCAGCAAACTATAATCACACCACTTCCCTCCAGCCTGGGCAACATAGCGAGACCTTATCTCAAAAAAATTTTTTTCATTGACCATGAGTTGAGACTCACCCAAAGGAGCTAATAATTGATGAGCCTGTGAATCATACTTCTTAGGTATTAGCTACTACTGAACTTCAGTGGGCAGTCTGTTCTGATGATCTTGGTGAGACTTCCAGAAACCGTTTAAAAGAGAACAAGGCTTCTGGAACCAAAAATTGAAAAATGAAAGAATGTGTACTGCCAGGATATAAACCTAATCCAACCATAGAAGTTAGACCCTATGATTGAGGCTTGGGAGAGTTAAATAACATTGGGTTTTTGAAGCTCTAAACTTCAAAATCTCTGACCCATGTTAAGAAAGCAAATTTCTTGAATGTCCTTGATTAGCTAGCAATATGTGGATTAATCACTTAGGAAGAATTCGTTAACGGTGACCTGGCCATTTGTTTTTTGAAAGTGATCTTTGCTGTGTGGATGCAGCACTGTTATGGTGTCCCAGTTGCCATTCTAACCCAAATTAGGTCTTTACCTCAGTCAGTTAGCTAGCTGGTCATAACAGGATTGGTGAACTTCAAAATTAGTCTTCATAATGTTAAAAGCCACAGTTCATCATGAACATAAGACAGCTATGAATACCTATATATCAAGTTACACATCTGTAATTTTTTTTTTTTTTTAGATGGAGTCTCGCTCTGTCACCCAGGCTGGAGTGCAATGGTGCAATCTCTGCTCCCTGCAAACTCCACCTCCCAGGTTCAAGCGATTCTCCTGTCTCCACCTCCCGAGTAGCTGGGACTACAGGCGCGTGCCACCATGCCTGGCTAGTTTTTTGTATTTTTAGTAGAGACAGGGTTTCACCATGTTAGCCACGATGGTCTTGATCTCCTGACCTCATGATCCATCTGCCTTGGCCTTTCAAAGTGCTGGGATTACAGGCGTGCCACCACACCTGGCCCTGCAATTTTTTAAAGCAAACTATAGGAAATGAAAAGGAAAACAGACAGAGGCACCCTACTAATAGATTTTAACTGCCTTTCAAAGACGTACACAAATCAAAGTACACAGACTATCTAAACAATATAATTAATAAGATAGACTTTATGCGTACAATATTAAACTTTTTCCCCACTAATAGAGAACTTTCCTTTTAAGTACACCAGCAACATTCCTTAAAGTTGACGGTATACTAGACCACAATTTAAAAAGTTACTAAAAGAGAAACATTACAAAATAGCATTCTTTAAATGAAGACAATAAAAATGGAAATTAGCAACAAAAATTTTTCAAAAAGTTTCATTCATCTGGAGTTTTTTGTTTTATCCATTAAAAACTCTTGGGCTAAAGCAAAATTACAAAATCAAATCATGACCCTGAAAACTCTACATATGAGAATTAATGGTCTGCCACTAAAGCAGCATTCAGAAGAGAAGCTATAATAGTAAATGCGAAATATTTTTATTAATAAAAGAATTAAATTAAACACTGATGTCGAAAACAACTGGAAATAAATCAGTTGGGGAAAGAATAAAAGAGTAAACTAAAAGGAAACAGGTGAATTAACAAAGGCGAAAGCAAAAGGTAATGGTATGGAAAGCAGAACGGTTGCAAAACTAGTCAAAAAACACAATAGCCAGTGGGGGAGGGGCTGGTCAACAAAGAGACACACCACGAACTAATATTACACAAGTGTATGCACAGAGACTTGAAAAACCAGGAAAAAAACTAGATAATTGTATAATACATAATTTACTAAAATTGATACTGGTAGAGATAAATAGTCTAAGCATGCCAATTTTCACAGGACTAGAGAAAAATTGTAGAGCCCCTGAAAAGGAACCAGGCCCATGCAGTTTTTCAGAAACTTTTTCAAACCTTTAAAGACCAAATAATCCCAGTAATAAGTTGTCCAGAGCATAGAAAAATAAAAACTTAGAAAGTTATTTAAGGAAGTATCACACTGATAACAAACCTACTAAAAATTGCACAAAAGTATCTTTAGATAAAAATCACTAATGTATATAAATACAAAAATTTTAAATAAAATATTAGTAAACATAATCCAATAGCTCATCAAAATAAATATATTGGCTGGGCAGGTGACTCATGCCTGTAATCCAAACACTTTGTGAGGCCAAGGTGGGAGGATTGCTTGAGTCTGGGCAACACAACAAGACCCCATCTCTACAAAAAGACAAAATAAAATAGTGTATCATGGCCAAGTAAGTAGGTCATATTCCAAAACTGCAAAGATTGTTCAATATTAGGAATCCATTAATATAATTTATTATATGTATAGATTTCATGAGAAACCCATATCATCTCCACCCTGATCAATGGATATTCCATAACATGATAAACTATTACTTCAGTGCCATATTGGCACTATATCCCATATTGTTCTATGGCTCCAAAGTATAATAAAATCTCCCAAGTAGCTGACTAGAAAAGGTAAAACAAAAACAAAACCTAAAATATAATACTCTCACTCTCTGCTTAAATTTCTTGGTGATCCATATTGGTTTAAACCTAAAATCCTTAGCATGACCTCTTTGCCATTTTAGGGTACAAGCCCAGCCAACCTCCCCAGGCTCAACTAAGGACACTTTGCTCCCTGAATCCTGTTATACAACCACCCAGTCACCCAAATTTGTAATGCTTTCTCAAGTATTAAAGCTTGGCTTCATGCTTTTTTATCTGCCTCAAATTCCTTTCTGAATCTTGTTTTCCTTTTTTTTTTTTTTTTTTTTTTTGCTTTTTTTAAATTAACTTTAAGTTCTAGAGTACATGTGCAAAACGTGCAGGTTAGTTACATATGTATACATGTGCCATGTTGTGCTGCACCCATTAACTCGTCATTTAACATTAGGTATATCTCCTAATGCTATCCCTCCCCGCTGCCCCCACCCCACAACAGGCCCCAGGGTGTGATGTTCCCCATCCTGTGTCCAAGTGGTCTCATTGTTCAATTCCCACAACGAGTGAGAACATGCGGTGTCTGGTTTTCTGTCCTTGCGATAGTTTGCTGAGAATGATGGCTTCCAGCTTCATCCATGTCCCTACAAAGGACATGAACTCATCCTTTTTTATGGCTGCATAGTATTCTATGGTGTATATGTGCCACATTTTCTTAATCCAGTCTATCATTGTTGGACATTTGGGTTGGTTCCAAGTCTTTGCTATTGTGAATAGTGCCACAGTAAACATGCATGTGCATGTGTCTTTATAGCAGCATGATTTATAATCCTTTGGGTATATACCCAGTAAGGGGATGGATGGGTCAAATGGTATTTCTAGTTCTAGATCCTTGAGGAATCGCCACACTGTCTTCCACAACGGTTGAACTAGTTTACAGTCCCACCAACAGTGTAAAAGTGTTCCTATTTCTCCACCTCCTCTCCAGCACCTGTTGTTTCCTGACTTTTTAATGATCGCCATTCTAACTGGTGTGAGATGGTATCTCATTGTGGTTTTGATTTGCATTTCTCTGATGGCCAGTGACGATGAGCATTTTTTCATGTGTCTGTTGGCTGCATAAATGTCTTCTTTTGAGAAGTGTCTGTTCATATCCTTCACCCACTTTTTGATGGGGTTGTTTGATTTTTTATTATAAATTTGTTTAAGTTCTTTGTAGATTCTGGATACTAGCCCTTTGTCAGATGAGTAGATTGCACAAATTTTCTCCCATTCTGTAGGTTGCCTGTTCACTCTGATGGTAGTTTCTTTTGCTGTGCAGAAGCTCTTTAGTTTAATTAGATCCCATTTGTCAATTTTGGCTTGTGTTGCCATTGCTTTTGGTGTTTTAGTCATGAAGTCCTTGCCCATGCCTATGTCTTGAATGGTATTGCCTAGGTTTTCTTCTAGGGTTTTTATGGTTTCAGGTCTAACATTTGAGTCTTTAATCCATCTTGAAATAATTTTTGTATAAGGTGTAAGGAAGGGATCCAGTTTCAGCTTTCTACATGTGGCTAGCCAGTTTTCCCAGCACCATTTATTAAATAGGGAATGCTTTCCCTATTTCTTGTTTTTGTCAGGATCAGATGGTTGTAGATGTATGGTATTATTTCTGAGGGCTCTGTTCTGTTCCATTGGTCTATATCTCTGTTTTGGTACCAGTACCATGCTGTTTTGGTTACTGTAGCCTTGTAGTATAGTTTGAAGTCAGGTAGCATGATGCCTCCAGCTTTGTTCTTTTTTTTTTTTTTTTTTTTTTTGAGACACATTCTTGCACTGTCGCCCAGGCTGGAGTGCAGTGGCATGATCTTGGCTCACTGCAAGCTCCTCCTCCTGGGTTCACCACATTCTCCTGCCTCAGCCTCCCAAGTAGCTGGGACTACAGGTGCCCACCACCACACCTGGCTAATTTTTTGTATTTTTAGTAGAGACAGGGCTTCTCTGTGTTAGCCAGGATGGTCTCGATCTCCTGATGTCGTGATCCACCCACCTCAGCCTCCCAAAGTGCTGGGATTACAGGCATGAGCCACTGCACCTGGCCAGCTTTGTTCTTTTTGCTTGGGATTGTCTTGGCAATGTAGGCTCTTTTTTGGTTCCATATGAAATTTAAAGTAGTTCTTTCCAATTCTGTGAAGAAAGTCATTGGTAGCTTGATGGGGATGGCATTGAATCTATAAATTACCTTGGGCAGTATGGCCATTTTCACGATATTGATTCTTCCTACTCATGAGCATGGAATGTTCTTCCATTTGTTTGTGTGTTCTTTTATTTCGTTGAGCAATGGTTTGTAGTTCTCCTTGAAGAGGTCCTTCACATCCCTTGTAAGTTGGATTCCTAGGTATTTTATTCTCTCTGAAGCAATTTTGAATGGGAGTTCACTCATGATTTGGCTCTCTGTTTGTCTGTTATTGGTGTATAAGAATGCTTGTGATTTTTGCACATTGATTTTTTATCCTGAGACTTTGCTGCAGTTGCTTATTAGCTTAAGGAGATTTTGGGCGGAGATGATGGGGTTTTCTAAATATACAATCATGTCATCTGCAAACAGGGACAATTTGACTTCCTCTTTTCCTAATTGAATACCCTTTATTTCTTTCTCCTGCCTGATTTCCCTGGCCAGAACTTCCAACACTATGTTGAATAGGGGTGGTAAGAGAGGGCATCCCTCTGTCTTGTGCCAGTTTTCAAAGGGAATGCTTCCAGTTTTTGCCCATTCAGTATGATATTGGCTGTGGGTTTGTCATAAATAGCTCTTATTATTTTGAGATACATCCCATCAATACCGAATTTATTGAGAGTTTTTAGCATGAAGCGCTGTTGAAATTTGTTGAAGGCCTTTTCTGCATCTATTGAGATAATCCTGTGGTTTTTGTCTTTGGTTCTGTTTATATGATGGATTACATTTATTGATTTACATATGTTGAACAAGCCTTGCATCCAAGGGATGAAGCCCACTTGATCATGGTGGATAAGCTTTTTGATGTGCTGCTGGATTCCATTTGCCAGTATTTTATTGAGGATTTTTGCATCGATATTCATCAGGGATATTGGTCTAAAATTCTCCTTTTTTGTTGTGTCTCTGCCAGTCTTTGGTATCAGGATGATGCTGGCCTCATAAAATGAGTTAGGGAGGATTCTCTCTTTTTCTATTGATCGGAATAGTTTCAGAAGGAATGGTACCAGCTCCTCTTTGTACCTCTGGTAGCATTCGGCTGTGAATCCGTCTGGTCCTGGACTTTCTTTGGTTGGTCGGCTATTAATTATTGTCTCAATTTCAGAGCCTGTTATTGGTCTATTCAGGGATTCAACTTCTTTTATTCTTGGGAGGGTGTATGTGTCCAGGAATTTATCAATTTCTTCTACATTTTCAAGTTTATTTGCGTAGAGGTGTTTATAGTATTCTCTGATGGTAGTTTGTATTTCTGTGGGATCGGTGGTGATAACCCCTTTATCATTTTTTATTGGACCTATTTGATTATTCTCTCTTTTCTTCTTTGCTAGTCTTGCTAGTCGTCTATCAGTTTTGTTGATCTTTTCAAAAAACCAGCTCTGGGATTCATTGATTTTTTGAAGGGTTTTTTGTGTCTCTGTCTCCTTCAGTTCTGCTCTGATCTTAGTTACTTCTTGCCTTCTGCTGGCTTTTGAATGTGTTTGCTCTTGCTTCTCTAGTTCTTTTAATTGTGATGTTACGGTGTCAATTTTAGATCTTTGCTGCTTTCTCTTGTGGGCATTTAGTGCTATAAATTTTCCTCTACACACTGCTTTAAATGTGTACCAGAGATTCTGGTATGTTGTGTCTTTGTTCTCATTGGTTTCAAACAACATCTTTATTTCTGCCTTCATTTTGTTATGTACCCAGTAGTCGTTCAGCAGCAGGTTGTTCAGTTTCCATGCAGTTGAGTGGTTTTGAGTGAGTTTCTTAATCCTGAGTTCTAGTTTGATTGCACTGTGGTCTGAGAGACAGTTTGTTATAATTTCTGTTCTTTTACATTTGCTGAGTAGTGCTTTACTTCCAACCATGTGTTCAATCTTGGAATAAGTGCGATGTGGTGCTGAGAAGAATGTATATTCTGTTGATTTGGAGTGGAGAGTTCTGTAGATATCTATTAGGTCCGCTTGGTGCAGAGCTGAGTTCAATTCCTGGATATCCTTGTTAACTTTCTGTTTCATCGATCTGTCTAATGTTGACAGTGGGATGTTAAACTCTCCCATTATTATTGTGTGGGAGTCTAAGTCTCTTTGTAGGTCTCTAAGGACTTGCTTTATGAATCTGGGTCCTCCTGTATTGGGTGCATAAATATTTAGGATAGTTACCTCTTCTTGTTGCATTGATCCCTCTATCATTATGTAATGACCTTCTTTGTCTCTTCTGATCTTTGTTGGTTTAAAGTCTGTTTTTTCAGAGACTAGGATTGCAACCCCTGCTTTTTTTCGTTTTCCATTTGCTTGGTAGATCTTTCTCCATCCCTTTATTTTGAGCCTATGTGTGTCTCTGCACATGAGATGGGTCTCCTGAATACAGCACAGTGATGAGTCTTGACTCTTTATCCAATTTGCCAGTCTGTGTCTTTTAATTGGAGCATTTAGCCAATTTCCATCTAAGGTTAATATTATTATGTGTGAATTTGATCCTGTCATGATGATGTTAGCTGGTTATTTTGCTCGTTAGTTTATGCAGTTTCTTCCTAGCATCAATGTTTTTTACAATGTGGCATGTTTTTGCAGTGGCCTTTCCATGTTTAGTGCTTCCTTCAGGAGCTCTTGTAAGGCAGGCCTGGTGGTGATAAAATCTCTCATTATTTGCTTGTCTGTAAACGATTTTATTTCTCCTTCACTTATGAAGCTTAGTTTGGCTGGATATGAAATTCTGTACCCTAAAAATTAAAGTATAATTAAAAAAAGAAGAAAATTATTTTCTTTAAGAATGTTAAATATTGGGTCCCCACTCTCTCCTGGCTTGTAGGGTTTCTGCCAAGAGATCCACTGTTAGTCTGATGGGCTTCCCTTTGTGGGTAACCCGACTTTTCTCTCTGGCTGCCTTTAACAATTTTTCCTTCATTTCAACTTTGGTGAATCTGACAATTATTTGTCTTGGGGTTGCTCTTCTCAATGAGTATCTTTGTTGCGTTCTCTGTATTTTTTGAATTTGAATGTTGGCCTGCCTTGCTAGGTTGGGGAAGTTCTCCTGGATAATATCCTGCAGAGTGTTTTCCAACTTGGTTCCATTCTCCCCATCACTTTCAGGTACACCAATCAGACGTAGATTTGGTCTTTTCACATAGTCCCATATTTCTTGGAGGCTTTGTTCATTTCTTTTTACTCATTTTTCTCTAAACTTCTCTTCTTGCTTCATTTCATTCATTTGATCTTCAATCACTGATACCCTTTCTTCCAGTTGATCAAATCAGCTACTGAAACTTGTGCATGCATCACGTAGTTCTCGTGCTATGGTTTTCAGCTCCATCAGGTCATTTAAGGTCTTCTCTATGCTGTTTATTCTAGTTAGCCATTCATCTAATCTTTTTTCAAGATTTTTAGCTTCTTTGCGATGGGTTCGAACATCCTCCTTTAGCTCGGAGAAGTTTGTTATTACCAATCATCTGAAGCCTTCTTCTCTCAACTCATCAAAGTCATTCTCTGTCCAGCTTTGTTCCATTGCTGGCGAGGAGCTGCATTCCTTTGGAGGAGAAGAGGCATTCTGATTTTTAGAATTTTCAGCTTTTCTGCTCTGGTTTCTCCCCATCTTTGTGGTTTTATCTACCTTTGGTCTTTGATGATGGTGATGTACAGATGAGGTTTTGGTATGGATGTCCTTTCTGTTTGTTAGTTTTCCTTCTAACAGTCAGGACCCTCAGCTGCAGGTCTGTTGGTGTTTGCTGGAGGTCCACTCCAGACCCTGTTTGCCTGGCTATCAACAGCGGAGGTTGCAGAACAGCGAATATTGCAGAAGGGCAAATATTGCAGAACAGCAAATACTGCAGTACAACAAATGCTGTCTGATCAATCCTCTGGAAGCTTCATCTCAGAGGGGCACCTGGCCATATGAGGTGTCAGTCAGCCCCTACTGGGAGGTGCCTCCCAGTTAGGCTACTTGGGGGTCAGAGACCCACTTGAGGAGGCAGTCTGTCCGTTCTCAGATCTCAAACTCCATGCTGGGAGAACCACTGCTCTCTTCAAAGCTGTCAGACAGGGACATTTAAGTCTGCAGAAGTTTCTGCTACCTTTTGTTCAGCTATGCCCTGCCCCCAGAGGTGGAGTCTACAGAGGCAGGCAGGCCTCCTTGAGCTGCGGTGGGCTCCACCCAGTTTGAGCTTCCTGGATGCTTTGTTTACCTACTGAAGCCTCAGCAATGGCGAACACCCCTCCCCCAGCCTGCCTGCTGCCTTGCAGTTCAATCTCAGGCTGCTGTGCTAGCAGTGAGCGAGGCTTCGTGGGCGTGGGACCCTCTGAGCCAGGTGCGGGATATAATCTCCTCGTGTGCCGTTTGCTAAGACTGTTAGAAAAGTGCAGTATTAGGGTGGGAGTGACCCGATTTTCCAGGTGCTGTCTGTCATGGCTTCCCTTGGCTAGGAAAGGGAATTCCCTGACCCCTTGCACTTCCCGGGTGAGGCGATGCCTCGCCCTGCTTCAGTTCACCTTCCGTGGGCTGCCCTCTCTGTCCTGCACCCACTGTCCGACAAGCCCCCAGAGAGATGAACCTGGTACCTCAGTTGGAAATGCAGAAATCACCGGTCTTCTGCGTCACTCATGCTGGGAGCTGTAACTGGAGCTGTTCCTATTTGGCCATCTTGGAACCTCCCCCAGGGTCTCCTTCAAATCTTCTTTTCTTTACCTGGTTTTCCCCAACTGATTTCATGATACTCAGCTCAGCATGCCTCTCCTGGGCCTTTTCTCCTGCATACATCCAAAGGCTCTATACATGAGGTTCCCCCCACTCAATTCCCCAAGCATCCCAGGCTTCCTTCTGACTTATTACCATGTGTTGCAATTGCTTGTCTCTTCCAATGGACTGTGAGCTCCTTCAAGGCTAGAATAGATCTCACTGATCTCCACAGCACCCATTTAAGTGTCATCATAATAGATGCTTCTTAAATGGTTGAGGATATTATGATTGTAGAATTCTTTCCTTGGTTATGAAATCTATGAATAGATGTGAAGGAATCTTTGCTCATGCACTTATCTGCTTTTTATTCTGTTTACTCAGGAATAACTGTGTTTATCAATATTTGGGCTCTTCACCACAACCCCTATTTCTGGGAAAACCCTCAGGTATGATTGTCCCAACTGCACCCAGTGGCATCTAAGATAGCACCAAGAGGGAAAAGAAGCATCTTCACAGTTGAGGGGGCAGTTAGGATAACCATCCGTCATTTAGAAAAGAACAAAACAGAACAAAATCCCTATGCTTTTAAGAGAAAAATACATTTGCATTTATAATCATCACCAGTGTTCCATGACGATGCCTTGTCAAGAGAAGCATACCATCCCCTGGGAAGTAGAGGGGTGTGATTAGTCAACTGACACTGCACTGTTTAACCACCTTGCTCTCTGCTTTTGTTCATGTCTGTAGTCAATCTAGTCACAGACTTGTGAAGTGTATTGCAAATCACTTGTTACTGGTCATAATTAAAGTAGCAAGATTATGAACTCTTTGCTTTTTTTAAGATTTGAGCATATTTGAAGTTAGTCTCTAGGAATATCACTCTCCTTCACACTCAGTACTAACCTGAGAGTGAAAGGGAGAGGGGGCCTGGGAGAGAACAAGCACACTCCTGGGCTGCAAACCAGCGCTCAGACCAACCCCACAGCCCAGGAGATACTAATCGGCAGCCTCTCACAGAGACGCTCGGGCAGAAGCTGAACAACTTCAGCTTGTGACTTCAGCTTGTGAATTGCCACCCCTTTCTTCTTTGCCCAAGTCACTGGCTCAGTCCATTTGGAAACCAAGACAAATAGAAAAGATAATAATTTGATTATTTGCCCGTTTTTATATGACAGAGGCACGTGTTTACTGTGAAGGGAAAATAATGAAGTCACTATTTGCTCAAGTCAGATTGTCTGGATGATTTGGGGCTGCTTCTTACTATCGGGGCCTGTTTAATCTATCACTAGGTTATATAGCCTCTGCTTTCTTGGGATATATTTTCAGTGGTAGGCTTTTGGGGAACATCAAGCAGGACTTGTAGTATCCAGATATTGTAAGTTCCTAAAGTTAGCTTTGGAATTCTGTTAACAATATCTAGGGTTTTGTTTTTGTTTTTGCTTTTTGTGGGGGTGGGCTGGAGGGATTAGGACTGGGATCTTCACTCTCATTACAGGTCTTTAACCCCTTGAGATTCTCCAGGGAAAGTTCTGAAAAAATGCATCCCTATGCCTTCATACCATTCTCAGCTGGATTAAGGTAAAGACTCAAGCTGGTGAACTTGATGGAAATGTGTAATAGTGCTTACCTGACAAGTGCTTCTTCCCTTCAGGCCTTCAGTTAGCTGACACTGCTGTTGCTCCCCATCATTTTACCTGACTTGTCTTCTCTTGTGACCAGTGCACTCAGATGGTACCCTTTTGAGCCCCCAAAGGGACTGGTTAATGTTACAAAGAACAACTCTGGTCCTTGGCATATGGGCGTGAATTGATGAAGGCCATCCTCATGACAGGCCCAAAGACTACACTTAAACTTGCAATGGACAAGCGTTGGGAATGCCACCTTGTTATAGGAACAAGGCAACATTGGCACCTCCAGCTCTTGTTCCTACAGAGAGCAATGTTGTTCTGAAGTCCAAGTTTCCCTTTGGTTTGGTATGAGAGACACCCGATTTACCAAATGACAACACAATCCACTGAGTATGCCAGGTTATTGTTCTTATGCCTAAGGCTTCAACTGCACAGCCTCTAAATAATAGTAAGAAGTAGCTTTTCCTTATCATGATATAAGGAAGGTTTTCAAGTTACGTGGACCCTGCAGAATCAAATGTTGATAGAACTCACTACCACTTACTTGTAAGATGGGCCCAAAAATAATAGAGACACAGTTTGCAGGTCTTGACATTAATGGACTTTCTGATCGGGGCTTACTTAACTTAAAATAAGACATTTGCTGGATTCTGCCACATTGGAATTTGTTTAAAACATGGATCTTGGCTGGGAGTGGTGGCTCTTACCTGTAATCCCAGCACTTTGGGAGGCCAAGGTAGGCAGATTACTTGAGATCAGGAGTTCGAGACCAGCCTGGCCAACATGGTAAAACCCTGTCTCTACCAAAAATACAAAAATATTAGCTGGGCATCATGGCACGACCCTGTAATCCAGCATGGATGACAGAAAAAAAAATGGATCTTGTTTTCCTACAAAAGTTGTCATATATAAAAAGACTGGCTTATGTTCCTAACCATATATAAATTCATGAGATGCCATTTTTTCTTTCTGGGTATCCCCAGGAACTGCATTGGGCAGCATTTTGCCATAATTGGGTGTAAAGTGGCAGTGGCATTAACTCTGCTCTGCTTCGAGCTGGCTCCAGACTACTCAAGGCCTCCCCAGCCTGTTCGTCAAATGCTCCTCAAGTCCAAGAATGGAATCCATGTGTTTGCAAAAAAAGTTTGCTAATTTTAAGTCCTTTCATATAAGAATTAATGAGATAATTTTCCTACCAAAGGAAGAATGGAAGGATAAATATAATACAAAATATATCTATATGGTTGTTTAACAAATTATATAACTTTGGATACTTCTGACTGGTTTTAACATCCATTAACAGTAATTCTAATTTCCTTGCTGGATCTGGTGAAACCCACAGAAACACCTGAAAAAACTCAAGCTGACTTCCACTGCGAAGGGAAATTATTGGCTCGTGTAACTAGTGGTAGAGTGGCTTTCAAGCATAGTTTGATCAAGGCTCCAGTCAATATCTGCATTACTTTTATCTCTGCAAATATCTGCATGATAGCTTTATTCTCAGTTATCTTTCCCACAATAAAAAATATCTGCCACCTTCTGAGTCCCATAGACTCTCATTATACCCTGTAGAGAATGGATAAATTGATGACAGTGTATTAGAAAGCCTAGACACTTAAGAGGAATTCTGAATACAGAAAAGCCTCATATATTAATTCCCATTTGGAATATTTAGAGGACACCATACCATAGGGAACTCTTGCTCAACATGGAGTAATGTAGCTAGGAAATATTTTAGCAGAGAGGGGGTCCAGATAGAACAACCTAATCCCCCATGCTGGTGTGTGCATTAACAGAGATACAGAAATTCCCATATATCTGCGGTGGAAAACACAGAATCGTTAAGAGAGCCAAGAAGCATCACAAGAGAGCCAAGAGGAATCATTATGAATCCAGGAGTGAGTGACTGGAATTAAACTGTGCTAAAGTCCATGCATCTTTTGAGGTTGTAGGGTGGGGGATGGGGGTGTGGTTAAAATACCAAATAACTTTAGACTTTATCAAGCATGAAAAATAAAATTTTCAAACATAGTAACTAAAGAATAGAAATAAAATGTATAAATTTGAAATCTGTAGAGGAAAATACAGAATAAGAAAAAATAGGATATAAAGAGCCAAAAAAAAGGCAATACATACTCTGAAAAAGAAGGGAAAAAAGAAGCATAGAAAAGGAAGCACAAAGTAAAATAGTAGAAACATATGCAAATACATCAATAATTAATGAGTAGAAGATAATCAATGGATAGAAGAACTCACAAATTAAGATGCAGAGGTTGTGAAATTGGATTTTTGAAAATTCTAGACATTACTAAAACATAAGACCATGAAATTATTGAAAGTAAAAAGATGGTAAATATATGCCAGAAAAATGCTTATGGAATCAGAGTAACTATATTAGTATTAGATAAAATAGATGAAATAAAAACAAAATATTATCAGTGATAGTCATTATGTGTAGTTCACCATATAAACAGAATTTTTAAAAAACATATAATCATCTCAGTAGAGGCAGAAAATGCTTTTGATAAAATCTAACATCTCTTCATGATAAAAAAAAAACCCTCAACAAACTAGACATTGAAGAAACATATCTCAAATTAATAAGAGCCATCTATGACAAACCCACAGCCAACATCATACTGAATGGGCAAAAGTGAGAAGCATTCCCCTTGAGAACTGGAACAAGACAAGGATGCCCACTCTCACCACTCTTACTCAACATAGCACTGGAAGTCCTAGCCAGAACAATCAGGCAACAGAAACAAATAAAAGGCATCAAAATAGGAAAAGAGGTCAAACTATCTCTCTTCATGGATGATATGATTCTATACCTAAAAAACCCTAAAGTCTCTGCCAAAAGGCCCCTGGAACTGATAAATGACTTCAGTAAAGATTTGGGATACCAAATCAATGTGCAAAAATCAGTAGCATTGCTATATACCAGTACATCCAAGCTGAGAGCCAAATCAAGAACACGATCCCTACACCATAGCTACAAAAATAAAATACCTAGGAATATATCTAACAAACTAGGTGAAAGGTCTCTACAAGGAGAACTACGAAATGCTGCTGAAAGAAATCAGAGATAACACAAACAAATGGGAAAACATTTCATGCTCATGAATTGGTAGCATCAAAATTGTTAAAATGACCGTACTTCCCAAAGCAATCTACAGATTCAGTGCTATTCCTATCAAGCCAGCAATGTCCTTTTTCACAGAACTAGGAAAAAAAGAGCCTGAATAATCAAAGCAATCCTAAGCAAAAAGAACAAAGCCAGAGGCATCACATTACCCACTTCAAACTACACTACAAGTCTACAGTAGCCAAAATAGCATGGTACTGGTACAAAATAAACACATATACCAATGGAACAGAATAGAGAGCCCAGAAATAAAGCCATACACCTGCAACCTTCTGGTCTTCAACAAGCTTGACAAAATAAGCAATGGGGAAAAAGACTCTGTATCCATTAAATTGTGCTGGGATAACTGGCTATCTATATGCTGAAGAATGAAACTGGGCCCTTTAATACAAAAAATAACTCAAGATGGATTAAAGACTTAAATGTAAGACCTCAAACTATAACAATTCTAGAAGAAAACCTAGACAATAACCTTCTCCATTTCAGCCCTGGCAAAGAATTTATGGCTAAGTCCCCAAAAGCGATTGTGACAAAAACAAAAATTGATAAGTAGGACCTAAGCAAACTAAAGAGCTTCTGCGCAGCAAGAGAAACTATCAAGAGAGTAAACAGACAACCTGCAGAATGGGAGAAAATATTTGCAAACCATGCATCCGACAGAGGTCTAATATCCAGAATCTATAAGGAGTTTAAACAAATCAACAAGCAAAAAGCAAAGAACTCCACGAAAAAGTGGGCATGTATGTCTTCTTTTCTAAAGAAGACATACATGTGGCCAACAAGCATATAAAAAAAAAGCTCAATATCGCGGATCATCAGAGAAATGCAAATCAAAACCACAATGAGATACCATCTCACAAAAAGTCAGATGGCTTTTGTTAAAAAGTCAAAAAATAACAGATGTTGGTGAGGCTGTGGAGAAAAAGGGACACTTATACACTGTTGGTAGGAATGTAAATTAGTTCAGCCACTGTGGAGAGCAGTTTGGAGATTTCTCAAAGAACTAAGAGCGGAACTACCATTGGACCCAGCTATCCTATTACTGGGTATATACCCAAAGGAAAATAAATCGCTCTACCAAAAGGACACATGCACCCAATGTTCATCACCGTGCTATTCACAATAGCAAAAGCATGGCATCAATGCAGATGCCCATCAATGGTGGATTGGACAAAGAAAATGTGGCACATATACCCAATGGAATACTAAGCAGCCATAAAAAAAGAACAAAATCATGTCCTTTGCAGCAACATAGATGTAGCTGGAGGCCATTATCCTAAGCTAACTAACACATAAACAGAAAGCCAAATATGACATGTTCTCACTCATAAGTGGGAGCTAAATATTGGGTACACAAGGACATAAAAATGAGAAATAGACACTGGGGACTATTAGAGGGGATAGAGAGAGAGTGACACAAGGGCTGAAAAACTACCTATTGGCTATTATGTTCACTACCTAGGTGACAGGTTCTATCACACCACAAACCTGAGCATCACACAATATACCCAGGTAACAAACGTGCACTATACTACAAGGCTATAGTTGCCAAAACAGCATGGTACTGGTACAAAAGTAGACACAAAGACCAATGGAACAAAATAGAGAGCCCGGAAATAAATGCATACACCTACAACCTTCTTTAATTTGATACCAAATAAAAGTGGACCCACAGGAAGAAATAAAGACCGTCAGATGCATACATACACGCATATAAACATATGTGTACGTATATACACATATACACAGAATATCTTTTAAATGTTATTTTCTTAATTTAATTAAACAATATATGACTGTTTAAAGAAAAACATCAAGCTCTATTGTTGGGCTCATTAAATATATGTTTATATATAATATATAATACATATTATATAAATATATTATGTATATTTATATATTTATATTATATATAATATAAAATATATAAAATATCACCAATAATAGTAAGGATATGAAAAAGGGGAAACAGAAATATACTGTTGCAAGGTTGCTATATTTTACCTGAAATAATTTAACATAAACTTAAAGAAGGTTTAAAACCAGTTAAACTGCATATTGTAATCCCTAAAGCAACCACTAAAAAGTAATGCAAAGAGAGAGAACTAATAAATCAGCTGCACATTAAAATGAAATATTGAATAATACTTGATTAATACAAATGATGGCATGAAAGGAGAAATAGGGAAATATATTATAACCAGATGAGACGAACAGAAAAAAATAGCAAAATGGCAGACCTGAATTCAACCACATCAATAATTACATTAAAGATTACTAGACTAACCACTCCAATCAAAGAAAGAGACTGATGAACTGGATTTTTTAAAAAGCAGGGACTGACAGCCTATGTGTTATACTCAAGAGATGAACTTCAAATAGAAAGACAAAAATAGCTTTAAAATAAAAACAATAGAGAAAGATTTGTCATGCAAACAGTGAGCAAAAGAAATATGGAGTAGCTATACTATTATCAGACAAAATTAACTACTGATAAAGAATATTATCAGAGACAAGGAGGAACACTTCATGATAACAGAGGATCAATGCATCGGGTAGATTATGTGCTTCATGAGCATCAAATTACATGCAGCAAAACTTTCAGAAACAAGGAAATAAATACACAAATTCAAAATCATAGATGGAGAATTTAGCACATGTCTTTTGGAAATCGATATACAACTAACAAAAATATAGTAAGAATACTGAACATCTGAATAACACTACCAATCACCTTAGTCTAATTGACGTTTATAGAACATTAAACACAACTGTAGAATACACATTCTTTTCAAATGCACATGGAACATTGATCAAAATATGCTGATCTTTAAAAAATCCAGATTTCAAAGGGTTGAAATTTTTAACTGCTATCTGAGAAGTTCAGAAAAATATTAAAAAGCAACAAAAACAAGATATCTGGAAAAGCTTAAAATATTTGAAAGTTTTAAAAACTCACTTCTAAACCACATGGGTCAAAGAAGAAAGCATGAAAAATGTAGAAAATATTTTGAACAGAATAAAAATGAAAACACAAAACGTGAAAAATTGTAAGAGGCACCTAAAGCAATGCTTTAAAGCCTTATAGGCTTATACATAAAAAAGAAGAAAGATCTAAAAATCAAAGATCCAAGCTGTCATCTTAGAAACTTAGAAGGGGAAAAGGACCAATTAAACCCAAAGCCAATAGAAAGAAAGAAATAATAAAGACATTAGCAGAAATCAGTGAAATTGGTGACAAATAATGGAGAGAAACAATGAAACCAAAAACTGATTCTTTGAAAGATCAATAAAATTGTTAAATCTCTAGCTAGACTTGTCAAGAAAAAATTAGCAAGGAAACAAACTACCAGTGTCAGGACTTAAACAGAGAACATCGCTATAGATCATATAGATGTTAAAAGAATAATAAGGCACCTGTAACCCAGCACTTTGGGAGGCTGAGGTGGGAGGATTGCTTGAGCTCAGGATTTCAAAACCAGCCTGGGCAACACAGGGAAACACAATCTCTACAAAACATACAAAAATTAACCAGGCATGGTGCTGCATGCTTGTGGTCCCAGCTACTTGGGAGGCTGAAGTGGGAGGATGGCTTGAGCCCAGGTGGTAGAGGCTATAGTAAGCTGAGATCACGCCACTGCACTCCAGCCTGGGTGACAGAATGAGACCCTGTCTCAAAAAAAAGAATAATAAGGAAATGTTACAAACAACCATATGCCAATAAATTCAACAATACAAATTACCAAATTGCATCAGAATAAATAAAATATTTGAATAGCTCTTTGTCTACTAAAAAAGAATTCATAATTTAAAAACTCCCACAGAGCAAACACCAGGTTCCAATGGCTTTACTGGTAAATTCTATCAAATATTTAAGAAAGAAATAATACCAATCCTTTCAAACTCTTTAAGAAAATAGAGGCAGAGAACTTGACTTACTCATTTTATGAGGCCAGTATTACTCTAATATCAAAACAAGAAAAATACGTTATAAAGAAAAATAACTACAGACCAATTTTGTTCGTGAACACAGACATAAAATTCTTACCACAATATTATCAAATAAGTTTCAATAATATATAAAAGGGGTAATACACCATGACCAAGTGGGGTTCATCCAAGAAGCAAGCTAGATTTAGCACTTAAAAAATCATTGAGTATTGAAAAAAAAAACCATACGTTTATGTCAATAGATGCAGAAAAGCATTTGACAGAATTTAACACATATTACTCTTAAAAACTCTCAGCAAAGTAATAATAAGAGACAATTTCCTTAACCTCATACAGGACATCCATTTTAATAGACCCACAGCTTGCATTCTACGTAATGAGGTAGACGGGATGCTTCTTCCCTAAGATTGGGAATAAGATATCTTCTTTCGTCCCTTCTTTTAATATTCAATGTTGCATTGGAGGTTATAGCTATTGCAAGAAAGGCAAGAAAACGTAATAAAATATATATGACATTTATATAGTTTGTATATTTGTCCTCACCCAAATCTTTTTTTTTAAGAGCTTTCTTGCCTTTTAATTTCTTTTTATTATTATTATTATTATACTTTAAGTTTTAGGGTACATGTGCACAACATGCAGGTTAGTTACATATGTATACATGAGCCATGTTGGTGTGCTGCACCCATTAACTCATCATTTAACATTAGGTATATCTCCTAATGCTATCCCTCCCCACTCGCCCCACCCCACAACAGGCCCCGGTGTGTGATGTTCCCCTTCCTGTGTCCATGTGTTCTCATTGTTCAATTCCCACCTATGAGTGAGAACATGTGGTGTTTGGTTTTTTGTCCTTGCAATAGTTTGCTGAGAATGATGGTTTCCAGCTTCATCCATGTCCCTACAAAGGACATGAACTCATCATTTTTTATGGCTGCATAGTATTCCATGGTGTATATGTGCCACATTTTCTTAATCCAGTCTATCATTGTTGGACATTTGGGTTGGTTCCAAGTCTTTGCTATTGTGAATAGTGCTGCAATAAACATACGTGTGCATATGTCTTTATAGCAGCATGATTTATAATCCTTTGGGTATATACCCAGTAATGGGATGGCTGGGTCAAATGGTATTTCTAGTTCTAGATCCCCGAGGAATCGCCACACTGACTTACACAATGGTTGAACTAGTTTACAGTCCCACCAACAGTGTAAAAGTGTTCCTATTTCTCCGCATCCTTTCCAGCACCTGTTGTTTCCTGACTTTTTAATGATTGCCATTCTAACTGGTGTGAGATGGTATCTCATTGTGGTTTTGATTTGCATTTGGGATCTAATTAAACTAAACTTCTTCTGCACAACAAAAGAAACTACCATCAGAGTGAACAGGCCACCTACAGAATGGGAGAAAATTTTTGCAATCTACTCATCTGACAAAGGGCTAATATCCAGAATCTACAATGAACTCAAACAAATTTACAAGAAAAAAACAAACAACCCCATCAAAAAGTGGGCAAAGGATATGAACAGACACTTCTCAAAAGACATTTATGCAGCCAAAAGACACATGACAAAATGCTCATCATCACTGGCCATCAGAGAAATGCAAATCAAAACCAAATCTTATGTTGAATTGTGATTCCCTGTGATGGAGGTGGGGCCTAACAGGAGGTGACTGGATCACGGGGGTGGATTTCTCATGAATGGTTTAGCGCCATCTACTTGGTGCTGCTCTCAAGACAGTGAGATTTGGTCTTTTAAAAGTGTGTAGTGCCTCCCCACACCCGACTCTTTCTTTCGTGCTCCTGCTTTCACCATGTGATGTGCCTGCTCGCCATTTGCCTTCCGTCATGATTGTAAGTTTCCTGAGGCCTCCCTAGAAGCCAAGCAGATGCTGGTGCCAGGCTTTTACAGCCTGCAGAACCAAGAGCCAATTAAACCTCTTTTCTTATAAATTGCCCCGTCTCAGGTATTCCTTTACAGCAATGTAAGAACAGACTGATAAAGATATAAAGAAGAAAAATGTAGCTCTATCTTTTTCACATTGAAAATATTCATTTAAAAATTCTGAAAGTATCTGACACCCATTAGAATGGCTACTAATTAAGAAAAAAAAAAAAACATAGGCCAGGTGAGGTGGCTCACGCCTGTAATCCCAGCACTTTGGGAGGCCAAGGTGGGCAGATCACCTGAAGTCAGGATTTCAAGACCAGGCTGGCCAACATGGCAAAACCCCATCTCTACTAAAAATACAAAAATTAGCCAGTCATGGTAGCATGTGCCTGTAATCACAGCTGCTCAGGAGGCTGAGGCAGAAGAATTGTTTGAACCTTGGAGGTGGAGGTTGCAGTGACCCAAGATCGCGCCACTGCACTCCAGCCTGGGTGACAGAGTGAGACTCCCTTTCGAAAAACAAAACAAAACAAAACAAACAAACAAACAAAACAGAATAAGAAGTGCTGGCAGAATAAGAAGTGCTGGAGAAATTGAAACCCTTGTGCACTGTTGATGGGAATGTAAAATGCTGCAGCCACTATAGAAAACAGTATGGCAATTCCTCAAAAAAGTAAAAATAGCACTGCCATTATCATCCAGCAATCCCATTTCCACGTATGTGTCCAAAAGAATTGATGGGGCATGGTGGCTCACATCTGTAATCCCACCACTTTGGAAGGCAGAAGGGACGATTGCTTGAGGCCAGGAATTCAAACCCAGCCTGGGCAACATAGCAAGAGCCTATCTCCACAAAAAAAAAGAAAAAAGATTTAGCTGAGCATAGTGGTAAGTGCCTGCAGTTCCCGCTACTCAGGAAGCTACTCGGGAGGATAACTTGAGCTCAAGAGTTAGATGTTACGGTGAGCTATGATGGTGCCACTGCACGGCAGCCTAGGTGACAAAGCAAGATCCTGCCTCTAAAATAAACAAATAAATAAACAGAAGAGTTGAAAGCATGATCTCAAAAAGTTATTTGCACACCCATGTTCATGGCAGCATCATTCACAATATCTAAGAGGTGGAAGTAACCCGAATATCCACTGACAGATGAATGAATAAACAAAATGTGGCATATGCATACAATGGAATGTTATTCAGTCTTTAAAATGAAGGAAATCCTGTTACATGCTGCAACATGGATGAATCCTGAGGGCACTATGCTAAGTGAAATAAACCAGTCACAAAAAGACAAATACAGTATGAATTCACTTATATGAAATATCTAAAGTAACCAAATTCATAGAAACAGAAAGTAGAAAGGTGGTTGCCCGCAGCCTGGGGAAGAAGGAAATGAGGAGTGGTTAATGGGAATAGAGTTTCAGTTTTGCAAGGTGAAAAAGTTCTGGAGATCCTGTCACTCAACAATGGAAATTCATTTAACACTACTGACTTGTACACTTAAAAATAGTTAAGATGGGCCAGGTGCAATGGCTCACACCTGCAATCCCAGAACTTTGGGAGGCCAAGGCAGGCAGATCATGAGGTCAGGAGATCGAGACCATCCTGGCCAACATGGTGAAACCCTGTCTCTACTAAAAATAGAAAAAAAAATTTAGCCGGGTATGGTGGCACTTACTGTAGTCCCAGCTACTTGGGAGGCTGAGGCAGGAGAATCGCTTGAACCTGGGAGGCGGAGGTTGCAGTGGGCCAAGATCACACCACTGCATTCCAGCCTGGAGACAGAGTGAGACTCCGTCTCAAAAAAAAAAAAAAAAACAAAAAGTTAAAATGTAAATTTTTTGTTATGTAGTTTTTACCAGAACTAAACATTTTTTTTAAATCATAAGGGTATGAACCAACCTCACTGAAGGAGGTGGGGGAGAAAGAGCTGACCTAACTACCTTTGGAAATGAGTGGAATCTGTAAGACTAAAGGCAAAAGGAGTTGTGTATACCACTGTATACTAGTAGGTAAAGCTTTTTTTCATGGGGGCATGGGTTAACAAATCTGATATGGCTACACATATACATTGAAATTAAACAATTAAATAAGTGGATGGCAAATGGTAGGAGCCAGATTTCTCACTGTTAGAGTGGTAATTTATAGACAAGCAGGGGAGGAAGCTATAGAGTGATCCATGTAATCACGGATTAGAAGTGGAAACATAGTATGAATTTGTGTTTCATATAGACACAGATAGTTTTACATATAGAGACATTTATAGATATGTATATATGTTCAGGTTAGTGCACATACCTATGTTTCTTTGCTCTGTCAGCTAAGACAGGCTAAAAGAAAGTACACCCCAGCAGTAAGGACCACACCTAACACTCAGATCTTGGTTTCTAATACCCTTCTCCAATAAAAGAAAGCAAGGCTCCCTGGAGAAAAGGCTGATCCAAGACTGGGTCAGGAAATATACAGAATGAACTTGGAGTATTTCGTAGTGCCAGAAAGTAATGGCTAAAAAGCAAAACAAAATGGACAAAACTCACCACACTGATGGATGCAGATCAAAGAAGCACAGGAGTCAACCAAAGATCTCCCAACAGCCAAAGTCAGAACAATTTGAATAAAATAAATAAGGCAGTACTGGACTATAACGCAAAGTATAAAGTAAATATCCATGAACCCATATGAATATAAGTAAATGATCAAATATATTAATAAAAGGAGGGAAAGGAACAGATTCCTCCATGCAGTAGAATTCCAAATAATTTGTGTAGGTACTCTGCCCTCAAGGAAACAAGTATATAACTCCCCCACTTTAGGTGTGGCTTGTGCATAGTGACTTCCTTGCAAAAAAATGCAATATGAAAAGAGGGGACCAGGAGTGGTGGCTCATACCTGTAATCCCAGCACTTGGAGAGGCTGAGGTGGGCTGATCAAGAGGTCAAGAGATTAAGACCATCCTGGCCAACATGGTGAAACCCCATCTCTACTAAAAATACAAAAATAAGCCAGGCATGGTGGCGCACACCTGTAGTCCCAGCTACTCAGGAGGCTGAGGTGGGAGAATCGCTTGAACCCAAGACAGGGAGGTTGCAGTGAGCTGAGATCACACCACTGCACTCAAGCCTGGAGACAGAGCAAGGCTCTGTCTAAAAAGAAAAACAAGAAAAAGAAAAGAGGGAAGCAGAGTAACTTTACAGTGGAAAAACCTGAAAAAGAATACCTCAGCCAGGCAATCAAGGTGAACATTAACAACCATAAGTCACACTGATAGTAAGTATGCCTGATATCTGTGTAGTCATCCTCCCAGTAACCCATAACCCTAGTCTAATGAGAAAAAAACACCAAATTGCAATAGTGGGCATCCTACGAAATACCTGACCAGCACCACTCAAAACCGTCAAAGCCATCAACAACAAGGGAAGTCTGAGAAACTGCCACAGCCAAGAGGAGCCTAAGGAGATTAGAAGACAACTAAATGTAACATGATATACTGAGTGGGATCTTAGAGCAGAAAACGACATTAAGTAAAAGCTAAGGAAATCTGAAAAAACTACACACTTTAGTGAATAAAGTATCAATACTGGTTCATAAATTGTAACAAATGTACCATATTAATATAAGACATCAATAACAGGAAAACTAGATGCAGGGTGTATTAGAACTCTGTACTATCCTCTCAATTTTTCTATGTATCTAAAACTGTTGGTGGCTGGGTGTCATGGCTCACACTTTTAATCCCAGCACTTTGGGAGGCTAAGGCAGGTGGATTGCTTGAGCCTAGGAGTTGGAGACCAGCCTGGGCAACATGGTAAAACCCGGTCTCTACAAAAAATTAGCTGGGTATGGTGGCACACGCCTGTAGTTCCAGGTACTCAGGAGACTGATGTGGAAGGATTGCTTGAGCCCAGGAGGTCGAGGCTGCAGTGGGCCATGATTGCGCCACTACACTCCAGCGTGGGCAACAGAGTGAGACCCTGTCTCAAGAAAAGGTAAATAAACAAAACTATTCTAAAAATAAAGTTTATTTTAAAATCCTAAGGGCTCCAAAAAAAAAAAAGAAGCTACAAAAACTAATAAATGAGTCAAGAGGGTTTCAGGAGAGAAGAAAGTTGTGAAGTAAAGCATTCACTCAGCAGGATTGGGATGTTCAAACCCTGCACATTCCACAAATTAGACTGGCTTATTCCATTCCAAGATGGCTGAATAGGAGCAGCTCCAGTCTGCAGCTCCAAGTGTGATTGATGCAGAAGACGGGTGATTTCTGCATTTTCAACTGAGGTACCTCATTCATCTCGTTGGGTCTGGTCAGACAGTGGGTGCAGCCCATGGACAGTGAGCCAAAGCAGGGCGGGGCATCCCTTCACCCAGGAAGCAGAAGGGGTCGGGGGATTTCCCTTTCCTAGCCAATGGAAGCCATGACAGACTGTACGTGGAAAAACGGGACACTGCTGCCCAAATACTGAACTTTTCCAATGGTCTTAGCAACTGGCAGACCAGGAGGTTCTCTCCTGTGCCTGGCTCAGCAGGTCCTATGCCCACGGAGCCTTACTCATTGCTAGCACAGGAGTCTGAGATCATCCTGCAAGGCAGCAGCCTGGCAGGGGAAGGGACGTCTGCCATTGCTGTGGCTTGAGTAGGTAAACAAAGCAGCCAGGAAGCTCAAACTGGGCGGAGCACACAGCAGCTCAGCAAGGCCTACTGCCTCTGTAGACTCCAGCTCTGTGGGCAGGGCATAGCTGAACAAAATGCAGCAGAAACTTCTGCAGACATAAACGTCCCTGTCTGACAGCTCTGAAGAGAGCAGTGGTTCTCCCAGCATGGCACTTGGGCTCTGAGAACAGACAGACTACCTCCACAAGTGGGTCCCTGACCCCCATGTAGCCTAACTGGGAGACACCTCCCAGTAGAGGCCAACAGACACCTCATACAGGTGGGTGCCCCTCTGGGACAAAACTCCCAGAGGAAGGATCAGGCAGAAATATTTGCTGTTCTGCAATATTTGCTGTTCTGCAGCCTCCGCTGGTGATACCCAGGCAAACAAGGTCTAGAGTATACCTCCAGCAAACTCCAATAGACCTGCAGCTGAGGGACCTGACTGTTAGAAAGAAAACTAACAAACAGAAAGGAATAGCATCAACATCAACAGAAAGGGCATCCCCACCAAAACTGCATCTGTGGTTACCAACATCGAAGACCAAAGGTAGATAAAACCACAAAGATGGGGAGAAATCAGAGCAGAAAAGCTGAAAATTCTAAAAACCAGAGTGCCTCTTCTCCTCCAAAGGACTGCAGCTCCTCGCCAGCAATGGAACAAAGCTGGACAGAGAATGACTTTGACGAGTTGATAGAAGTAAGCTCCAGAAGGTCGGTAATAACAAACTTCTCCGAGCTAAAGGAGCATGTTCTAACCCATTGTAAGGAAGCTAAAAACCTTGAAAAAAAAGGTTAGATGAATGGCTAAGTAGAATAAACAGTGTAGAGAAGACTTTAAATGACCTGATGGAGCTGAAAACTATGGCACGAGAACTTCATGACACATGCGCAAGCTTCAATAGCCAACTTGATCAAGCGGAAGAAAGGGTATCAGTGATTGAAGATCAAATTCATGAAATAAAGTGAGAGGACAAGTTTAGAGAAAAAAGAGTAAAAAGAAATGAACAAAGCCTATAAGAAATATGGGACTATGTGAAAAGACCAAATATACATTTGATTGGTGTACCTGAAAGTGATGGGGAGAATGGAACCAAGATGGAAAACACTCTTCAGGATATTATCCAGAACTTCCCCAACCTAGCAAGGCAGGCCAACATTCAAATTCAGAAAATACAGAGAACACCACACAGATACTCCTCGAGAAGAGCAACTCCAAGACACACAATTGTCAGATTCACCAAGGTTGAAATGAGGGAAAGAATGTTAAGGGCAGCCAGAGAGAAAGGTCAGGTTACCCACAAAGGGAAGCCCATCAGACTAACCGTGGATCTCTCGGCAGAAACCCTACAAGCCAGAAGAGAGTGGGGGCCAATATTCAGCATTCTTAAAGAAAAGAATTTTCAACCCAGAATTTCACATCCAGCCAAACTCAGCTTCATAAGTGAAGGGGAAATAAAATCCTTTACAGACAAGCAAAGGCTGAGAGATTTTGTCAACACCAGGCCTGCCTTACAAGAGCTCCTGAAGGAAGCACTAAACATGGAAAGGAACAACTGGTACCAACCACTGCAAAAACAAGCCAAATTGTAAAGACCATGGATGCTATGAAGAAACTGCATCAATTAACGGGCAAAATAACCAGCTAACTTCATAATGACATGATCAAATTCATACATAACAATATTAACCTTATATGTAAATGGGCTAAATGCCCCAATTAAAAGACACAGACTGGCAAATTGGGTAAAGAGTCAAGACCCATCAGTGTGCTCTATTCAGGAGACCCATCTGACGTGCAGAGCCATACATAGGCTCAAAATAAAGGGATGGAGGAAGATCTACCAAACAAATGGAAAACAAAAAAAAGCAGGGGTTGCAATCCTAGTCTCTGGTAAAACAGACTTTAAACCAACAAAGATCGGAAGAGACAAAGAAAGCCATTACATAATGGTAAAGGGATCAATTCAACAAGAAGAGCTAACTATCCTAAATATATATGCACCCAATACAGGAGCACCCAGATTCATAAAGCAAGTCCTTAGAGACCTACAAAGAGACTTATACTCCCACACAATAATAATGGGAGACTTTAACACGCCACTGTCAACATTAGACAGATCAATGAGACAGAAAGTTAACAAGGATATCCAGGAATTGAACTCAGCTCTGCACCAAGCGGACCTAATAGATATCTACAGAACTCGCCACCCCAAATCAACAGAATATACATTCTTCTCAGCACCACATCACACTTATTCCAAAATTGACCACATAGTTGGAAGTAAAGCACTCCTCAGCAAATGTAAGAGAACAGAAACTATAACAAACTGTCTCTCAGACCACAGTACAATCAAATCAGAACTCAGGATTAAGAAACTCACTCAAAACCACTCAACTACATGGAAACTGAACAACTTGCTCCTGAATGACTACTGGGTACCTAACAAAATGAAGGCAGAAATAAAGATGTTCTTTGAAACAAATGAGAACAAAGACACAACATACCAGAATCTCTGGGACACATTTAAAGCAGTGTGTAGAGGGAAATTTATAGCACTAAATGCCCATAAGGGAAAGCAGGAAAGATCTAAAATCAACACCCTAAAATCACAATTAAAAGAGCTACAGAAGCAAGAGCAAACAAATTCAAAAGCTATCAGAAGGCAAGAAATAACTAAGATCAGAGCAGAACTGAAGAAGATAGAGACACAAAAAACCCTTCAAAAAATCAATGAATCCAGGAGCTTGTTTTTTGAAAAGATCAACAAAATTGATAGACCAATAGCAAGACTAATAAAGAAGAAAAGAGAGAAGAATCAAATAGATGCAATAAAAAATGATAAAGGGGATATCACCGCCAATCCCACAGAAATACAAACTACCATCAGAGAATACTATAAACACCTCTATGAAAATAAACTAGAAAATCTAGAAGAAATTGATAAATTCCTGGACACGTACACCCTCCCAAGACTAAACCTGGAAGAAGTTGAATCCCTGAATACACCAATAACAGGCTCTGAAATTGAGGTGATAATTAATAGCCTACCAACCAAAAAAAGTCCAGGACCAGATGGATTCACAGCTGAATTCTACCAGAGGTACAAAGAGGAGCTGGTACCATTCCTTCTGAAACTATTCCAATCAATAGAAAAAGAGGGAATCCTCCCTAACTCATTTTACGAGGCCAGCATCATCCTGATACCAAAATCTGGCAGAGACACACACACACACAAAAAAAGAGAATTTTAGAGCAATATCCCTGATGAACATCGATGCAAAAATCCTCAATAAACTACTGGCAAAATGAATCCAGCAGTACATCAAAAAGCTTACCCAACACTATCAAGTTGGCTTCATCCGTGGGATGCAAGGCTGGTTCAACATATGCAATCAATAAACATAAGCCATCATATAAACAGAACCAAAGACAAAAACCACATGATTATCTCGATAGATGCAGAAAAGGCCTTCAACAAAATTCAACAGCCCTTCATGCTAAAAACTCTCAATAAACTAGATATTGATGGGATGTATCTCAAAATAATAAGAGCTATTTATGACAAACCCACAGCCAATACCATACTGAATGGGCAAAAACTGGAAGCATTCCCTTTGAAAACTGGCACAAGACAGGGATGCCCTCTCTCACCACTCCTATTCAACATAGTGTTGAAAGTTCTGACCAGGGCAATCAGGCAGGAGAAAGAAATAAAGTGTAGTCAACTAGGAAAAGAGGAAGTCAAATTGTCCGTGTTTGCAGATGACATGATTGATAGTACATTTAGAAAACCCCATCTTCTCAACCTATAATCTCCTTAAGCTGATAAGCAACTTCAGCAAAGTCTCCGGTTACAAAATCAATGTGCAAAAATCACAAGCATTCCTATACACCAATAACAGACAAACAGAGAGCCAAATCATGAGTGAACTCCCATTCAAAATTGCTTCAAAGATAATAAAATATCTAGGAATCCAACTGACAAGGGATGTAAGGGACCTCTTCAAGGAGAACTACAAACCACTGCTCAATGAAATAAAAGAGGACACAAACAAATAGAAGAACATTCCATGCTCATGGATAGGAAGAATCAATATTGTGAAAATGGCCATACTGTCCAAGGTAATTTATAGATTCAATGCCGTCCCCATCAAGCTACCAATGACTTTCTTCACAGAATTGGAAAAAACTACTCTAAAGTTCATATGGAACCAAAAAAGAGCCCACATTGCCAAGACAATCCTAAGCCAAAAGAATAAAGCTGGAGGCATCATGCTACC